>NC_000010.11:36399930-36704212 GCF_000001405.40 Homo sapiens
GAAAACTACAAAATTTTCCAAACTAATTATTATGCTCCTGATTCAGGACAGAAAGCTGCTTAGAGATGTGATGACATTTCCATGGATTCAGAAATGAAGTGCCTACTATGTGCTGGGCTCAGAAAATACCATAGGGTATCTGTCCTTAGGAAGTTTACAGAAGTACAAAAGAATCAGAGTGATTTATTGTTGAGGGTTTTTTTGTCTAATTATTTGTTTTTGTTTTTTAGACAGAGGCTTGCTGTGTCACCCAGGGTGGAGTGCAGTGGTGCGATCTCGGTTCACTGCAACCTCTGCTTCCCAAATTGAAGCAGTTCTCCTGCCTCAGCCTCCCGAGTAGCTGGAATTACAGGGAAACCACCACACCCAGCTAATTTTTGTATTTTTAGTAGAGCTGGGTTTTTGCCATGTTGGCCAGGCTGGTCTCAAACTCCTCACCTCAGGTGATTCGCCTGCTTCGGTCTCCCAAAGTGCAGTCTGAGATCAAACTGCAAGGCGGCAGCAAGTCTGGGGGAGGGGCACCCGCCATTGCCCAGGCTCGCTTAGGTAAACAAAGCAGCCCGGAAGCTCGAACTGGGTGGAGCCCACCACAGCTCAAGGAGGCCTGCCTGCCTCTGTAGGCTCCACCTCTGGGAGCAGGGCACAGACAAACAAAAAGACAGCAGTAACCTCTGCAGACTTAAATGTCCCTGTCTGACAGCTTTGAGGAGAGCAGTGGTTCTCCCAGCACGCAGCTGAAGATCTGAGAACGGGCAGACTGCCTCCTCAAGTGGGTCCCTGACCCCTGGCCCCCGAGCAGCCTAAATGGGAGGCACCCCCCAGTAGGGGCAGACTGACACCTCACATGGCCGGGTACTCCTCTGAGACAAAACTTCCAGAGGAACGATCAGACAGCAGCATTCGCGGATCACGAAAATCTGCGGTTCTGCAGACACCGCTGCTGATACCCAGGCAAACAGGATCTGGAGTGGACTTCTAGCAAACTCCAACAGACCTGCAGCTGAGGTTCCTGCCTGTTACAAGGAAAACTAACAAACAGAAAGGACATCCACACCAAAAACCCATCTGTACATCACCATCATCAAAGACCAAAAGTAGATAAAACCACAAAGATGGGGAAAAAACAGAGCAGAAAAACTGGAAACTCTAAAAAGCAGAGCACTCCTCGAGAAGAGCAACTCCAAGACACATAATTGTCAGATTCACCAAAGTTGAAATAAAGGAAAAAATGTTAAGGGCAGCCAGAGAGAAAGGTCGGGTTACCCACAAAGGGAAGCCCATCAGATTAACAGCGGATCTCTCGGCAGAAACTCTACAAGCCAGAAGAGAGTGAGGGCCAATATTCAACATTCCTAAAGAAAAGAATTTCATATCCCAAAATTTCATATCCAGCCAAACTGAGTTTCGTAAGAGAAGTTCAATACTTTACAGACAAACAAATGCTGAGAGATTTTGTCACCACCAGGCCTGCCCTAAAAGAGCTCCTGAAGGAAGCACTAAACATGGAAAGGCACAACCAGTACAACCTGCTGCAAAATCATGCCAAAATGTAAAGACCATGGAGATTAGGAAGAAACTGCATCAACTAATGAGCAAAATAACCAGCTAACATCATAATGACAGGATCAAATTCACACATAACAATATTAACTTTAAATGTAAATGGACTAAATGCTCCAATTAAAAGACACAGACTGGCAAATTGGATAAAGAGTCAAGACCCATCAGTGTGCTGTATTCAGGAAACCCATCTCACATGCAGAGACACACATAGGCTCAAAATAAAAGGATGGAGGAAGATCTACCAAGCAAATGGAAAACAAAAAAAGGCAGGGGTTGCAATCCTAGCCTCTGATAAAACAGACTTTAAACCAACAAAGATCAAAAGAGACAAAGAAGGCCATTACATAATGGTAAAGGGATCAATTCAACAAGAAGAGCTAACTATCCTAAATATATATGCACCCAATACAGGAGCACCCAGATTCATAAAGCAAGTCCTGAGTGACCTATAAAGAGACTTAGACTCCCACACAATAATAATGGGAGACTTTAACACCCCACTGTCAACATTAGACAGATCAACGAGACAGAAAGTTAACAAGGATACCCAGGAATTGTACTCAGCTCTGCACCAAGTGGACTTAATAGACATCTACAGAACTCTCCACCCCAAATCAACAGAATATACATTTTTTTCAGCACCACACCTATTCCAAAATTGACCACATAGTTGGAAGTAAAGCTCTCCTCAGCAAATGTAGAAGAACAGAAATTATAACAAACTGTCTCTCAGACCACAGTGCAATCAAACTAGAACTCAGGATTAAGAAACTCACTCAAAACCGCTCAAATACATGGAAACTGAACAACCTGCTCCTGAATACTACTGGGTACATAACGAAATGAAGGCAGAAATAAAGATGTTCTTTGAAACCAACGAGAACAAAGACACAACATACCAGAATCTCTGGGACACATTCAAAGCAGTGTGTAGAGGAAAATTTATAGCACTAAATGCCCACAGCAGAAAGCAGGAAAGATCCAAAATTGACACCCTAACATCACAATTAAAAGAACTACAAAAGCAAGAGCAAACACATTCAAAAGCTAGCAGAAGGCAAGAAATAACTAAAATCAGAGCAGAACTGAAGGAAATAGAGACACAAAAAACTCTTCAAAAAATTAATGAATCCAGGAGCTGGTTTTTTGAAAGGATCAACAAAATTGATAGACCGCTAGCAAGACTAATAAAGAAAAAAAGAGAGAAGAATCAAATAGATGCAATAAAAAATGATAAAGGGGATATCACCACCGATCCCACAGAAATACAAACTACCATCAGAGAATACTATAAACACCTCTACGCAAATAAACTAGAAAATCTAGAAGAAATGGATACATTCCTCGACACATACACTCTCCCAAGACTAAACCAGGAAGAAGTTGAATCTCTGAATAGACCAATAACAGGAGCTGAAATTGTAGCAATAATCAATAGCTTACCAACCAAAAAGAGTCCAGGACCAGATGGATTCACAGCCGAATCCTACCAGAGGTACAAGGAGGAACTGGTACCATTCCTTCTGAAACTATTCCAATCAATAGAAAAAGAGGGAATTCTCCCTAACTCATTTTATGAGGCCAGTATCATCCTGATACCAAAACCGGGCAGAGACACAACCAAAAAAGAGAATTTTAGACCAATATCTTTGAGGAACATTGATGCGAAATTCCTCAATAAAATACTGGAAAACCAAATCCAGCAGCACATCAAAAAGGTTATCCCCCATGATTAAGTGGGCTTCATCCCTGGAATGCAAGGTGGCTCAATATACGCAAATCAATAAATGTAATCCAGCATATAAACAGAACCAAAGACAAAAACCACATGATTATCTCAATAGATGCAGAAAAGGCCTTTGACAAAATTCAACACCCCTTCATGCTAAAAACTCTCAATAAATTAGGTATTGATGGGACGTATCTCAAAATAATAAGAGCTATCCATGACAAACCCACAGCCAATATCATACTGAATGGGCAAAAACTGGAAGCATTCCCTTTGAAAACTGGCACAAGACAGGGATGCCCTCTCTCTCCACTCCTATTCAACACAGTGTTGGAAGTTCTGGCCAGGGCAATTAGACAGGAGAAGGAAATAAAGGGTATTCAATTAGGAAAAGATGAAGTCAAATTGTCCCTGTTTGCAGATGACATGATTGTATATCTAGAAAACCCCATCATCTCAGCCCAAAATCTCCTTAAGCTGATAAGCAACTTCAGCAAAGTCTCAGGATACAAAATCAATGTGCAAAAATCACAAGCATTCTTATACACCAATAACAGACAGAGAGCCAAATCATGAGTGAACTCCCACTCACAATTGCTTCAAAGAGAATAAAATACTTAGGAATCCAACTTACAAGGGACGTGAAGGACCTCTTCAAGGAGAACTACAAACCACTGCTCAATGAAATAAAAGAAGACACAAACAAATGGAAGAACATTCCATGCTCATGGGTAGGAAGAATCAATATCGTGAAAATGGCCATACTGCCCAAGGTAATTTATAGATTCAATGCCATCCCCATCAAGCTACCAATGACTTTCTTCACAGAATTGGAAAAAACTACTTTAAAGTTCATATGGAACCAAAAAAGAGCCTGCATTGCCAAGTTAATCCTAAGCCAAAAAAAAAAAAGCTGGAGGCATCATGCTACCTGACTTCAAACTATACTACAAGGCTACAGTAACCAAAACAGCATGGTACTGGTACCAAAACAGAGATACAGATCAATGGAACAGAACAGAGCCCTCAGAAATAATGCCGCATATCTACAACTATCTGATCTTTGACAAACCAGAGAAAAACAAGCAATGGGGAAAGGATTCCCTGTTTAATAAATGATGCTGGGAAAACTGGCTAGCCATACGTAGAAAGCTGAAACTGGATCCCTTCCTTACACCTTATACAAAAATTAATTCAAGATGGATTAAAAACTTAAACGTTAGACCTAAAACCATAAAAACCCTAGAAGAAAACCTAGGCAATACCATTCAGGACATAGGCATGGGCAAGGACTTCATGTCTAAAACACCAAAAGCAATGGCAACAAAAGCCAAAATTGACAAATGGGATCTAATTAAACTAAAGAGCTTCTGCACAGCAAAAGAAACTACCATCAGAGTGAACAGGCAACCTACAAAATTGGAGAAAATTTTTGCAACCTACTCATCTGACAAAGGGCTAATATCCAGAATCTACAATGAACTCAAACAAATTTACAAGAAAAAAACAAACCACCCCATCAAAAAGTGGGCAAAGGATATGAACAGACACTTCCCAAAAGAAGACATTCATGCAGCCAAAAGACACATGAAAAAATGCTCATCATCACTGGCCATCAGAGAAATGCAAATCAAAACCACAATGAGATACCACCTTACACCAGTTAGAATGGCAATCATTAAAAAGTCAGGAAACAACAGGTGCTGGAGAGGATGTGGAGAAATAGAAACACCTTTACACTGTTGGTGGGACTGTAAACCATTTTGGAAGTTCAACCATTTTGGAAGTCAGTGTGGCGATTCCTCAGGGATCTAGAACTAGAAATACCATTTGACCCAGCCATCCCATTACTGGGTATATACCCAAAGGACTATAAATCATGCTGCTATAAAGACACATGCACACGTATGTTTATTGCGGCACTATTCACAATAGCAAAGACTTGGAACCAACCCAAATGTCCAACAATGATAGACTGGATTAAGAAAATGTGGCACATATACACCATGGAATACTATGCAGCCATAAAAAATGATGAATTCATGTCCTTTATAGGGACATAGATGAAATTGGAAATCATCATGCTCAGTAAACTATCGCAAGGACAAAAAATCAAACACCGCATGTTCTCACTCATAGATGGGAACTGAACAATGAGAACACATGGACACAGGAAGGGGAACATCACACTCTAGGGACTGTTGTGGGGTGGGGGGAGGGGGAAGGGATAGCATTAGGAGATATACCTAATGCTAAATGACGAGTTAATGGGTGCAGCACAGCAGCATGGCACATGTATACATATGTAACTAACCGGCACATTGTGCACATGTACCCTAAAACTTAAAGTATAGTAATAATAATAATAATAATGATAATAATAAAAAGAATTAACGATGAGTTTAAGAAAAAGAGGCAGGGTCTGCACATCATTAAAATAGCCTTGGGATTTATCTGTAACCATCAGGAAACTGATGAAGGGTGTTAAATAGGAGAGTAGCATGAGCATTGTGGCTGTGGTCTACTGGGTAGATTTGTGGATGTTTGAGAGACTCATGACAGGGAGACTAGTTATCAGAGCTGGACCGAAGTGGAAGGATCTAAACTAAAACAATATCATTGACAGTGAGTGAAACAGGGAGGGAGGGAAATTATTAGGGTGGTCCTATGGCTTGCTCTTAGACCAGGATTGTCCACAGCAGGTACAGGAGTGGAGTAGTCAAGCAAGAGTCCTGTTCTCTTGGGTTACAGTCCTAGCAATTAACCACACACTATGGAGATCAACCTAGTTGCCATGGTTAAGCAAAGAACTTAACACTATAGCTACACAATAAAATATATTTATGGTTTTTGTTTGTCTTTTAAAAATACAATCAGCTATCTATGGAATTAATGCTACTTTTCTGTGAAGGTCATTAATTATCATCATTATCATTTTAGATCATGATTGGATGCACCAGGACTTTACCTTACAGTTTCCTAAAGAGGACCTTGCCAGGGCGTTGACTATAGATTTATTATGCCATTGAAGTTTTACATATTATTCTCACTGATAAAGAGTATATCCAACATTACCTGTAAAAGCCTATGATTATTTAGTTTTTAAAAAGCGTAATTTCAAATTAAGGCTATAATTCAAAGTCATGTTTCTCCCTAAGGAAAAAAAATGCATTTGCCTTAAGTGATAATTCTCATATATAAGGAGATTTATGTAGGAGTCAATGAATGGCTTTTGGCAATGCTCTGCTGTGGTGGGAAGCCCCTGAGATGGCACCAAATAATCTTCGTTTCCTGGTACTCATGCCCTTCTGTAATTCCTCTTCTTAAATGTGTAATGGACCTAGTGAATATGGCAGGAGTGCTAGGATGTCACTTTGGAGATTAGGTTATGAACACATTGTGATATCTGTCTTACTTTCCCTCTCTTGCTTTCCCACTGGCTTATGAGAAAAGCCAGTTTCCATGTTTTGAGTTGCCTTGTGGAGAGTAGAGTGACAAGGACCCCACGTGACAAGGACCAGAGCTCTCCAGCCAACAGTCAATGAGGACTCGAGGCCATCAACAGTCGTCACATGAGGAAGCTAGAAGTAGAGCATCCCCCAGTCTAGCCTTAAGATGATGGGACACCTAGTTGACAATGTTGATTGCAGGCTCGTGAGATCCAGAGGCGCCTGGCTAACCTACGCCTGGGCACCTGACCCAAGAAACTGTAATAGGAGGAATATTGTTTGGGGATAATTTATTAGGGAACAGTAGATAATCTAATAAACCTGTTATTATATTTTATTATTTAAGTTACAGCAAATAGAGGGGTATATAAATAGCGGATGCTGTAATATTTTATCTTTAAGTAACAAAATATTATGCCTTCATAATTATATTATTTTCTAACAGCCATTCTTTTCCAAGGAATGATAGAATATTCTAATATCTATCAATTACATCCATTGCTTACCTTAAATGCCAAACCAACCAACCAAACAAACAAACAAACAAACCAGTAATTCCTATCTTCGGGCAACATGTAAAATATTATTACATAAAAAACTTTTAATCATATAGCATTTAAAAAATTAATTTCCTGTTTTGATACAATGTTCAGTTATCCTTCCCATTTTACCACTTGCCATTTTACAATTTTACTGTAAAAAAAAAACAGGAAATTATCAGCAAGTACTGTACTACACATTTGAATGGGATCTCTTCATTAGCAAATCAACACCCCAAATATGGATATCCTTTTATTTTCAGGGATTGGTTGGGCCCCATAACTTTTTTTTTTTTTTGAGACGGAGTCTCGCTCTGTTGCCCAAGCTGGAGTGCAGTGGCGCGATCTCAGCTCACTTCAAGCTCTGCCTCCCGGGTTCACGCCATTCCCCTGTCTCAGCCTCCCGAGTAGTTGGGACTACAGGCGCCCGCAACCACGCCCAGCTAATTTTTTTGTATTTTTGGTAGAGACAGGGTTTCACTGTGTTAGACAGGATGGTCTCGATCTCCTGACCTCGTGATCTACCCGCCTCAGCCTCCCAAAGTGCTGGGATTACAGGCGTGAGCCACCACGCCTGGCCTCTGGGCCCCATAACTTTTATGTGAACTATATATATGTGTGTGTGTATATATATATGTGTGTGTGTATAATATATGTATGTATATATTTTTTTTTCTCTTTTTCAAGTGGATATTTCTCTGCAAAAATAACTTGGTTTATGCATACTTGCAGAATTTTGCCAACACACTACATAATGATATTTGATATTTAGTCAAAGATGGACTTCGTGTGCTATGGTGGTCCCATAGGATTATAATGGAGCTTTTTTTTGGCGGTGGGGGGGGTGTACAGAATCTCACTCTGTTGCCCAGGGAGTAGCTGGGATTACAGGCGCGTGCCACCATGCCTGCCTAATTTTTTTTTTTTTTTGAGACCGAGTCTCCTTCTGTCGCCCAGGCTGGAGTGCAGTGGCGAAATCTTGGCTCCCTGCAAGCTCCGCCTCCCGGGTTCACGCCATTCTCCTGCCTCAGCCTCCCGAGTAGCTGGGACTACGGGCGCCCACCACCACGCCCGGATAATTTTTTTTTTGTATTTTTAGTAGAGACAGGGTTTCGCTGTGTTAGCCAGGCTGGTCTCCATCTCCTGACCTCAAGTGATCCGCCTGTCTCAGCCTCCCAAAGTGCTGGGATTACAGGCATGAGCCACCGCGACCAGCCAGAGCTTTCATAATGTATTTTTACTGTACCTTTCCTATGTTTAGATACAGAAACACTTACCATTGTGTTCCAATTGTGTATTCAGTACAGTAACATGCTGTACAGTAACATGCTGTACCCTAGGAGCTACAGGCTATACCATATAGCCTAGGTGTGTAGGAGGCTATACCATCTAGGTTTGTGTAAATGCATTCTGGGATATTTGCACAAGAACAAAAGCTCCTAACCGCATTTCTCAGAAGGTATCTGTTGTTAAGTGATGCATGGACTGTAGTTAAATTGACTAGTATTAAACATGCAGTGCTGTGCTCATAAACCAAGGTGATGGCATGGCTGGAGGCCTGTTCATGTGCGGCATTCACAGCAGTCCTATTTGCTGGCAGGATTAGAGAATGGCAAGTATATTAACAAACTCAGTGGAGTCATTAACTTGGGAATGGTCGCAAAAGGCGGCAAAATCAGAGAAACAGTATAAATTGCTTTTTAAAATTTAGCATTCTGAAAAAAGGCAGTTTTGAAAACCATGAATAACATATTTAGTATTGGGAAGAAATCCTTGGATAGTAGCCTTAACAAAATAAATAAAGGAAAATAAGCTGAAAAGTAGAAAAAACGCACACTGTAATCAGTAATACAAGAGAATCAGTAGTACAAGAGAATTCCTAGGTCTTACGGAATATGCTAAAACAGTGAACATGGTGATCCAAGTAATTTAATTAATTGCAAAGTGATTCTTTTAGCTGAATGACATTACTGACCCATTAATGGTGGGAAATCAGATTTATTGTGTTTTCAGGGTTTGTTATGGAATTATTTTGAGCTGTAAATATTGTATTTCCAGTTCCTGTGCCATAAAACACACATATATCTTCGATCAATCACTTGGGGCAGGTACATTTCTTATGGAAACATTCTATATTATATCAAATTTTCTATCAGAGAAAAAAGTTTATAAACTAGTTTATGAACATTAAGTTCAATGAAGTGTACTAGACTTAGTATTGTGTTGACAGAAACCTAATAGTTCATTACTTCCAATCCTCACTTCTACTTTTACCGATGCAGAGTCTATCATCAACTTTTACCCCCCTTAGCACCATATCCTACTTACCTGAGATAAATGGATAGAAGTGGATAATTAGTACCTTCATTGTGTGTGTGTGTGTGTGTGTGTGTGTTAGGTTGAATTTCTTGAAAACAGAAAGTTGCCTTAAGAGGTTTTCCAGGAAAGGCTCTTTGGAGATAAATAAATATAGAGAAGTGAAGAGGGCAGGATGGGGCAGAGGGAGAAAGTGACCAACAGCTTGGTTAGAACTGAGGCCTCAGCTCACCCCACAGGAAACTTTAGTGGGTCTTAGAAGCGAGTCCACATTGAAGCAGAGGGAACTTCACTAGTGCTTCTCAGCTCTCCCCACCCCACCTTATGTGGGACAGCATGGTTAGAGTTGACTAAAGTTAGGTATTTCCTCTCAGAGATACTGGAAATGGGTATTTCCCTTCTCCTGTGTGGAAGGCTAAAGGGGTGGAAGTTAACCATTTCCTTTCCATCATGTGGAAGCTTGAGCAGGCTGGAATTGGGTATTTACTTTCCCCAAGTTGATTAGGCTCTGATAACATCCCAATAATTTAGACTTTGGTAAAGTAGTTTACCTTAAGGGCAGGTCTTGATAATAACAAAATAAACCATGATTTATTTCATACTGATTTTTTTCTCCTTTCCCTGGCAAGGAAATTTTTCATTGATATTCACTCTAAGGCCCTGATGGTGCTCCTGGAAATAAAACTTGCAAAAGTGTGAGGGTCCTTCTTAGACTGGACCCTTTTGGGATTTTTAACTCTCAAGCTTATCCACTCTGAGCCTCAGGCAATTTGCCAATTACAGCTTAGGGTTTCCTGTCCCAGTACGAATTCCTGCAGTGGCTCCTGCTCATGGACTTCTGTCCCAGTAGATGATGATTCTCTGTGCTCACCTGTTTCTTCAATTTGAGAGGCAGAGGTCCTGTGACCTCACTTCTCTGAAAAATCTAAAAAAGAGTTGCTGATTTTTCATTGTGTTCAGTTCTTTTTTTTTTTTTTCTTTCTCTTTTTTTTTTTTTTTTTTTTTTTTTGAGACAGTCTTGCTCTGTTGCTCAGGCTGGAGTGCAGTGGCGCCATCTCGGCTCACTGCAAGCTCCGCCTTCCCAGTTCATGCCTTTCTCTTGCCTCAGCCTCCCGAGTAGCTGGGACTACAGGCACCCGCTACCACACCAGGCTAATTTTTTGTATTTTTAGTAGAGACGGGGTTTCACCGTGTTAGCCAGGATGGTCTCGATCTCCTGACCTCGTGATCCACTCACCTCGGCCTCCCAAAGTGCTGGGATTACAGGCGTGAGCCACGGTGCCCGGCCTCAGTTTTTCACTTGTTGTTAGGGTGGGATGTCAACTTCCAAGCTTATATACCGGAGGAGAACAATAATATCTTTTCTGAATGCCCATTATCTTGCCCCTAAGAACTGTGAGTTCACTTAGTTATCTCCATAGTTTTCTTAGGCCTGGGCTTCTCTGGCTGCAGCCCCAACCTTGCCATCTGCTATAGTTTGGATGTGCTGCCCAACGTTTCTGTGTTGGAAACTCAATCCCCAATGCAGCAGTGTTGGAAGGTAGGGCCTAATGGGAGGTGATTGGGTCACAGGTGCACTGCCCTCATAAATGGATTGATTCTACTATCATCAGAGTGGGCTTGTTATTTTGGGAGTGGTTTCCCTACAAGAAGTTGAGTTTGATCCCCTCTTGCTCGCTATCTCTCAGGCTCTCTTTTGGACTTTCACCTTCTGCCATGGGAGGATGCAGCAGGAAGGCCCTCCACAAATGCCAGCTCCTCCATCTTGGATTTCCCAGACTCTGGAACCATAAGCCAATAAACCATAAGCCAATAAATTTATGTTTATTATAAATTACTTAGTCTGTTGTATTCTGTTATAGCAGGACAAAACAGACTAAGACCATCCGTCACCATTAATTTTGCCAAACCTTTTTCTGACAGTTAAGTACCAACTCCTGGCATCTGTTATTTCATCCCCTTTGCTCTCAAAGCACACAACTCTTGATAATATTGCCTCCCAGCAGCCCTGACCCTCAGTAGACAACCATGACTGAGCATCTCAGTAACACTTGTGTTTCTTTCACTGTCGTATTTCTTGTTGTTTTGGAGAATGGAGTTTCCTCTGGCCTTTCCCACGAAAATAGTTAACTGGTGGAATTTCCTGATTTGTTGTATTCTGACATACCCATTTTTTCTACCTTTTGATTGTTTTATTCATCATGTGCCATGGCACTTCTGATATTTCTATTTCACCTTGTGTGGGCTGTCACTCTTTCCAATATTCCACAGTCCATCTCACCAATGTGTTGATAATATCTCCTAGGTTCTTCCTGGGGCAATAAATCCTGTAAAATTGGAGAGTGCTCTATATACATGAACTCTACCTTCTCCAATTTTATATTCTGTAGCATGTAATCCATCATTATCAGAATTCAAGGCTTTAAGGGTAGATCTTGAGATGGGGGCAGGAATTGTCATAAAGGCACCTGCCTCATTTGAGACTTCTGCATGATCTGTATGTAAGGCGTGCTATGTTTGGTTTCGTTTTTGTTTTCTTTCCAGGGGGCCTATGTTTTGACAAGGGGAAGTAGACCACTTTGTCAGATCCGATAGGTTTAAGGGAATGTGTGAGTTCAAGATTTTGAGCTGTATATACCCAGGTATTTCAATCTCAAGTCTCAATATCTCAGCATTTCCCTATTTGTGCACTCACATTGGCATATGAGACCTGGTCAGGCTAAACACTTTCTCTGAAGCTTTATTACTTTTAAAATTAAATCCTGAGCCTGCTTTTCTGCCCCGTTTGCCTTTTAGCTATACAAAATTCACATCAAGAACATCCTCTGACTTTCATATTTTGTCTAAATTAGTAATTAACCTTCCCAATCTGATCTCTTTTAGCAAATCATTGGTACTTAGTAACAGCTACCAAACTCCCAGATTTTTATGTGTATCATTTCCTTTACTGTGGATATATTTCAACAGACAGCACATCTCCTTTCACTAGGATTCTCCCTCAGAGAAGGTTTACATTAGTCAAAGTCTAAAGAGTTTGACTTCTGGCCGGGCACAGTGGCTCGCGCCTGTAATCCCAGCATTTTGGGAGGCCAAGGCAGGTGGATCATGAAGTCAGGAGATCGAGACCATCTTGGCTAACATGGTGAAACCCTGTCTCTACTAGAAATATAAAAAATTAGCCAGGCATGGCGGTGGGCTCCTGTAGTCCCAGCAGTTACTAGGGAGGCTAAGGCAGGAGAATGGTGTGACCCCAGGAGGTGGAGCTTGCAATGAGCCGAGATCGCGCCACTGCACTCCAGCCTGGGTGACAGAGCAAGACTCTCTCTCAAAAAAAAAAAAAAAAAAAAGGAGTTTGACTTCTGCACAATAGTTGTTATCCATGCACCATCTGTTTAAAGTAAGGGTCTTTATTGTCCAGCAGCCAGGTCCAAAATTACATTTTAGAGTTTGCTTCTTAGGACCACTTCCGGAATCAGGAATGTGAATCTGAGACAGAGAATTAAGTGTTGTAATCAACACTGTGTGTGCTACCTGGATCCTCCCTTCCAGACCAAGGCACTCTTTGACCTAGTTGCCAAGAGTGTTGCCTGCTGATGACTCAAAGGGAAGTCTTTTCCCAAGATTTTCCTTCTGCTGAAAAGAGCTGCCTCACCCAAACCTATGGGCCTTTGTCAGGGGCAGCCTACATTCCATGAGTGCTCCAGGTGAAGGTACAAGGGCCTAGATCCCTTGCTTTGATTCAGTAAGACTATAAAAGGCCATCTCAGCCCTGAACTCCCTGGAATTAGATAAAGCTTTAATGCAATTACATCACAGTTCAACTTTTTCCTCCACTCGTATTTCCCTGAAAGTATTGTTACTGAGAACACTCACCAATAAAGACTTTTGCATACAAATCCCTGCTTCCCAGGATTACATGCCTAAAACAAGTGCAATAAATTTGTTAGAAAGTGCTCTGGAGAAGTATAAGGAGTTGAGTAAGGCAGGATTGGGCAAAGGAAAAGGTTGACCTCTGGGGCAGCTTCAAATTTAACGTTAGGGATTCCTATGGGGAACTTTGCAGCTATAGCTGGAATTGTCCCTCAGAATTTTGTTAAATTGTAGTAAACAGGCCACTGACAGTGATTGGCCATTGTTGTCACTTAGGAAAGATCATGCTTGAGTGAAGCAGTTCTGAAGCTGAGAACACTTTCCAATGACAGACACAACTATGAGCATCAGGAACAAATATTTCTTTCTTTTTTTTTTTTTTTTTTTTTTTTTTGAGACAGAGTCTTGCTTGCTCTGTTGCCCAGGCTAGAGTGCAGTGGCGGGATCTTGGCTCACTGCAACCTCTGCCTCCTGGGTTCAAGCGCTTTTCCTGCCTTAGCTTCCTGAGTAGCTGGGACTACAGGCGTGTGCCAACATGCCCAGCTAATTTGTGTAGTTTTTGTAGAGATGGGGTTTCACTATGTTGGCCAGGCTGGTCTCGAACTCCTCACCTCAAGTGATCTGCCAGCCTTGACCTCCCAAAGTGCTGGGATTGCAGGCATAAGCCACCATGCCTACAAACTGAGGAATGAGTTCACTGGCCTCAAAAGCAATTTTGGAAGAGTACCAGATATTCACTATAGTGTATTATTGTATACATTTTAATATTTCCATATTAGCTAACTCAATATTAAAATGTATATAGATTACAAATAATCATAAGCAAAACTCAGTGTGAGTCTTTCTGCCCTTAAGATCTATATGCATTATTATTCTAGCTAGCAGTCTATCACTCTTATTTATTCTTCAAAATACAAATCTCCATCTTTTGTATGGTTTTGTCCATCTTTGTATGGTTTCTTGTGTCTCAGTTTTATTCCATTCAGCTCTAATTTGGTTATTTCTTTTCTTCCTCTAGCTTTGGAGTTAGTTTGCTCTTGTTTTTCTAGTTCCTCTAAATGTGGTGTTAGGGGGGCATGTGGCCGGGCAGTACTGTGAGTGCACCGTCTTCTGCTCCCTGTCCCCCTGAAAAATAAAAATTAAAAATTAAATATGATGCTAGCTTGTTAACTTGAGATCTTTCTAACTTTTTGATGTGCATGTATAGTACTATAAACTTTCCTTTTAAGATGACTTTAACTGTGTCCCATGTATTCTGTATCTTTGTTTTCATTAGTTTCAAGGAATTTCTTGGTTTCTGCCTTAATTTCATTCATTGTTACACAGAAGTCATTCAGAAGCAGGTTGTTTAATTTCCACATAATTTTACGGTTTTGAGCAATCTACTTAGTATTGATTTTTATTTTTATTGTGCTATGGTCTCAGAGTGTAGTTGGTATGATTTGGCTTTCTTCAGTTTGCTGAGAATTGTTTTATGGCCAATTGTGTAGTCAATTCTAGAGTATGTGCCATATGCAGAAGAGAAGAATGTGTATTTTGTTGTTTTGGGGTGAAGAGTTTTGTAGATGTCCGTTAGGTCTGTTTGGCCAAGTGTTGACTCCAGGTCCCAAATATCTTTATTAGTTTTCTGCCTTGATGATCTGTCTAATACTGGGCACTTTTGTCTAACACAGTGACATGTTGAAGTCTCTCACTATTATTGTGTGGTTATCTAAGTCTCTTCATAGGTCTCTAAGAACTTGTTTTATGAATCTGGGTGCTCCTGTGTTGGGTGCATATATATTTATTTTCTTATATATATGTTTTATTTTAAAATCTTGTGAGTACATAGTAGGCATATATATTTATGGGGTACATGAGTTATTTTGGTACAGGCATGCAACGCATAATAATCACATCATGGAAAATTGGGTATCCAACCCCTCAAACATCTATCCTTTGTATTACAAATAATCCAGTTATACCTCTTAGTTATTTTTAAATGTATGATTAAATTATTATTGACTATAGTCTCCCTGTTATACTATTAAGTATTAGGTCTTATTCATTCTTTCTATTTTTTGTACCCATTAGCCATCCCCACCTTTCTGTCACCCTGTTCCCCACCGTTCCCAGCCTCTATTAACCATCTTTCTACTCTCTATCTCCACGAATTCAATTGTTTTAATTTTTAGCTCACCACGAATAAGTGATAACATGTGCAGTTTGTCTTTCTGTGTCTGGTTTATTTCACTTAACACAATTACCTTCAGTTTCATCCATCCATGTTGTTGCAAATGACAGAATCTCATTTTTTATGGCTAAATAGTACTCCATTGTGTATACATACCACATTTTCTTTATCCATTCATCTGTTCATGGACACTTGGGTTGCTTCCAAATCTTGACTATTGTGAGTAGTGCCACAATAAACATGGGAGTGCACATATCATTTTGATGTACTGATTTCTTTTGCTTTGGGTGTATACTTAGGAGTGCAATGGCTGAATCATAAAGAACCTCTATTTTTAGATTTTTTGATGAACCTCCAAATTGTTCTACATAGTGTTTATACTAATTTACATTCTCCCCAACAGTGTTCAAGAGTTCCCTTTTCTCCACATCCTTGCCAGCATTTACTATTTCCAGACTTTTGGATAAAAGCCATTTTAACTGTGATGAGGTGATTTCTCAATGTAGTTTTCATTTGCATTTCTCTTATGATCAATGATAGTGAGCACTTTTTCATAGGCCTGTTTGTCATTTGTATATCTTCTTTTGAGAAATGTCTATTCAAATGTTTTCCTATTTTTAAATCAAATTATTAGATATTTTCCATTAATTTCCTCCTCTTGTCTAATTGCTCTAGCTAGACATTCAGTACTATATTAAATAACAGTGGTGAAAGTGGACATCCTTTTTGTGTTCCAGATCTAAGATGAAACTAAGATGAAAAACTTTTAGTTTTTCCCCATTCAATACCATATTATCTGTGGGTCTGTCATACATTGCTTTTACTATGCTAAGGTATGTTCCTCCTATACCCAGTTTTAGGGATAGTTAAGTATTCTTATTGAATTGAATCCTTTACCATATGTAATATTGTTCTTGGTCTTTTTTGATTGTTGTTTGTTTAAAGTCTGTTTTGTTTGAAATTAGAATAGCAACTCCTGCTTTTCTGTTGTTGTTGTTTTCCATTTGCTTGGTGGATTTTTCTTCATCCTTTACTTTGAGCCTATAGGTGTAATTGCACGTGAGATGGGTCTCTTGAAGACAGCATACATTTAGTTCTTGCTTCTTTATCCAGCTTGCCATTCTATGCCTTTTAATTGGAGCATTTAGCCTATGTACATTCAAGGTTAATATTGATATGTGTGGATTTGATCCTGTCATCATCTTGTTAGCTGGTAATTATGCAGACTTTATTATGTATCTGCTTTACAGTGTCAATGGTCTATGTGGTTAAGTGTGTTTTTGTTGTGGCCATTAACAGTCTTTTGTTTTCATATTGAGCACTTCCTTAAGGATCTCTTATTGTTACACCATAAAGACACATGCATTTGTATGTTCATCACAACACTATTCACAACAGCAAAGACAAGGAATCAACCTAATGCCCATCAATGGTACACTGGATTAAGAAAATGCAGTCATATACACCATGGAATACTATGTACCCATGGAAAAGCATGAGATCATGTTTTTGCAGCAGCATGCATGGAGCTGGAGGCCATTATCCCAAATCAACAGAAAACCAAATAATACATGTTCTCACTTATAAGTGGAAGCTAAACATTGAGTACACATGAACACAAAGAAAGGAACATTAGATACTGGGGCCTACTTGAGGGTAACAGGTGGGAGGAGAGAAAGGATCTAAAAACTATCAGGTACTGTGCTTATTACTTGAGTGACAACATAATCAGTACTCCAAACCCCTGTGACATGAAATTTACCTAGATGACAAACCTGAACATGTACCCCTGAAACTAAAATAAATTAAAAAACAAAACTCCATAAGCATTAGCAAGTGTCCATTGCAATACTTTAGAAAAATCTAATAATTTATTGGGGAGGCAGGGTATCTTCTCTTAACTATAGCTCTGACCTGACTTATGAGCAATTGCACCATATCAAATGTGATGGTTAATTGTATGTGTCAACTTAGCTAGGCTATAGTACTGATATATTTGGCCAGACACCACCAGTCTAGATATTGCTGTGAAGATGTTTTTTAGTACAATAAACAGTTAAATCAGTGGACATGGAGTAATGCAGATTACCTTCCATAATGTGGTAGGCATCATCAAATCAGCTGAAGGCTGTAAAAGAAAAAAGACTGAGGTCCCCAGAGGAAGAGGAAATTCTGCCTCCAGACTCAAGCTGCAACATCAGCTCTTTCCTAGGTCTTTAGCCTGCTGACTTGCCCTGAAGATCTCAGACTTAGACTTGCTAACTTTTTGCATTGAATCACAACACATGAGCCAATTCATTAAGGTAAATATTAAAGTAAAGCTCTCTCTCTCTGTCTTTGTCTCTGTCTCTGTGTTTGTGTGTGTGTGTGTGTGTTTGTGTGTGTGTGTATGAGCTTTTTTTGGTGTTTATGTTGCTTAAGGATCTCTGTGCTTCTTAAATCTGTGACTTAATGTGTTTCACCAGTTTCAAAAAATTCTCTCTTCACATATTTCTTTTAGCCATAAAATATCTGTTAAAGGGCTAAAAGAAATTAATTTGTTTTTTAAGACTGAGTCTCGCTCTGTTGCCTAGGCTGGCGTGCAGTGGCATGATCTTGGCTCACTGCAAGCTCTGCCTCCCGGGTTCATGCCATTCTCCTGCCTCAGCCTCCTGAGTAGCTGGGACTACAGGTGCCCGCCACCACACCTGGCTAATTTTTTTTCATATTTTTAATAGAGATGGATGTTAGCCAGGATGGTCTCGATCTCCTGACCTTGTGATCCACCTGCCTCAGCCTCCCAAAATGCTGGGATTACAGGTGTGAGCCACTGTGCCCAACCAAGAAATTAAATTTTAAACACACTCTCATCCCAAACACACACAGAAATACTAGTAACAAGCTGTAGAAATGATCCCTGAAAGTATATTCTTGAAATACTAAGAGTTCTCCAGAGATATATGTCTAGGTGGGGGGAAGGGAATGCACGAAGGATGAAGGAATAAATTAAGGGTGAATATATGGGAAAATCTAAATAAATATTGTCTGTATGAGAAAATTATGTCCCATATTATTTTAAAAACAGAGTGAATACAAATGTATGATAACAATACCACAAAATTTATGAAAGAGAAAATACGAATAAGGAGTTATTAGGTTATTTTTTACTGTTTGGGATGTACTTAAATGTTGACTTATTGCAAGTCTCATTAGTCAAGAATATAAATTGTAATGCCTAAGGAAACCACTGAAATGATAACAAGAGAATGCATAAGGACCAAGCTAGCAGAGGAAAAGTTCAGAAAACTCGTTAAGTACTAAATCTGAAAGAAGGTCATGAAAGAGAGGAAAAGGAACACAGAAAAGGTAGTCAATAGAAAACCATAGTAAAGAGTTCATTTAAATCCATTGCAGAAAACAAAATGAAGGCAAAGATGTATCAGGCAAAAGCTAACTTAAAAGAAAGCTGGTGTGGCTATACTAATATGGTACAAAGTATACCTGAAAGAATAAACATTAGTATTGACAAAAAGGACTTTTATGAGGCTAAAACAATAAACTAAAAGAAGATGTATAATTCCACATTTGCATGCTCCTAATAATATAGTCTCAAAATATGTAAACACATAACTTTCAGAAATAAAATCAGAGGCAAATATGCAGTCACAGTTGGAGATTTTCACACACTTCACTCAGTAATTGATAAAATATTTTGATGTGGATAGAACTTCCATATGCTCTTGGCTGGAGACTAAATTGGACCACTCACTGTAAAAGACTCTGACATTGTTCCTTGAAGTTGAATATACACATAGCCTATGGCCAGAGAATTTCACTCCCAAGGTATAGTCAATAGAATATCAAGAAATATTTACAAATGTTTATAGAAGCTATAGTTGTAAAAGGCAGACTGTAAATAACTGAAATGATCATATATAGTAGAACTAGGAAATGGATTTGGATTTCATAATGATGATGATGGATTATCATCAGCAGGAAGAATGAATGAACTAATATTATGTGCAATAATCTAAATGAATCTTATAATGATAGGTGAAATAAGTCAATTACAAATAATTTAAACCACATCATTCTATGAATAGAAAATTTTTAAAAAATCAATAGTCTTTTTTTTTTTTTTTTTTGAGATGGAGTCTCACTCTGTCCCCCAGGCTGGATTGCAATGGTGTGATCTCAGCTCACTGCTGCAACCTCCACCTCCTGGGTTCAAGCAATTCCCCTGCCTCAGCCTCCCAAGTAGCTGGGACTACAGGCACGCACCACCATGCCCGGCTAATTTTTTGTATTTTAGTAGAGACGGGGTTTCACTATGTTAGTCAGGCTGGTCTCGAACTCCTGACCTTGTGATCCACCCGCCTTGGGCTTCCAAAGTGCTGGGATTACAGGCGTGAGCCACCACACCCAGCCAACAATAGTCTTATAAGTCAAAGTGTCAGCTATATTTGGAAAGAGGCCATAGTCACTGGAAGAGAACACAAGTGAAGTTCTTGAGATTTAAATAAAGTTTTATTTCCATGAGACATGGATAGTGGCTTCATGGGCAATTTATCTTTGTGATAATTCATTAAACTGGACACTTAAGAGTTGCACACTTAATTTTATCCAAAATCTATTTTCAAGTTAAAGCACGTAATAGCATTGTGCAAAAAACAACTTTCCTTATGAATTTAATCCTGTTCTATTAAATCATCACTTTCAAGTTCTACTCCTGAAGACAGGCTTGGTGTACCCTCTTAGGGCATTCAGCAATACTCTCTGGTGAAGTCAAACTGAAGACACACTGATAAAGCATCTTAGAAATTACATGGATTCCTTCCTGAACGCCATAACATCCGTTTTGCTTACACTTGTATTTTATACAGCATGTGTTAGCACTTATGATGTTGTCCGAGTATATATTTGGGTGTCCAAAATAGATTATTTGGTACCTTTGCAGGATTTCAACCTTTTGTCTACATGTCATGACCTAAAGTCAACAGTGAGGAACTATTACTTCCCTGCTTTTATAAATAAAATCTTATTGTAAATCCTCTTAAAAAAAAAACAACGTGAGCATTTTTCAGTTTCCGCTGCCACTCACTACGAGTAGCTAAGAAATCTGTTCTTCTTCCCTTCTGGATGTTTTTCTCTTATTAGCTTTTTCCTGTGGTTCCATCTTATTAGATGCCTAGACATGCATGCTTCTTTTCCTCTCCTGCATCCTTAATGCAGGATGTGCACGTGCATGGAGGAACACAGGAGCCATGTGCTGTAGGGAGGGCAGAATCTCTCCTACAGTGGAGATTCAAGCATCCAGGAGTTTCTTTTTGGCTCTTGCCAAAAAGTTTTTTTTTTTTTTGAGACAGAGTCTTGGTCTATCGCCCAGGATGGAGTCCAGTGGCATGATCTTGGCTCACAGCAACCTCCGCCTCCCAGGTTCAAGCAATTCTCCTGCCTCAGACTCCCAAGTAGCTGGGATTATGGGCATGTGCCACCACACCTAGCTAATTTTTGTATTTTTAGGAGAGAGAGGGTTTCACCATGTTGACCAGGCTGGTCTTGAACTCCTGACCTCAGGTGATCCGCCTGCCTCAGCCTAACAAATTGCTAGGATTATAGGCGTGAGCCACAGTGCCCGTCACCTATTTTCTTACTATTACAGAAATAACTGGTTTCTGCTTTTTTTTTTTTTTTTTTTTGACGGAGTCTCATTTTGTCACCCAGGCTGGCGCAATCTCAGCTCACTGTAAGCTCCGCCTCCCAGGTTCATGCCATTCTCCTGCCTCAGCCTCCCAAGTAGCTGGGACTACAGGCACCCGCCACCACGCCTGGCTAATTTTTTGTATTTTTAGTGGAGACAGGGTTTTACCATGTTAGCCAGGATGGTCTCGATCTCCTGACCTCGTGATCCACCCACCTCAGCCTCCCAAAGTGCTGAGATTACAGGTGTGAGCCACCACGTCAAGCCCAGTTTCTGCTTTTATGGAAGGAACCACTCTTATTTAAAACTACAATTTTTGTATTTGTGTTAGGTTTTTGTCTGGTTTGTGTTGGACAAAAAGAGTGTCCCACGTGTGTGTTTTATGGTTTCACAGACTTTATTCATCTTCGTGGACAAAGGCAGGTAAAACACATGTTTTTCATTTTATTTTTTTTCTGTAAACTGTACTTTCAATAAATGACTGATTCTTAAATAGATGATAATACTTTTTCTAGTGCAGAAATAAAGTCCATGCAATTTTTATAAAACTTGGACCATACTTTTCAAAGTTCTCCTAGAGTTATGCATAGAAATGAGTATATGATCCAAAATGTAGATGCTTTCTAGAGCAAAGTGAAGGGAAGAGGGAAAGAACGAGAGAGAGTTCTGGGAATAGCCATGCTTTCAGTCCCTTCCCAGGGAGGTAAATATATTTAAGACATATATTTTAAGAAATTGCTTATATAATCTGTTATTATAATTTGGTGTATTCCTTTGAGTTAATATTTTTATTTGAGAAATGCAGTGCATGCACATTTTAGGTAAATGAAGAAAAGGCTTTTAATGAGGTCATACAGATTGTGATGTCCCTACTTAGACATGCAAATCAACATAAGGAGTTTCACTCACAGGCACAAGTTTCCCATCAGGGGAGCCAAGAGTATTTTGGAAACAATGCATGACACAGAAGAAGAGGAGCCAAAGCTGTCTTATATATAGGGAGTAGCCCTTTTGTTTTGGCCTCCATTTCTGTTAGTCCTTAAAATCCCTCCCAGGTTAAAAATGGCTTTTCCAAGTGAGTATGTCTCAACACAAACTTAGGATATTGAAGTCCCACTTATAAACAGCAAACTCTTCAACATAGAAAGAAAACAAAAAGAGGTAACAACAGACTACTATCGTCAGTGAATTCCTGGGCATTTTGTTCCCAAAGCAATCAAATCTGCATTTATATTTAAAGAGAGCTCATAAGAGTGCCCCATCTTGAATACCTGAATTGAGCTCCTGACCCTGTTCCCAGGATTTGATCTGTGAGACCTGCATCTTTAGAACATGTATCAGGTATACTCTTGGTGTAATAAAATGTGCCCCGGGGTCCTTTTTCTGACCTTTCTCCCTCTTTCTTCTCACTTTTACTTTCCCTTCAGTGCCTTAGCGAGGGCTACACAAAATTCAAAGTGTGTGCTTGGCCTGCTTGAGAATTTATAGACAAAGCTGAGCTATGGAAAAAGCGTCAGAAGCAGGACTTACAATTAAATAAGAAAACAAAGCCCTTGTTCTCTCCCTCCTCTTCCTTGCTGAAAACAAAAGACCAAGTCTACTGGAAAACATCAGTGCAATTCAAAAGCAGGTGTATTTCCACATGCAGAGCAGCTTGTGGGCTAGAAGCAGATGCCAGTGGTTACATAGTAGCAAGGGTTTTAGACTACACTCTCAGGGAAATGTTCCAAACCATCCAAGGTGACCTCTTGCGCGCGCGCGCGCACACACACACACACACACACACACACACACACACGGTAGAAGCTAACATTTGGCACTCTATCTTTTTCTTTGTTTGTTTACGGCCTAACATACCCCAAGGTGTTCCAGATACTCATGCTGCTACCAGGTAACCAGGCCACCACACTGCCATCTGTTTTAGCTCCACCCTAACTTAACAGTGCTTTTGTGTTCCAGAATTTCCCCTACCTCCTTCCACTCCTGCATCTCCAGATTCATTTCTTTCTGTTCCTTTACTTTCTGATCAAACTTATAGAACTGAGGTTATGTTAGTTAATGTAGTTTACATAGCTGGAAAATAGAGAACCTGAGATTAAAATTCAGGCCTTCTTTCTCTTAACCCATCAGGCTTCTTTTTGATCATTTCAATATGATGCTTCACTATAGCCCAATTTTTTGTCACATTCTCTACTTGAATATAGAAATGCACTCATTCATATATTTGATGTGTGCACTGTATCAGACCATAATTTACTTAGGCAATAAGAAAAGTATGATTTTGCTCTATAAATGTTCTACTTCATCTTTTATGGGGTTAACCATTTTCTGTTTTAGCTGGAGAAAAATTGTCAAAATTTGTTTATCTACATCTCATATAATATGGTCTAGACAATTGTTACCTTTACCAAAAACATCAACAACAGGAGCAGAGGACTTGGATTTGAAAAACTGACATAGGTGTTCAGAAAAGCTTGGAAGAAGAAAATTGAGAACAAAAAACTTTTCTTGAACTCAACTCTAGAATTCGTTCACCATTTTTCTTATATATCTTATAGTGTCTTGGGTACACCAGGTTATCATGGCCAGGCCAGCAGGAGAGTTTGTTGAATGAGCTCATGTATAAATAACTGCTCCGTAAGGCTGTGAACATTTATGAGGCTCATTATGTTTCAGTTCTTGTTTAACAGCAAGTCCCTCCCTACTTGGGCAGTGGAATCCCGCTGATTTACTACTTATCAGGAATAAATTACAGTTTAGAACTTGGATTTTTCTTCATGGTTTTCTTTGTGTCAGCATAAATAAACTTAGCTAATAGGGCTATTTCCCATTGCCCATTAAACGGGCTGTGAGTAAAAGACTTCCTGGCTTCTGAGAGAAGGAAGATGAGAGAACTGAGTCATTTTACCTGAAAGTGTTTACAATGTTAAGGGCTTTGGGAAATAGATGTCAAATACTGCAAGTTACAGCATTTCCTAACACTTATTTGAGTTTTTAAGTTTTGCTTTCCATCAGCTACATAATCTTATTATTGTAGAAGCCATTAGCACTGGAGACTAAGAAGTCATTCTTGGTGAATTCTGTAGGCAAAGATGACTACATCCTAACACACTGCCAGGGTCATCATCATCTCTACGTACCCTTCTCTTAATGACATCTAGAGTGATGGCTTCACCCACTTTGATGAAAAGTTCAGAATTCTGTAATTACTGAAAGAGAGAGTGGAATGTCATTTCTAGGTCTTCATCCAGAGTAATTTCTTGGCTCCAATGCCCACATTTCATTTGCAGAAACAGCTTTTTGGTATTAGTTAACATTCAAGGAATAGTTTCAAGTTTTACAACTGCAAAAGGGTCATTATTTTTATCAGTGTGCTGGAGGTTATTTTGAGTCTGAATACGGAGGGCCCAATTCAATAAAATCTCAGCCTGACTTTCCCAGCAGGATGCTCAAACCATGGAAATTCAACAGGGGAGCACACATGGGCTTCTACGATACTGAACCAGGGCTGAATTTCCATTTAATCATTCTCAAGAAATCAAAAGACACTTTAGGATTAAATGGCAAACCTTTTAAGTAGGAATTCCTCAGCCAAAATGGCCAATTAGCATTTAAACTGCAGAACTGCATTATGTAAGAGGAAATGAGTAACTGAAAAAAGAAATTATCTTCCTTATTAGTTAAAAAGGTAAACCAGAAACATGGAGTTATCACAAAACAAGCATTCTCTTCTAGAACAGGAGAGATACACAGGACTTTTGTTTCAAAAAGAATTAAAAGGATCCATGTTATTGACCTGTTCTCATGCTTTTAGCTTTAATTGGCAAAATTAGCTCAGGTGAATAATATTAGAAGACACCTCTAATTATATATTTTGTTGCATCACACAAGTGACTCAAAAGCTCCATGTTTATGACTTTAAATTGATTTTTTTAAATAAATTACTTTATGTATTGGAAAGTAATGTTATATTTAGACATAGCCTAGATTCAATTTTTTATATTCATAAAATCTTGGCTTATTTAAAGCTCCTTCCCCATCTTCCAGTGTGCACCTCAGGGGCTTAGAGACTAAACAGAGTAAGAGTTGGCTTAGGAAAAAAACCACATTTCTGCTATGACTGCTCATAAAGGAAAATTTAAAACCTTCCAGAAATGTAGTTGAAAATGGCTCTTAAGCAATTGTTTATTATCTTTCTTCATGTATCATCAATTTTTAGACTCAGCTTTCACCAAGCTCAATAATTATGTAAATTTCAAATGTTGGTTCTCACCAATATTTAGTAATGTTATTGTTGTGCATGTTTGTATACATACTTTAAACAAATGAAAAGGCAAGCAAATTCAATGGTTATTATTGCTGCTGTTGCACTTTGCAATGTTTTTCTTCTTTGTCAGTTCCTCATTATGGTATCCCAGAGGGTTTCATGACATGGACTTTTGTAATATGCCACATGTGGTGAAGACCAGCAGTTCAACACCAGAAGGAATCTGACCAGTGCTCACTGCAGCATCTCCAGAAGTGATAGGGATTTGCTTAGGGAATAAAGAACATGGACTGCACTCTCCATAGGACATGGGTTTTTTCCATCAGTAGTCTGGATGATTACCTAAAAGCATGACGGTAAATAACCGATGCTTTTTCTCACCCACCTCACTCATTGCAAAACCAGCCAAGATCTTTCATCTGTTGAGTGACTTGAGATTTTGCTGTAAGAGTAATCATTTTTGTTTACCAGGATGGTAATACTGAAATTGACCCAATTGTCTCATAGAATGTTCTTTTTGATAAACGTAGAAATTGACCCTTCTGATCTTAAAAAG
The DNA here is from genome assembly GCF_000001405.40 of Homo sapiens. NCBI lineage: Eukaryota > Metazoa > Chordata > Mammalia > Primates > Hominidae > Homo > Homo sapiens. Next base: position 36,426,073 of record NC_000010.11, read on the forward strand.
CTTGAAACATATTTGTTTTATCTGAGTTCCTTCCTCAGGAGACCACCTTCAGGCCTCACAAAAAGTACTGAAGAACTGAAACCAGATCATGGTATCGATGCTGGACCCCTCTTTCACCATGACGGCTTCTTTACCTCTCCCAAGTTCCTGTTTTCTTACACATTGTTACATTTCTTGCCTGCAATATAAACCCCTGATTTTATTCAGTCAGGGAGATGGATGTGGGACTGAGCTTCTGTCTCCTTGGCTGTGGCACCTGATTAAAGCCTTCTTCCTTGACAATACTTGGCGTCTCAGTCATTGGCTTTCTGTGCAGTAAGCAGCAGGACCTAGACCGAACCCCTGGTGTTTTAGTAGCAATGCTACTAAAAAAGACAAGATTGTTTTTTGTTTGCTTTCTGTAAAAAACAACAAAAGCAGAGATATATAGATGTATACCCATTCAAACATTATTTTCTGTTGAAAAGTTAATTCAGACTTCTCATTGACTAATTGAATGATGACAATCATTTAAAATATGGCCTATCATATAATTGTTCATGGAAAAACATTATTAACAGGTTGGCCTATCTTTTTCAAGACTTTTATAAATACTTGTGTATGCATGTACTATATATATATATTTAATAAATCTTGAATTATTCTGTATATGCCATTTTGTAATTTGTACTTATCTATGCATTATCTTTAAACATTTTCTCAGGTTGTTCTTATGGGTTTTAGTGTCCAATCATGTTATATTTTCATCATATATTTGAACAACTTCTATTGTTGAATATTTTGGAGTATTTCACATTTTCTCTTGTTTTAAATAATCCTGTAGCAATTACATTTGTGTAAAAATCTTTGTATACTATTTGATTATTTCTGTACTAGAAGAACGATTGTATGTCATAGAATGAGTATATTTTGAAGTTCAATTATTATTATCATTTTTATTACAGCAGTAATGTAGAGACCCTCTAAAATAACAATTATTAAGATTACACACAACTATTACACTGCTCACTGTGTTTCTAGGCACTGTGCTATTATATCAGACTTAACTTAATCTTCAATAAAACACTGTTGAATAGTTCTTTATATTTTCTCAATATTATTGATGAGGACATTTGGGACTTAGGTTGAACAGCTTGCCCAAAACCAAACAATTGATAAATGGCAGGGCTGCCTTACTCTAGAATTGTGTTTTCAAAAAAGATGATGCAGTTAGAAAATTATAGGACAGTTTTGATTTTCACACAGATTAGGAGAGGATGCATTTGGAGAATAGACGCCAAGGATGTTAAATCTTCTGCAATGAGTGAGAGAGCCCCACACAACTTTAGGGTGTTTCTGGATATTCATGTAACCAATTATCTAATTTTCTGATCCTAAAACCTAAATCTGTTTTATACATAAATACAAATAACATTTGCAGGGTTTTAATATGCAATAAATTTACTAATGATGCAAAGCTTACTTGAGTGAAGATAGACCTGAATACAAATTTGTTTTGATCAGAACTTTACCAAGAGTTGTTCAACATTTTGGAAAATCAGGTAGCTGCTGACATCACAACTGTAGTATGTGAGCCTCCAATACAACACCCTTACAGTCATCTAAATTTGGAGTGGTCAGGTTCATGGTGACTGTATGCATAGGTGTGAGTGGGATCACTTTATAACATCTTCTAGTCTGGCTCGGTGCAGTAGCTCACACCTGTAATCCCAGCACTTAGGGAGGCAGAGTTGGGGGGTTCACTTGAGCCCAGGAGTTCCGGATCTGCCTGGGCAACATAGCAAGACCCTGTTCTCCACAAAAAGAAAAAAAAACACAGAAAAAATTGGTACATCTTTTAGTGTGGTTGTGCCTGGGCATGAAATCCATATTTTTATCATAAAGTATTTCTCTTTGATTTTATATTAGTATAATAATTGCTTAATACTATGTGAGCACTGTGTGTTACATTAGCACTTGATTTTTTCCAGGAAAGTAAAGGAGTGATTCAACCTATTAGTTATAAAAAGGGTATTACATATGATAGGACTGAGGATAGCAAAATGTACATGTCTGGGGTACAGAGTAAGGGGTACATTTACATGTTAAATATAGACACACATAGAGGAACTCACACCTGCACACACAGCCTGAACTCTGATACAACATGTCTGTGCTTTTCAAATTGTCATTCTCAATCTTTTAGTGAGCCATGACATCAATGCATAGGTTGAGACCAGAATTTTTTAATGACATAAAGTAGAACAAATTAGAATGGAATGAAATGGAGTAGAGTGGAGTAGAGTGCAGTGGAATGGATGGAATAAGAGGAGATGGGATGAAATAGAATAGAATGGAAGAGAATTCAGTATCAGTTTTGTCTGTTTTATATACCTGTGCTTATAAGGACATATTGTAAAATGCATCTCTTACTTTGGGCCAAAAAGGTGAAAGCCATTGAGCTACACTACCATACTTTATACAGAAAGCAAGTAACATTTTCAGGGGTTAATCATTTTTCTGTACCTGAGTGTCGAAGTTGGTTTTGATAGTGATTGATGGGAGAGGAAGAAACCCAAAGATACCAGTGATTACTACACATCTTGAGTCCTCTCTTTCACAGTTTGCCTGAATGGAAGTGATGGTGCTGGCACAAAGCCAATTCCTTGTCTGAATGTCTGTGTTCCCCAAAAATTTGTATGTTTAAATCTAATCACCAAGGTGATGATATTAGAAGGTGGGGCCTTTGGGGTTGATTAGGCCATGAGGACGCCATCCCATGAATGGGATTTATGCCCTTGTGAAGGAGGCCCCAGAGAGCTGCCTTGCTTCTTCCACCATGTGAGGACACATGGAAAGCACCATCTATGAGGGAAGGGTCCTCACCAGACACCAAATCTGCTGATGCCTTGATCTTGGACTTCCCAGCCTCCAGACCCATTGCAATGTTTATATATTACCCAGTCTAAGGTATTTTGTTACCACAGCCTGAATAAAGACAATTCCTCATCCTCTTTCATTATGACTGACACTGAATGTGCTTGCCTATGCTACAGCTACTGGAGATTTTGCTGTTTGCTTTGTGTCACTATTTGGTCTTACAGTTAAGAAATGGATAGAAATTACTCTCCCACATCTTTGCCTCCCTCTGCTTTTTTCTTCTCCCTTCCCTTCATTGCATTGGTTCAGAGAGGCTGCGTCCTCATGACTCCATTTCATCCTGGCTTCCCAGACTCCTTACTTCAGGGATCTATAAGGTGATGCTTTCCCCCCGCCACCCCCACTGTTTCTTTGAAACTTACCTGATCTCCATGTCATGACTCTGTGGCCTGACAGATGACCACGAAGTTATTTTTCAAGACACTGATTCAGACTAAAATAGTAATGGATGTGTATGTGACACCTTCTAGGAGGTATTTTTATTTCTAATGGAAGTAGAGTATTAATGAAAACGAATGAAAGTAGCATAAGAGGCATATTTGGCTGGGGTGGAAGTGAGTTGTGGAAATTTCGACAGTTTCTTTCTTATAAGGAAACCAGGAGAACCTCTGCCTAAACATACAACTGGTCTTCATTAAACTCCAGACACTCTTTCAGTCTGTTTCAAGCATGACACAAATTAAACCATTACTATATTTTTTAAAAATATTATTTAAACAGTTTGTTACCTAAGGCAAATTCAGAAATAGACCCAAGAAATTTTATTTATGTTGTCAACACTCTACTGGGCAATTATAACTTGAAAACTTACATCATTATTTAGCCCTACTCTTTCTTTGCTATTTTGGTCCAACATGTGCTGAGTTTTTCTGATTTACACCCAGAATGTTTTGTTCCTTGATTTGATCCCTCCTTTCTTTTCCTACGGCAGCTGTATTCATTTTATCTAGATGGAATATTTCAAGAGCCTCACAATTTCTTCTCTTTCTCTTATTCATTCACTTTGTCATTTGTATTATACCTTCAAAACCATAGTTCTGATCATTTCACTCACTTGTGCAAAATCACTTGTGTCCCTCAATTACCTATAGAATAAAATCCAATCTTCTTCCCTTTGAATTCCTCAACCATCTGGCTTCATCATTCCTTTTACTCATTAGCTAAAAGAAATTAATTGTTGCTCATTGAATATCCCACATACTTCTGTAATTATACCTTTGCTTACTCTTATACATAAATCTTACTGGAATTTCCTTCCCACAATGTCTGTGGTCCAGAATCCGTTATAATTTTTAAGGGCCAGAAGAAATATCACCTTTTCTAAGATATCCACAATACTTGCTTCACAGAATGAACACAATCTTTTTTTCCCATCATAACTATCCTAACACATTGTGTGTTAAATTCTTGACCACTTTTTTTCCCTTTTTACTGTTTTTACTTAAGAACAACTTTATATATAGTAAAATGCACAATTCTCAATAGTATAGTTTAATGTGTGCTAAGAAATGCATACCCCTGAAATAGAGATACAGAGTATGTGCATTATCCCAGAAAATTCCCTATGGCCCTTGGACAGTCAGTCTCCACTACTACTCCTTGCCGAATGCAACTAGTGTTCTGATGTCTTTGACTACAGATTATTTTTACTATTTCTACGACTTCATATAAAAGGAATCATTCAGTATAATAGTGTCTTCTTTAATATTGTAGTTTCTTTCACTTAAACTATATTTGAGAGTAAACCATATTTTATCACCTATCAATTGTTGATTATTTTTAATGCTTAGTTGTATTCCATTGGATGAGTACAACATAACTTGTTCATTCATGGATGAAAATTTATTATTGTCAGTTTTTTGGCTATTAGAAGAAAGCTACTATGAACAATCTTTATGCACATACATTTTCATTTATCATGGATAAATACTGCCATATTTTCCAAAGTGTTTAAAACCTTTTATACTCTAATGAATAAGATTCAGCTGCCTACCTCTTCAATAGTTGGTGTCAGTCTTTTTTTTTTTTTTTTTGAGATGGACCTTCATTCTTGTTGCCCAGGCTGGAGTGCAATGGCGCAATCTTGGCTCACCGCAACCTCTGCCACCCAGGTTCAAGCGATTCTCCTGCCTCAGCCTCCCGAGTAGCTGGCATTACAGGTATGCGTCACCACACCTGGCTAATTTTGTATTTTTAGTAGAGATGGGGTTTCTCCATGTTGGTCAGGCTGGTCTCAAACTCGTGATCTCAGGTGATCCGCCCACCTTGGTCTCCCAAAGTGCTGGGATTATAGGTGTGAGCCACCACACCCAGCCTGATGTCAATCCTTTTAACTTTAGCTGTCTGGTGGGAAGGTAAGTTACTGGAGAATGGTGTGAACCTGAGAGGCGGAGCTTGCAGTGAGCGGAGATCGCCCACTCTACTGCAGCCTGAGCAACAGAGCAAGACTCCATCTCAAAAAAAAAAAAAAAATGTGATTTTTGATTTTCAAAAATCAAAAATATTTGGGGGATTCTACAAATATCTTTCTGCTTTTAATTTCTACTTTACTTCTGCTATGTTTGGAAAATACACTCTCTGTCATGTCAGTAGTCTTAAATTAATGAGATTTATGTCTCATCATATGGTGCATCTTTGTAAATATTCCATGTGTACCTGAAGAGCATGTATATTCTGCTGCTCGTTGATGAACTGTTGTATTAGGTCAAGTGTACTGAGGGTGTTGATCAGATCTTCTATATCCTTACTATTTTTTGTTTTACTTTTGGTTAGTTTCTATTAATAATTGAAACAGAAGAGTTAATATCTTCAATTATAATTGCAGATTTGTCTATTTCTCCTTTAATTATCTCAGTTTTTGTTTTATGTATCTTGAGTTTCTTTTATAAGGTGAGCATATATGTCTCCTTGAAAAGTTGAACTTTTTTTTTTGAGACGGAATCTCACCCTGTCGCCCAGGCTGGAGTGCAATGGTGCGAGCTCGGCTCACTGTAAGCTCCGCCTCCCGGGTTCACGCCATTCTCTTGCCTCAGCCTCCCGAGTAGCTGAGACTACAGGCGCCTGCCACCAAGCCCGGCTAATTTTTTTGTATTTTTATTAGAGACGGGGTTTCACCGTGTTAGCCAGAATGGTCTCGATCTCCTGACCTCGTGATCCGCCCACCTCCGTCTCCCAAAGTGCTGGGATTATAGACGTGAGCCACCACGCCCGGCCAAAGAATTGAACTTTTTATCATTATGAAATGTCCTTCATTATCTCAGTTAATACTCCATGCCTTGAAACATACACTTTCTACCCACTCCAGCTGTTTTATGATTAACATTTGCATGTTTTATCTTTTCCCATCATTGTACTTTTAACCTAGTTGTTTTCTTATATGTAAAATAAATCTCCTGTTAAAAGCATATAGTGAATCTTGTATGTGTGTTTTCTAGACAGACAATTTGTACTTTAAATTGTGGAGTGTTTCATCCGTTTGCATTTAAAGTAATTATTGATGTAATTGGGTTTACATCCTGTCATTTCTCCCACTATTTGGCCCATCTATTCTTTGTTTCCCTTTGCTTCTTGTCCTCACCTCTTTTGGATTAATAAGTGGTGTGTGTGTGTGTGTGTGCGTGTGTGTGTGTGTGTGTGTGTGTGTGTGTATTCTGTTTTATCTTGATTATTGTCTCATTAACAATACACTTTTGTTTTAGTTTTAGAGGTGGGTCTATGGTTTGCAGCATGCAAACGGAGAGCATATCACAGTCTCTGTCGAAAAGGCAATATTACATACCACTTCACATATTAGATGAGAGATGTGTAACAACATACTTTCACTGCTCCCTCATCCTTTATTCCACTGTTGTATATTTTATTTTATTTTGTATATACCTTATGGTGGGTTGTACGGTGAGTTGTGATTGGGTAAAATCCTAGTATATTAGAGAAGTTGAATATTTGTAATGAGTATTTTATTTTAAGAGTATTAGTTATAAAACTAAGTTCTATTGACAGTAAGAGTCCTAGGATGGCTACACTTAGGGCTGTAAGTTTTAGATCAAGTGATATTGTTGTTTGGGGAGATGAAGTAGGGATAATGCTATTGATGATGAGAAATCCAGTGAATATACTGCCGATTATAAGGCATTTAATTGGATTTATTAGGGAAGGGTTATTTTCGTTAATGTTGATTAGGGTTGGGATGCAGAGTTGTCCTATTAGGGTGAAGGAAATAATTTGGATACTATAGAAACTTATTAGAGAAGTGGCAATGAGAGTAATAGAGAGGGTTCAGGCATTAGTATATGAAGTGTTTGTGCTTTTGATGATGAGATATTTAGAGTAAAAGCCTGTGAGGAAGGGCATACCTGTAAGTGCTAGCCTGTCAATAATAAGGGAGGAGGAAGTAAGGGGTAAAGTCTTAAATAGTCCTCCTGTTTTTTGGATGTCTTGTTCATTGTTGAGGTTGTGGATGATGGATCCTGAACATGTAAATAATATAGCTTTGAAAAAGGCGTGGGTGCAGATGTGTAGGAATGCTAGGTGTGGCTGATTAATGCCAATTGTGACTATTATAAGGCCTAGTTGACTTGAGGTGGAGAATACTATAATTTTTTTATGTCATTTTGTGTTAAAGCACTGATTGCTGTAAATAAGGTGGTGCTAGCTCCTAAACATAGGGTAAGGTTTTGGATTAACATGTTATTCTCTATTAATGGGTGGAAGCGGATAAGCAGGAAAACTTCTGCCACAACTCTAGTGCTAGAGTGGAGTAGGTCTGAGAATGGGGTTGGGCCTTCCATGGCGGAAAGAAGTCAGGGGTGGAGACTAAGTTGAGCTGATTTTCCTGTTGCTGCTAAGAGAAGGCCAATTAATGGAAGAAAATCGGGGATAGGATTTAGGATAAATATTTTTTGAGGTTCTCATGTATTAGAGGATGAGAGGAATCGTGCTATGGCTAAAATGAAGTCAATGTCACCAATGCGATTACGTAGGATTGCTTGGAGGGCTGCTGTATTAGCATCTGCTCAGCCATGTCATCAGCCAATTAGTAAAAAAGACAAAATTCCTACACCTTCTCATCTGATAAAAAGTTGAAAAAGGTTGTTGGCAGTAACCAGAATTAATACTGTGGTTAGGAAGATAAGTAAATATTTGAAAAAACTGGCTAATGTTAGGATCTGACTTTATATATAATATTGAGAATTCTATAATAGATCAGGTGACGAATAGTGCTACTGTAATAAATATCATGGAGAAGTAGTCTAGTTTGAAGCTTAATGAGAGTTTAAGGGTTTGAATTGTTATTCAATGTCAGTTTGAGGTGATGGCTTCTAGGTTGGTATACATAAACGTTGTGGGAATGAGGCTAATAGTGAACGTGCACGCGATAGCTATTTTTACATAATATGGCTACAAGTTTTTCTTGCGAGGGTTGATGAAGGTAATAATGATTGGTAAGGTTAAGGAGATTAAGGTTATTATAGTAATGGAAAAATGCATGATTATTACTTTTATTTGGAGTTGCACCAATATTTTTGGTTCCTAAGACCAATGGGTCGCTCTTATACTTTAAAAGTTGAGAAAGCCATGTTGTTAGGCATGGGGGCATGAGTTAGCAGTTCTTGCATAGTTTCTCAGTAAATAAGAAGTTACAGACTTCTATTATCAGATCCACAATCTAATATTTTGACTAAACTATATTTACAGGGTATAAAGCCTATAATTATTTTAGGGTTTAGAGATAAAAAGAATAGGTGAAAGATGTATAAATATTAATATATTTTCTCTTGTAAAGGAGGGTTTAATACTGTTAATATAGCATGTACATGTTCCTCGTTGTATTGTGACAAGTATATAAAGGGAATAAAGGGCTGTGGTTAATATATTAAGTCCTATAAGCATAATGGTAATGTTTGATCAGGAGAATGAAGCTATTATTACAAGGAGTCCTCCTATTAGATTAATGGTGGGGGGTAAGGCAAGGTTGGTAAGATTTGCTGTAAGTCATCAAAAAGCTATTAGTGGAAGTAATGGTTGAAGGCGTTAAGAGAGCAGTATAATTCGGCTGTGGACTCACTCGTAATTTGAATTTGCTAAGCAGAATAGTAAGGACAGAGTAAGTCTGTGGGCAATTATGAGGGTAATTGCACCAGTAAAGCTTCAGGGGGTTTGAATAAGGATAGCCATGATAACAAGGTTAAATTTTTTTTATTTTTAAATGGAGTCTTGCTCTGTTGTCCAGGCTGGAGTGCAATGGTGCTATCTTGGCTGACTGCAACCTCCACCTCCCGAGTTCAAAGGATTCTCCTGCCTCAACCTCCCGAGTAGCTGGGATTACAGGCGTGCACCACCATGCCCGGCTAATTTTTTGTACTTTGAGTAGAGATGGGGTCTCACTATGCTGGCCAGGCTCATCTCGAACTCCTGACATTGTGATCCGCCCACCTCAGCCTCCTAAAGTGCTGGGATTACAGGCATGAGCCACCACGCCTGGCCTTAAGGTTCAATTTTTAAAAACAAGTTTTAAAAAAAGAAAATGTCTTTATTTTTACCAGTGTAGTTCCTACTTCCATGGCTTTTATTTCAAAGTGTAATCCAAATTTCCATCTGACATTTTTCTCCTTTAGTCTGAAGAACCTTATTTGACATTTCTTTCAATGCAAGTTTGTGGTGCTGAATTCTTCTAACTTTAGTTTATTTTAAAATGTCTTTATTTCAACATCATTTTTTAAAAATGTTCACTGGTTATAGAATTCTAGATTGACATGTTATCTTTTCTTTCAGTATTTTTAAGATAGAATTTCCTTGTCTTCTGGCTTGCATTGCTGTCTTTTTTATAAGAAATACAATACTTTTTATTTATGTTTTCCTTCTATTTGTGGTGTATTATACTTAGTGTTTTGTTGCTTTTTAAGGTTTTCTCAGACCTGGAGCAGTGGTTCATGTCTGTAATCCCAGCACTTTGGGAGGCCAAGGCAGACAGATCACTTGAGGCCAGGAGTTTGAGACCAGCCTGGCCAACATGGTGAAACCCCATCTCTACTAAACACACACACACATACACACACACACACACACACACACACACACACAAAATTAACTGGGCATGGTGGCTCATGCCTGTAATCCTATCTACTTGGAAGGCTGAGGCACAAAAATCGCTTGAACTCAGGAGGTGGAGGTTGCAGTGACCCGAGATTGTCCCACTACACTCAGCCTGGGTAACACAGTGAGACTGTCTTGAACAAAAAAAAAAAAAAAAGTTTGCTTTTTATCATTGTTTTTTTCAGAGATATGTCTATGATAGTTATACAAGTTTTTATTGTGTATATGTTCAATCTGCTTGTAATTTAGTGAATGCTTAGGATCTAAGAGTTGATATCTTCAGCAAATTTGGAAAATTTGGGGCTATTTCTTCAAATACATTTTCTATCCCAATTTCTTTCTCCTTTCTTCCTAGGAGTCCAATTGCATGTATTTGAGAACATTGGATATTGCCCCACTGTCTTTAAAACTGTCATTATTTAATATTTCAGCATTTTTATTCTATGTGCTTTTTGTTATTTTTTAATGCGATTTCCTCAGCTTTTCTGATATTGTTTCCACAGTATCCAATTTACTAACTAGTTAAGTGATTAACTAATTTTAGATATTTTAGGTTTTAAGGTCTGGAATTTCCATGTAAACATTTTGTACAATTACCATTTCTCTACTGAGATTCCCCATCTGTTCACTCATTAAGCTCATTAGTTCCTTTATATCTGTCAGCTAATTCCAACCTCTTTGTCATTTCTGGGTCTATAATTACTGACTTTCAAAAAATTCATTAGTTATTGGTCACTTTTTTATATCTAGTAATTAAAATGAAAATTATGGTGGATATTGTGAAATATCACTTTATCAAAAGCCAAGATTTTTTTTATGAGTGATTGTTTGGTTTTGGTAGACAGTTTACTAACAGTTTTTGCTTCATTTTCCAATGGTCTGTAAAAGCTTTGTAAAGGTGGATATAAAGTCAGTCTTGGCAGGGCACTGTGGCTTATTCCTGTAATCCCAGCACTTTGGGAGGCTGAGGCGGGTGGATCACAAGGTCAAGAGATTGGATACAAAAATTAGCTGGGTGTGGTGGCACACTCCTGTAGTCCCAGCTGCTCGGGAGGCTGAGGCAGGAGAATCACTTGAACCCAGGAGGCAGAGGTTGCACTGAGCCAAGATCATGCCACTGCACTTCAGCCTGGGCAACAAGAGCGAGACTCCGTCTAAAAAAAAAAGAAAGAAAAAAAAAGTCAGTCTTACAGGTCTAGAGTAGATAGATGCACTTCTACTGCACTCTCAGGTCTCAGATAAATGCCTGGTTTTTCAGTGAGGTCTCTGTGTGCTGCTTGGTATTCCTCCAAGAACTTAAGGAGAAAGCGATGTACATTTCCATGGCTGCTTCTCAGCACCACTTCTTCCTGTACTTTTCCCTTTCCTGTACATGCAGCCTGCCTGGCAGCCTTGAACTCTGATTTCTGACTACCCATTTCATTGAGATCTCTCTTCTCTGCTTGGACAGCACATCTCCGCATTATTTCTAGAAAGTGCCTCCAGGCAAAAGGCTGGAGCCATCAGGAAGCTCAATTTATGTGTTTTCATTCTTTCAAGTATCACAGCCCTATAGTGCCTGTGTTTAATTTTTATAGTTGTTTATCGTGGAAAGGTCATTCTGGTTATAACAGTTACTCTGTAAGAGAAATGCAAGTTGCTCTTGACAATATTTTACTTTGCATTGTAGTTATTCTTGTATATGCCTTATCTTTCTTAGCAGACCAGAAGCACCCTGAGGGCAGAGTCCACCCATTCTTTATCTTTGCTTTTTCTCCAGAGCATTCTACACAGCCTATATGCTATTTATTATAATTATTTAATTTGATTAAATATTTAATGAAAAATCTTTAGAATAAATAAATAAAATGAATGAAACAAAACACTTTATGAACTTTTGGAATAATTTTTTTTTTTTTTTTTTTTTTTTTTTTTTTTGAGACGGAGTCTCGCTCTGTCGCCCAGGCCGGACTGCGGACTGCAGTGGCGCAATCTCGGCTCACTGCAAGCTCCGCTTCCCGGGTTCACGCCATTCTCCTGCCTCAGCCTCCCGAGTAGCTGGGACTACAGGCGCCCGCCACCGCTCCCGGCTAATTTTTTGTATTTTTAGTAGAGACGGGGTTTCACCTTGTTAGCCAGGATGGTCTCGATCTCCTGACCTCATGATCCACCCGCCTCGGCCTCCCAAAGTGCTGGGATTACAGGCGTGAGCCACCGCGCCCGGCCGGAATAATTTCAAAGGCCACAAAATCCATTACACAGACTAGTTTTCTTCGACTCATCAGTTATTTTGTTTTCTGCAGCAATCACAAGAATATCTAAGTTCCTCATACTACATTCTTCCCCTGCTGATTCACAAATCTATTATAATCAGAAAGCATGTGAAAAACTGAGAAATGGGAGAAAACAATCACTGACTGCCATTTGGTAATAGGAGTAATTATTAGGAGTCAATTCGAGCATTGCTTTTAATCTTTTGAGTTGCTTTGCTGGTTGTCATTCTCTATAACTACTAAAAAGTCCAACTAGAATTTGTTTTCTTGCTCACACAGGCAAAGATGATGTTTGGAGTTCAGTGGTCAAGAAAACCCCGATGACTGCACTTCTGTATGTTTTTGTTTAACTTGTGGACAAAGACTTGTGGATAGGTGCAAAAAATAAGTCCTCTTTTGCAACCTGGAACTCATTGTTCAGTATGAGTTTTGATACATATAAGAAGGGATATTATGATACCTGAGACAGTTAACTGATGGGAGTATTGATAACCACAGAGGTTGGTTCCAGGCCAGGCTCAGTGGCTCATGCTTGCCATCCCCATACTTTGGGAGACTGAGGTTGGAGGACTGCTTGAAGCCAGGAGTTTAAGTCCAGCTTGGGCAAGAAAGTAACACCTTATCTCCACAAAAAATTAAAAATTAGCTGGGTTTAGGGGCATGTGCCTGTACTTGCAGCTACTCAGGAATGGGAGGCTGAGGCAGGAGGATTGACCCCAGGAGTTGCAGGCTGCACTGAGCTTTGATGGCACCACTGTACTCCAACCTGGGCAGCAAAGACAGACCCTGACTCTTAATTTCAAAAAGATTGATTCTAGGACTGTAGAATAGATAGTTAAAAAGCATGGGATATGAGGGAAATCCTCAGCTGTATTAAATTTGTATTCCAATTTCATGTTGACTTGATACAGAAGATGGCATTTGGTTTTAAAAGCTTTTATCTTGAGAACATGATGTCTGGAGTTAAAGGTATTGACATATTCCACACATCTGTACTATTGAGTATGATTGCTTAGGGCATCAAATTGAGAACGAGGCAGATCCACCTATACTAAAAATGACCCTAAAGTAAGTTGGTTAAAGAAATTAGACCTCAAAGATTCTTGATTTTTCCATAGGTGAATTTTGAAGTCTTCATCAGTATATCCATGTAAAAAGGAGATGACAAAAACCAAAATAAAATAATTATGGGCTGACAGGACAACTGGATTAAAATAAGCATCAGTTTCAGTAAAAAGGGCTAACTTGAAGACAAATCTTTTGAAGATAAATTTTGACACCAGTTCTTTAGAGGATCTAAAGTGACCTTGATGGAGAATGAAAGAAATCACAAGATGGAATTCCTCGAATAAAAATTTATTGACTTTAAATAATTTTGCCTAATGTTACATACACACAATTAAAAAAAAAACACCTCTTTATGCTGTTAAGAAAGAAAGAAAGAAAGAAAGAAAAGAAAAGAAAGAAAGAAAGAAAGAAAGAAAGAAAGAAAGAAAGAAAGAAAGAAAGAAAGAAAGGAAACCCTGATGAAGCCACACCTGTTTGGGGTACAAGAGGACACACGTGTTCCATGTCATGAGGGTCGAAGCAAGAGTCTGCCTCACATGAACACAGATATTTTCCTTTAAGCTAGAAGATGATCTTTATTTTCATTTTTTAAGATTCTCAAGGTAATTTATAGATGAGAAGCTAGAAATAAAGGTTGTAGCCTTTATTTCATATGACATCATTTCTAGAAAATGACTGAGCTTGCCAGCAAGGAATTGCCCTAGTGATTTTTAAATGATTCCAGTTAATTGAGTTATTGAGACATTTTTTCTCTGTGATTTTCTCCCTCATCTACTTGAGCATTTTGCTAATTCTCATACTTGAGTAATTCCTAAAGTCTCTCATCTTTTCTCCTGTTCCTAGAAGTGTCATGTAAACTTGGAGATCACGCTGACTCCACATGTTCCCCAGCTTACCTGGATCCTCCATTTGGCTTCTTAGTCAACCCTTGTCGACTTCCCTGTAAATCCCACACAGACATTGTCCTTTATACCTGATGACCTCCTGAATCCAAAAGCTACATTTTCCACTGTCTGCCAAAATCTTTCACTGGATATCTGGAGAACATTTTCCTTTATGTGTCCATTGTGAACCAAACGAGAACAAACACTACATTGTCTTCTCTTTTGCCCTTTTTACCCATTGTGACAGCTTTGTAGAATTGAAACTCAAAAATTGTTCTGACCCTTTTTCATCCTCTTTGCCCTCACAGCCTAGTCACTTTTCTAAAGATCCTCTGCCACATGTCCTGGATATCCATCCTGGACATCTGATGGACCCTGGTGTCTCTTCCTGTCACTAATCTTGCATGTGACTTCCATTTTGTAGGACTGAAATTTTCTAACTTGGGTAACAATGATGTCATTTTCTGTTTTAAAAATTCCAATAAAAACTTCAGTGCATTTCTGTCATTAAATACACGCACCTTAGTCCAACATTTAATGGTTTTCAGTGTTCTCCCTTAAAACAGGGCTATCCCTTTTTCCTTTTTCTCCACTGTTTCTCCTATGTTTCTTGTGCTATAACCAAAGTGAACTCTAAGCAGGTTCCTAAATATCTGTTCAACTTTCCCAGCCCTGTGCCATGGTTAATGCTGTTCTGTGTACCAGATGTGCTGTCCCTTTCCTCCTTCCTTTTATATCAACCTGCTAACATCTTACCCAGCCTTTAAAACGGCCTAATTTTTCTAAAGTCTTTAGTGAAAAGTACAGCTAGATACACTGTTTCACCCTTCTTTGAAATTCTATGTTCTATTACTAGTACTTCTACAGGGATGCTTGTTCATTTAGACAAGTATTTACTGATACTTTATATCGATTGCTGTGCTTTTATTATTTGTGTACTTTTATTGTGATTTTCTGAGCTTAGTTGATGATACCTTTATGAAGAAATGTATTAGGTTTTACTCATGTTTTAATGTCTGACTTATAGCTGTTATCACAGTAGATGTGGCACTGTAGTTATTGCAAGTCTTGTCTCTCAAGGATAAAGCCTTATCTTGGTATCCTTCAAAATGGCAAGATGTTCATTCTCACCACATACAATTGCATTGTCCACTGTGCCCTGCCATGATTTTCACATTTCACTCAATACCCATGGTCTGCATCAATCTGGAATCATGCATTCTGCCATCTGCCCCTTTCCTTGAAAGTCCTGCTGGCTGCAAAACAGCTGAGATTTACTAATGGGTTAATATGTTACTTCGCCCCTAATTAAAGCTATTGGTATTTAACAGGAACTTGGCCTAGATAAGGGGTGACTCAACTCTAGAGAATTTCTGAGTGGCTGGTGGACTGATGGGATGATATTTTGGGTCTGGAACAGTTTTCAATGCCTGGTAAGTGGCTGACAAGTTTATCTGTGTCTGAGAGATAGCATACGAGATTCCTGTAAACATGCGTCCATGCACTCGCTCACAAATGTACCAGGGCCCTGCAATCCTGTGAACGCCAGGTTCCTAAGAACAGTAGTAAGGCTCACCTACCTTTGTTCCTCAGGGAGCCAATGAGGGCCCAGCCATTGCGCAAGTCTGGATTCGTAGGAGATCACCTTTTATTCCAAATCACATCCTAGTTTTTGTCTTGGTCTGAATGGAAACATTAGGGGAAACACAGAGGAAAATCAGAAAGGAATCTCCAGCAACTAGTGGGAATATTAATATTTTAAGATCCCATCTCTACCTTTAATGGTAAGTTTACCTCTGTCTCTAGATTTTACCCCCCCCCCCTTCCCTGGACCCATAATAACAATGAAATATTTTTATAATAATAGAATATTTATCCATGAGTTGGGGGAATAATCAGACCCTCAATATTGTGCTATGAAAGACTGAGTACATTACTGCTCTAAAATCTGATGAAATCTACTCTTCCAAGAAAAACCAAAGGCAGGTTCTAATAAAACAGCTTTTGATTAGTGCTTCTGTTTTTATAGACGTGGCGTGGTACTGATGGTGGTGTCTCGTCCATTCTTTCAGACACGTATTTCACATAAATGCACTAAATAAAACAATGCAGTTTTCTTTATTTCTCTACACATACAAATACACATGCAGACATTCATGCTTTTGGCAATTAAAAATACATTATTTTAGATAATTTGGTGACAGAGGTCAGCAAATTAACTCAGAAAATATAGAAAACTTTTCTTTTAGACCTGTTAAACAGCATTTTCCATGAAAATAACATTGCAGTAAATTGATACGCTAGGCAAGGCTGGGCGCGGTGGCTCACGCCTGTAATCCCAGCACTTTGGGAGGCCGAGGCGGGTGGATCACGAGGTCAGGAGATCAAGACCATCCTGGCTAACACGGTGAAATCCCGTCTCTACTAAAAATACAAAAAATTAGCCGGGCAAGGTGGCGGGCGCCTGTAGTCCCAGCTACTCAGGAGGCTGAGGCTGGAGAATGGCATGAACCCCAGGGGGCGGAGCCTGCAGTAAGCCGAGATCGCACCACTGCACTCCAACCTGGGGGACAGCGAGACTCCGTCTACAAAAAAAAAAAATATTGATATGCTAGGCATGAAATGACAAGCATTCCTTTATAATAGGTCACCGCATATCTGATAGATATATCTGATGGGTTCACCTGGTTTTGCCATAGTCCTCAATCTTGGGTCAGTTTTATTGAAGCTAAAAATTGTAAGGTTAATGAGTGATAGATAAAAATTATATGTCGATAATCACTTAGATGAATGATTTTTTTAAAAAATTTTTTAATAAATATTTCAGAAAGTTACTACGGAGTCTACAATTTTATAACTAAATGTCTCACTGAGAACCAAGTACACAAAAATATACCACATGAAAAGGAATTAAGCTAACATTTTAATTGAATAATATAAATAAATACCAAGATTTACAAAGAATACAGGCATCCATGCACATGTATAGTTTTCATGTTAGTACAGCTTTGAAAATATTAGGAAAAGGTCTAGCAAAATTACCAGTCTTACCAATATAAAGACAGTTTGGATTTTTGTTGAAAACAAAATCAAATGAAACAGAACTTAAATTATAAAAAAATGCAAACACACACCCACATGAGTAATTCCATGAGTATTTAGATTTCAATAGTTTTGTACATCTTGTGAACACAGGCTCTTCATTTCTTCTCATTCCACAAAAGATAATGTATAAACTAAAATGGGGGTAAAATATGAAAAATAAGAAGGAGATAAAGTAGAATCAAACAGATTTTTTTTTCATTCATTCATTCAACAGATATTTATTAAGTATCCACTATTGACCTGGAATTTCATGTTTTAGTATTATAGTACCTATCATAAATTCCAATAATAAAGCCTTCTCAGTTATTATTTTTTTAATTGAAGAAATGGTGGTATGGTTTAGATCTGTGTCCCCACCAAATCTCACATTAAATCGTAATCCTCAATACTGGCAGTGTGGCCTGATGGGAAGTGACTGGATCATAAGGGTGCATTTCTCACGAATGGTTTAGCGCCATGGCCTTGGTGCTGTCTTTGCAATAGTGAGTTCTTGAGACATCTGGCGCTGAAAGTGTATGGCACCTCCCCTCTCACTCTTACTCCTGCTCTCACCATGTAAGATGCTTGCTCCTCCTTTGCCTTCTGCCGTGATTGGAATCTTCCTGATGATTCCCCACAAGCAGGTGCTGTCATGCTTCTTGTACAGCCTGCAGAACTGTGTGCCAAGGAAACCACCTTTCTTTTAAATTACCCAGTCTCAGGTGTTTCTTTATAGCAGTGCAAGAATGGTCTAAGAAAATTGGTACTTAGAAGTGGGGTATTGCTATAAAGATACCTGAAAATGGCCGGGCGCGGTGGCTCACACCTGTAATCCCAGCACTTTGGGAGGCCTAGGCGGGCGGATCACAAGGTCAGGAGATCGAGACCAACCTGGCTAACGTGGTGAAACCCCGTCTCTACTAAAAATACAAAAAAACCAAAAAATTAGCCAGGCGTGGTGGTGGGCTCCTGTAGTCCCAGCTACTCAAGAGGCTGAGGCAGGAGAATGGTGTGAACCCGGGAGGCGGAGCTTGCAGTGAGCCGAGATCACCCCACTGCACTCCAGCCTGGGTGACAGAGCAAGACTCTGTCTCAAAAAAAAAAAAAAAGAAAAGAAAAGAAAAGAAGAAAAGAAAGAAAGAAAATAATGTTGGGCTGGGCACGGTGGCTCAAGCCTGTAATCCCAGAACTTTGGGAGGCCGCGGCGGGTGGATCACCTGAGGTCAGAAGTTCAAGACCAGCCTGGTCAACATGGTGAAACCCCGTCTCTACTAAATATACAAAAATTAGCCGGGCGTGGTGGCGGGTGCCTGTAATCCCAACTACTCAGGAGGCTGAGGCAGGAGCATTGCTTGAACCCAGGAGGCAGAGGTTGCAGTGAGCCAAGATCACACCATTGTGCTCCAGTGCACTCCAGCCTGGGCAACAAGAGCGAAACTTCATCTCAGAAAAATAAATAAATAAATAAAAAATACAAAATCGAATTCATTTAATTTAGATTTCAGTTAAATCATTCTTATCAAAATGGTCCTGAGTAATAAGCTTTGGCCAAATTAATGAGTAGTAGCTATGAACCCCCAAAATTTGACAGGTCTCAGTTAATTTAGAAAGTGTATTTTGCCAAGGTTGAGGATGCACCCGTGACACAGCCTCAGGAAGTCCTGAAGACATGTGCCCAAGGTGGTCAGGGCACAGCTGGGTTTTATACATTTAGGGAGACATGAAACATCAATCAATATATGTAAGAAGTACATTTGTTCGGTCTGGAAAGGCGGGACAACTTGAAGCAAAGGCAGGAAAACTCCAAATGAAGCTGGGAGGCAGCTTCCAAGTCACAGATAGATGAGACACAAATGGTTACATTCTTTTGAGTTTCTGATTAGCCTTTCCAAAGGAGGCAATCAGATATGCATCTGTCTCAGTGAGCAGAAGAGTGATTTTGAATAGAATGGGAGGCAGGTTTCCCCTAAGCAGTTCCAGGCTTGAGTTTTCCTCTGTGATTTTGGGGATAAGATATTTTCCTTTCACATAGCCTACTGGTCCAAACACATAGAGTGAACAGAATTTCTCAGACTCTCTGCCATAAAAATGAAGTGGGAACTTCTCTTTTGCATTTGTATCATTACATATGTAGACACAGCCAGCAAGTTTCTTTCTAATGACTGCCGAAAAATCGAGCAACTCCAATTCCCAGATTTAAGGGGTCATGAAGGATACTCTGATTTAACAATAATTTTATCCCTAAAATAGACTGTCACATGGCATCCAACTGTCTTGTGGGCAAAATAGGTCATGGAGCAATGACTCCTTTAGCTGTTTTTGAGGTGGACTGTGGGATGCCGGGTGTCACTCGCTACGGGGCTGTGCCTTTGTATTCACATTTCTGGCCCCACAGGAGTTTCATAGATAACCTAATTTCACCTCTTTTTTCTCAGAGAGGTAGAATTATTACTCTATGCACCTGAAGTTTCATTTCTGTTTAAGTCTTTGACACATAGAACATAGACAAACTGTGATGGAATTAGGCAATATCAGAAAGAGAATAGTAGGTAGCTACAGAAAAATAAACATTAACTTCATAAACTATGGTACTTTTTGATAACAGTATTTGCAATTATCATTGCATAATTTTGATTGAGATCACAGTTACCATCTAAAATCCAGATAAGTGTTTTGTCATGTGGTGAGCACAGTTTGTAAAAAGATTTATTTTGCAACCAAGGGGGTTTATATACATATAGAGAGAGTGACAAATCCATAGATTTCATTTTAATAACAGAGTGAAGATAAAACAAAGGATATCTGGCAATTGCATATCTTGAAATAGTCACCTAAGTAAAAATATTTAACAGAAATTTTTTGTTTGTGATGTTTATGTAATTCATGTTACATAATTTTATATATTATACATTGTTATACTATGTGTACTAAATATAATGTAATGTATTGGTGGAGATAAAACGTGGTTTTATTTCTATAGGGATGAGAGAAATCTAAAATAGAGTCAATCTATTTGTGTGAATGCATTAAATACTACAGCAAATTTAAAGGGTAAAATAATAAAACATTCGATCTTCTAAAAAAGTTATTAAAACTTGGCAAATGCAGGAATGCACTATTAATGATTTTGTTTATTGGGATCTGAGCTATGTTCATTTATTATCAAATACTACTGCTTTTCTGAAAAAATAGAAACTTTTTATAGTCAGCATAAAAGCAGAAATAAATCAATTACTATAATGATGGAAATAGTTGGAAATGCAATGTACAATTTCATATCAAATCAAATTCAGTGTGTTTCTTGGCCTGGTTTGCTAATTCTTTCTGCCACCATAAAATTTGGCTGCAACAGGGCAATAGAATACTGGTGAGAAAATACTGGGTACCACTTTTTTAAAAGGAGAAAGGAAGAAGTCAAAGGAGTAAAACCAATGTGTGCAAAGCAGCACATGTTTACTCCCCTAACAACTGAAGAAGGGTAGCAATTTTGGATTAGAACCACGGCGCGTGGAAAGGAGTTTGTCATTTGTGTTCACATCCTCAGGCGCTGAAAGGTATCACCTGGCAAGGATCCTGCCCAGGCGAGCAGAGGTGACGCTGCCTCTTTCCTGGCTGTGTGCCCACATCCACAGCCTGTTCCTGCTTCCCCTCCATGTTAGAGGGGATGGTTCCAGGAGGCCGCATGGCACGTTAAAGCAAAACAAAACCAATGCCCTGCTCTTCTTCTTCATGCAGCTCCCATATTCACTATGACAGCCCAGAATTCCTCATCCTAATGATGGTGCAGGAGACTCGGGTTCTGGCCAGTCCTCTCTCCCCAGCAGCTCCTCCCTTCTCTGGCCTCGCTCTTGGCTGACGGAGTGATGGTTTCTTTCCATGAGAGACTCTGAGAAGAGCTTGACTTTAAAATATTAGGTTTGTTTTTCCTCCTGTTCTCCTTGGATTTCTTTTCTTTTCTTTTTTTCTTTTTCTTTCTTTTTTTTTTTTTTTTTTTTTTTTGAGACGGAGTCTCCCTCTGTAGCCCTGCCTGGAGTGTAATGGCGTGACCTCGACTCACTGCAACTTCCAGCTCCGGGTCCCGGTTCAAGCAGTTCTCCTGCCTCAGCCTCCCGAGTAGCTGGGATTACAGGCACGCGCCACCATGCCCAGCTAATTTTTGTATTTTTAGTAGAGACAGCGTTTGAACTCCTGACATTGTGATCCACTCACCTCGGCCTCCCAAAGTGGTGGGATTACAGGCGTAAGCCACCGTGCCTGTCCAAGATTTCTTTTCTAAGAAAATAGAGAAAAAAATATATAGAATGTGTGTGTGTGTGTGTGTGTATACACACTATATATATATATATACACACACACACACACACTTTTATGCTGACTATAAAAATTTCTGGCCAGGTGTGGTGGCTCACACCTGTAATCCCACCACTTTGGGAGGCCCAGGGGGGCGGATCACCTGAGGTCAGGAGTTCGAGACCAGCCTGACCAACATGGCTAAACACGAGCTCTACTAAGAATACAAAAATTAGCCAAGTGTGGTGGTGTGCACCTGTAATCCCAGCTACTTGGGAGGCTGAGACAGGAGAATTGCTTGAACCCAGGGGGCAGAGGTTGCAGTGAGCAGAGATCGCACCATTGCACTCCAGCCTGGGTCACAGAGCAAAAAAAAATTCGATTTTTTTTCAAAAAAGCAGTAGTATTTGGTAATCAATTAACATAGCTCACATCCAAATAAATTCATTAATAGTGCATTCCTTCATTGGCACTCTTCTAGTAAATTTTTTAAATGATTCAATGTTATACTATTTTACTGTTTAAGTTTGCTCTAGAATTTATTGCATTCATACAAATAAATGTTCTCTTTTTCAGATTTCTCTCCTCCTTATAGAAATAAAACCATGTTTTTTTCTCCACCAATATGTTAGATATATTTATTCCAAATAGTATCATATGTATAGTATATATAGTTACATACATACATAAATATATATTTTTTTCTTAGTGCAAAGTCATTGTTTCTTTGAGCCTAAAAAGCCATAAAAGTTGGCCGGGGGCAATGGCTCACGCCTGTAATCCCAACACTTTGGGAGGCCGAGGCGGGTGGATCACGAGGTCAGGAAATCGAGACCATCCTGGCTAACACGGTGAGACCCCATCTCTACTAAAAATACAAAACA
This sequence comes from Homo sapiens, assembly GCF_000001405.40. NCBI lineage: Eukaryota > Metazoa > Chordata > Mammalia > Primates > Hominidae > Homo > Homo sapiens. Next base: position 36,448,546 of record NC_000010.11, read on the forward strand.
TTAGCCGGGCATGGTGGCGAGCACCTGTAGTCCCAGCTACTCGGGAGGCTGAGGCAGGAGAATGGCGTGAACCCAGGAGGCAGAGCTTGCAGTGAGTGGAGATCGCACCACTGCACTCTAGCCTGGGCGACAGAGTGAAACTACGTCTCAAAAAAAAAGCCATAAAAGTACACATGGCACAAACACACACACAGTGACAGTCTGGAGGTTTGGGGATGAGCTACCAACTCGATTTTTAAAAATATTTTCTTATATTGAGGTGTACTTTCTTTTCAATACCATTCATCTTCCCACAATCTCCCCCTTCAATCATTTGGGGAAAATATGAGCCTTTGAGAATTTAAAACCCCTATTTCGCAGGCAATTTTCTTTGTGTGCTTTGTCTTCTGACCACATTCTCTGTAACTCTGTCAGTTGATAGCAATCAGTATTTAGGATACATTAAGAGCATGGCAGAACCAATAATTTTTTTTCTTTTGCAGTTGAATTGGAAATTCATGCTTTTAATTGTGTTTTCAGAGATAACTTGAGGTTTTGCGTTTTGGGGGTTTTGATTGTTCCTTAAAAGAAGGGGGTGGATATTTTAGAGCAAGAGTTACTTTTGTTTTCACAAAAGACACAAATCTTATTTCATTGCTTTGTTTTTCCCCCAGGAGTTAGGTTAAAGGTTATCTCCCTAAAAACTTCAGACTGGTCATTTGGCTCCGTGCTAAGTAAATAACTTTGTTCTGAGGTCTTAACTTAGTTTAGGTAAACCCAGCAGCAGTTAGGGCTCTGGTGTTTTCATGTGCATAAACTGCACCTCAGAGGAAGTTAATGCATAGTATTGCTGGAATCTGTGGAAAATCTGACTTTTTAATTCTCTATATGTATAACGTGCTTGTTAGGCCATTTAGCTGAAAACGCATCAGCAGAGCTCAAAATAGAAATACGTATATCTAATTATGTGCATAAACAATAAGCCAAGATTGCAACATCTGGTACTTTTGCAATCATGAATACCTGGCTTTAGGCTTCCCAGCATGGGGGATCGTTTTGGTCAAGGGCACAATGACACTCCCTGGGTTCGGATAATAGGGGTGTGAAAGGAGATGCAAATAGGCCTGTTCATTCCCGTCATCGGGACTCCAGAGGCTGATTTTCTAGTTCATGGTTTTATCCTCGTTTTTTTTTTCTTCCTATCTTTAGTACAATGAACTTCTGTATTTTTTCATTGCTTGTCTTTCTAAACCAAGTTGGTGTTGAGGGGGTGGTGTAGTGACCCTTTCATATTATAATTCTTTGTTTTTTGGGGTTATTTATGTTTCTTGTCAATGTTTACCTTCTCCCTCTAATTATTCCTTTGCAGGATCATGCATTTATAAGGCTGGACAGGAATTTAAGGGGCCACCTTGGGAAAAAGAACTGAACGTGTGCTGAGCAGCTACCATGAGCTGGGGCTCTTTCACCTGCTCTCTGGGTGAACTCCCAGCCCTCAAGTCTTTGGACTTGGACAATCTGTAGCTGGAAAGAAACACAACCACAGTCCAACCCATTCTTCAGTTATATTCAAGAGGCCAAGCAAGGTGAAATCATTTACCCACGTTTCTATACCTTCTTTGCTGGTGCTAAGTGGGGATGGAGAGTGAAACCAAAAACTAAAGCCATGATAAGAACAATAAAGACAAACTGTTCCTCTGAAAGAACAAACGTTTTTGTAATCGCAGACACATTTCTTTAGCTGCTGTATAAGCCAAATACTGTTTTTCCTCTCAATAGACATTTGACAGTTGTTCTTACATAGATGTCCATGCATGTTGTTTCGTCAAATATCCACATAGAATCTGCCACAGCGCTGTGTTCCCACACCCCAACACACACAGTCCAGTGTGTTTGGTATTAGAATTCTTCGAACTGTGGGCTAAGGACATTGTTTGGAATGATTTGGATTCCAATCGGTGTTCTGCCCACTGGACGAGACTGCTCTGAGACAGTGTGGGAGGTGAGCCCAATATCAGACAGTGAGAAAGCCACTCACGTCTGGCCTCTGCTTGGTGAGCTAGAGGAAGCTGCGTAAGTGAGTGGGAAGAAATAATGAATTGCTTGCAGGAAAGTATGTGAGAATCCACTGAACAAGAGGCGGTGCTAATCAACACAGGGACTCTGACACTGTTTTAAAACAGATGCTTCCAGACTCCGAGAGGAAGGAGGGAGGACAGAATGTCTTAAATTTCTTTCGAGCCCTTCTGTTTTCTAAACAATGAAATAAAATAAAAAAAAAAAAGAATGTGGGTAAAATAGCTTCCACCCACATGATACCATAGACATAGCAATACTATATTTCCTAGTGTTATTTTGGATTAATAAACTCTCTTCTACTGTAAATTGTTTATAATTTTGTCCTCATTTTTTTCTAAACTATCCATAAAATTTCCATTTCTCTTAATTCAAGATTCAACTAACCAGTCTAGAAGAATTTCTCCAACATTTCAAGTTGTCTTTGACCACAATTTCCTTTTGACACTTAAACATATGTACTCTCTTTTTAAAAAATGCCTTTTTTTCTTATCTCTGTCTATCCCTCTAAACCCTCCTAAATAAATAATTTGGGGGTACATTGTACTTATTTTTTTCCTTTTAGCTACACCTGCTGAAATGGGATAAATTTTACTTCTCCTATTGCACTTTCTTTCTTTCTTTCTTTCTTTTTTTTTTTTTTTTTTTTGAGATGGAGTCTCTCTCTGTCGCCCAGGCTGGAGTGCAGTGGCGTGATCTTGGCTCGCTGAATGCTTTGCCTCCCAGGTTCACTCCATTCTCCTGCCTCAGCCTCCCTAGTAGCTGGGACTACAGGCGCCTGCCATTACGCCCGGCTAATTTTTTGTATTTTTTTTAGTAGAGACAGGGTTTCACCATGGTAGCCAGGATGGTCTTGATCTCCTGACCTTGTGATCCACCCGTCTCGGCTGAGATTACAGGCATGAGCCACCGCGCCCGGCCTGCACTTTCATTTTAAAATATGTTAGTGATTTGAGATCTGTGTTCATATTTATCTCTACATCTAGGTTGTAATAACCTTGAGGGCAAATGCCTCGACAGACCTTAATCCCCTGCATTTCTGTACCCAAGACTGCATGCAGTGCCTCTGTGTAATATCATGGCAGTGTATGTTGCAGACCAGATGAGGTCTTGGTTAATTAAATATTTTCATATGAGTAACTCATCTTTTCAGTGAGATCATAAACTCTGCAAGAGCTGTGCACTTGACTCCCTCTGGTACTTGACAAATGGTAGGTATTTAAGCGAAACATGAATCAGTTGAAATAAGACAGTGGGTAAGAATCTGTGTGGAACATATGCTAGCATCCTGCTATTCCTACACATTAGTACCATATGTACTACTTGCTAGATGCTGCCTTAAGTAGTTTTCAGGCATTACCTGATTTGTTTCTCCTACCCTAAAGTATAGGTATAATTACTATTCCTATTGATAAGCAACAAAATTAAGGCACAGTAAGGTAAGCAAATTGCCCAAGTTCATATTACTCAGAACTAGTAGAACTGGTATCTCACCCAAGTTTTCTTTCTCCAAGATCAAGCCATTATTCAGTAATACTCTAAGTCAGGGGTCCCCAACCCTGGACAAGGAAGGGCCTGTTAAGAAGCAGGCTGCATAGCAGGAGGTGAGTGGCAGCCAAGGGATCAAAGCTTCATCTGTATTTTACAGTTGGTCCCCATTGGTCGAATTACTGCCTGAGCTCTGCCTCCTGTCAGACCAGTGGCAGCATTAGATTCTCATAGGAACATGAGCCCTATTGTGAACTGCACATGTGAGGGATCTAGGCTGCATGCTCCTTATGAGAATCTAATGCCTAATGATCTGTCACTGTCTCCCATCACCTCCAGATGGGACCATCTAGTTGCAGGAAAACAAGCTCAGGGCTCCTACCTATTCTACATTATGGTGAGTTGTGAAATTATTTAATTATTTATTACAATGTAATAATAATAGAAATAAAGTGCAAAATAAATGTAATATGCTCAAATCATCCCAAAACCATCCCCCGCCCATGGATGGAAAAATTATCTTCCACAAAACCAGTCCCTGGTGCCAAAAAGTTTGGGGACTGCTGCTCTAAATAATTTATGCCCTATATTACTTGATAATAAATATTTATTTTTTCATTAAGTTAAAATCTGCAGACAAATATTCTTCCTCTTTAGGACATAGTTGTGTGAGTTTGGACAAACGCATACACTCATGTGATCATCAAAAAATGAAGATAAACAATAGTTTATCAACAAAAAAAAAACCCCAGGTTGCTTTAAAGTCAACACTTCCCTGGCAACCACTGATCTTTTCTCTATACTTATGGTTTTGCATATTTCAAAACTGAATTATATAATATGTGGTCTTTTGAATCTGACATACTTCACTTACAGTAATCACTTCAGAATTCATCCATGTTGTGGCTTGTATCAGTAGTTTATTCCTTTTGTTGCTGAATTCCATTGTGTGGATATATCACAGCTTCTGCAGTCACCGGCTGATGCGTGACTGAGTCGTTTCCAGTTTTTGTTGATTCTGAATCAAGCCAATTTAAAGATTCGCATACAAGTATTTGTGTTAACATAAGTTTTTATTTTAGTTGGAATGATACCTAGGAGAAAGGTTGCTGGGTCATGTGATAATTATATGTTTAGCTTTCTGAGAACTTCCCAATTCTTTTGTGAACTTGCTGTACCATTTTGCATTTTTACCAGAAATATATGTCTCCATTGTCTCCAAATCCTAACTGGTATTTGGTACTGTCATTTTTTTTTTTAGTTTATCCTTTTGAATAATTTTATAATTTTAGATTTTCCATTTAAATTTATAATTCACTTTGAATTTTATTAATTTTAAAAATGCAATGCATCAAATTATTTGCTTGTTTTGCATATGAATTTTCAATTGTTCTAGCACTGTTTGTTAAAAAGATTATACTTTCTCCATTTAATAGTCTTTTACCTTTGTCAAAAATCAATTGACCATAGATGTGTGAGTGTTTTTCTGTACATTCTATTCCAGGGGCAGCAAGCTATTTTTTTTTTTCCTTTTGTAAAAGGTCCAGAAAATAAATATTTTAGGCTTTGTGGACCACATAATGTTTGTTTGTAACTACTTAATTCTCTTTACCACAAAAGCAGCTATAGAAAATATACAATTGAATAAGTGCACCTGTGTTGCTAGGCTGAATTTGGCCCCAGGAGCTATGGTTTGCTGATCCTGGCTCTATTATATTCCATTTATTTATATGTCCACTCTTAGGCTAATACCATGCCTTTTAGATTGGTGTAGTTCTGTAATAAGTCTTGAGATTAGGTATAACAAATCCTCCAACTTTGTTACAATTTTTTTTGACTATTTGCCTTTCTACATAAATTTTACACACAGCCTGTTGATTTCTACAACAAATCCTGCTGGGATTTTAATTGGAATTGTGTTGAATCTATAAATCAATTTAGAGACAATTAATATCTCAGCAAATTTGAGTTTGAATTCTTCCAACTAATAAGCATGATATATCTCTCTTTTTAATTTTTTTCATCTTTATTGATTTCTTTCATTAGTGTTTTATAGTTTTCAGTGCATATACTTTGAACATATTTTGTTAGATTTATACCTAATTTTTTTGTGTGTAATTTTAAAATTTTCATTTTCAATTGTTCATTGCTAGCAGATATAAATGTGATTTAGATTTGCATATTGACCCTATTTCATGTGACCTGGTAAGTTTGCACAATAGTTCTCATAGCTTGTTTATAGATTTTTTAGAATGTTCTACATAATTATGTCATATGAAAATTGTTTTAATTTTACTTATTTATTCTATATTCATTTTATTATTTTTGTTTGTTTGTTTGTTTTGAGACAGAGTCTTGCTCTGTGACCCGGGCTGGAGTGCAGTGGTGCAATCTCTGCTCACTGCAAGCTCCGCCTCCAGGGTTCACACCATTCTCCTGCCTCAGACTCCTGAGTAGCTGGGACTACAGGCGCCCACCACCATGCCCAGCTAATTTTTTGTGTTTTTAGTAGAGACAGGGTTTCACCATGTTAGCCAGGATGGTCTCGATCTCCTGACCTCGTGATCCGCCTGCCTCAGCCTCCCAAAGTGCTGGGATTACAAATGTGAGCCACCATGCCCAGCTTATTTTATAAGTTTTTTTATTGCACTGGCTAAGACCTTCAACATGATGTTAATGGGAGTAGTAAGAGTGGACAGCTTTATCTTCTTAATCTTAGGGAGAAAGAATTCAGTCTTCCACCATGCAGTATGATGTTAGCTATAACTTTTTTTGTAGACTCATTTTTTCTTAAGGAAGTATTCTTCTATTTCCAGATTGTTAAAGAGTTTTTATCATGGATACATGCTGAACTCTGTCAAGTATTTTTTCTATATCTATGTGGATGCTCACATGTTTTTCCTTCTTCATTAGGTTGATAAGACGAATTACATTAATTTTTAAATGTTGAACTAGTCTTTTATTCCCTGGATAAGCCCTGCTTGGAATAATGTATTATCCTTTTTCATGTTACTAGGTTTGACAAACTACAATGTTGTTGAGGATTTTTGTTGATTGTCTGAATCTCATTTCGTTGTCCTAGTCAGATAGAAAGGCTTTCTTTCCCATCCTCCCTTCCAGTTATTTTGGGACCATGTGATTAATTCTGGCCAATTAGACAGAAGGAGGAATGCTCTTTCAAAGTTGAGGCATGAGTTTTCTTTCCCTCTTTCATCTTCTGCCAGAGTGATTATGTTGATAATGTGAAGACTGAAGATGGAAACAGACTCAATTCTTGAGTTACTACTCAGAAGAGAGCTTCCCTGGAGAATCCTTGGACCTGCAACACAGTTGGGGGTGAATGGATAAGATATCTTGTTTATTAAGTCACTGAGATGATGGAATTAATTTGTTAACATGGATTAAATTAGTTAAATTAATTAAATTATACTATCCCATTAAGTGAAGATGTAGGATTTCAATAGGTTACGTAAAACAAAAATAAAATAGCTTAAAGATGATTGTTACTTGAAGTTAAGTAACTCAGCTCAAAGCTACACATTTGTCATTCAGAATTGGGGCCAAATTCAAACTAAAACTAAATGTTTGAAGGAAAAAAAAAATCCTAATGAATCACTACCTTCCAAGACTTAGTCAATAATAAAAGTGAGTATTCAGTCATTTTAAACGGAATTTTTTTCTACAATAACAAATCCTAGAGCAGTTGGTTCCTTTCCAAGTCATAGGAATACAGAATTAAGATTTCCAGCATCAGTATTCAGTACAGAGGTTTGACTAGCTAACTCTTGCCAGATCTAAAAACAACCAGTGAGCACCTCTGATATCAGGCAAGGCCAGATAAGCAAACTGAAACCTCTCAAAACGATTTACCTGTGAGTCAATTACTGATCACACTTTAACAGCCAGAAGGAAAAATAGGCAGTTACACTTTAATGGCTTTATCTCTCTGTCCTAAGTGATTTTTTTGTTTGTTTGTTTACACTTAAACCAATCACATTTAGCCACTGAATGCTTTATAAAAAAGCAGATAGATGAGTAAGTTGAACAGTGCCAATAGTCTTAAATCATAGATTATTTTACATTAAGAAAATGAGAACTGGCCAAGTGCGGTGGCTCACACCTCTAATGCCAGGACTTTCAGAGTCCGAGGCGGCTGGATCACTTGAAGTCTGGAGTTTGAGACACCCTGGCCAACATGGTGAAACCCTGTCTCTACTAAATACATGAAAATTATCTGGGCACAGTGGCGCGTGCCTGTAAACCCAGCTACTTGGGAGGCTGAGGCAGGAGCATCGCGTGAACCTGGGAGGAGGCAGAGGTTGCAGTGAGCAGAGATCATGTCACTACACTCCATCCTGGGCAACAGAGCGAGACTCTGTCTTAAAAAAAAAAGAAAAAGAAAAAAAAAGAAAAGAAGGGCTAATGATAACCTTTTAAAAAGAATTATGTGTGCTAAATTACAGAAAATAAGTGAACAGGGAAATGTCCCAGTTGGCTAGTGAATATTTTTCTTAGCATACTTTTAAAAATGTGGGTATAACATGGAAATCATAAAAATCCTAAAATGTATCATTTCATATAACATATGAATTTACATTGCCATACAATATTTATCAACGTATTGTACTAAATGCCTAAAGAATAAATTCAGTTGTTATCCCTCTATCTGAAATCTTTTTTAAATAACCACTAAAGCATTAACACAAGGAAATTTTTCGACAATGCTATTCATTTTATTTCATCTTTCAATAGATGGGGCTTCTATGTGTAATCAGATTGGCCCTTGGGGCCTAAAAATAATGGAAATTTTCAAATGGACTTGGAGGTTGCCATGTAGGACTTACTACAATAGCAGTTCCATTTGGGCATGGAGAATATATAAGTATTTGCAGGAATGGGCTAGGCGCGGTGGTTCATGCCTGTAATCCCAGCACTTTGGGAGGCCGAGGCAGGCAGATCACCTGAGGTCGGGAGTTCGAGACCAGCCTGACAAACATGGAGAAATCCCATCTCTACTAAAAATACAAAAACAAAATTAGGTGGGTATGGTGGCGCATGCCTGTAATCCCAGCTATTCAGGAAGCTGAGGCAGGAGAATCGCTTGAACCTGGGAGGTGGAGGTTGTGGTGAGCTGAGATTGCACCATGTTGGGAATAGGCCCCCAAAATCTGGCCGTAAACTGGCCCCAAAACTGGGCATAAACAAAATCTCTGCAGCACTGTGACATGTTCATGATGGCCATGACGCCCATGCTGGAAGGTTGTGGGTTTACTGGAATGAGGGCAAGGAACACCTGGCCCACCCAGGGCGGAAAACCACTTAAAGGTGTTCTTAAACCACAAACAATAGCATGAGTGATCTGTGCCTTAAGGACATGCTCCTGCTGCAGATAACTAGCCAGAGCTCATCCCTTTATTTCGGCCAATCACTTTGTTTCCCATAAGGAATACTTTTAGTTAATGTGTAATCTATAGAAACAATGCTTATCACTAGCTTGCTGTCAATAAATATGTGGGTAAATCTCTGTTCAAGGCTCTCAGCTCTGAAGGCTGTGAGACCCCTGATTTCCCACTCCATACCTCTATATTTCTGTGTGTGTGTTTTTAATTCCTTAGCGCCACTAGGTTAGGGTCTCCCCGGCCTAGCTGGTCTCAGCAGCACCATTGCACTCCAGCCTGAGCAAATAAGAGGGAAACTCTGTCTGAACAACAACAAAAAATAAATTAAAAAAAGTATTTGCAGGAATGGACAATGCAGTTTCTAAGGTAATCAGTGTCATAAGCACTGTTCTTAGCTGCATGCACCATTTGGGAATACATAAGCAGATGTTGAACTCATATTTCTTCAAGGCTGTAAATCTCAGTAGCAGGAGTCAAGCTCAGTCCCCAGAAAAAGTGGGCCTGTGATTACCCCCCGTACATTTTCCAGATGTTTCCTCTTGCCTGCCATTATCACCTGATCCTGCCAGATTATATTTCTCTTTACTATTTTTTTAGTTTCTTTTAATTAGAAAAACTGTCTCCTCAAGTTTAGGCATTTATAAATTCTCTTCAAGCTATTCTTTTTATAAAACAGAGTCTAAAATGCAAAGTTATGCAAAGTCTAAAGGGCTAGTGAGAATTAGATTGCAGAGGAATCTAATCCCCTTCCCTCCCTTTGCACCTAAGAGGAAAATTTCACAAAATCCTATGTATTTGAGATTGTTAGGGACATCAAAAAGGAGCATGGATTTAAGCCCATTGTGAAATGCTTCCAGAGGTTCCTAAGATTAAAAGGGAGAGATCAGGGTTCTGTCAGGCTTTTGTTAGTGCTTATCTCCTAGTCTTTGCATTTTGTCCTTCTCCTACCCCTCTCTTCTTTCTTCTACTTTTCCCAACTAATCCAAATTTGAATTCAATGAATTTATCAATCTCATATAATATTGAGGTGTGATTGTATTAGTTCATTTTCACACTGCTATAAAGACATACCTGAGACTGGGTAATTTATAAAGAAAAGAGGTTTAATTGGCTCACAGTTCCACAGGGCTGGGGAGGCCCCAGGAAACTTACAATCATGGCAGAAGTGGAAGCAAACATGTCCTTCTTCACAAGCCAGCAGGAGAGAGAAGTGCAGAGAGAAGGGGGAAAGTCCCTTATAAAACCATCAGATCTTGTGAATATTCACTCACTATCACAAGAAGAGCATGGGGGAATTGCCCCCATGATCCAATCTCCTCCCCCAAGGTCCTTCCCCCAATACATGGGGATTAAAATTCAGATTACAATTCAAGATGACAGCCAGGCTATATCAGTGATTAAAGGCAAGTTAATCCTATGGGATTCTGCAATCTTCAAAAAAAGAGTTTGTTAATCCAAATAAATAATGGCCTTTCAAGAAATATATTATTATTTTTAATTTAATTTTGTTTTATTTTATTTTATTTTATTTTTGAGATGGAGTCTTGCACTGTTGCACAGACTGGAGTGCAGTGGCGCAGTGTTGGCTCACTGCAAGCTCCACCTCCTGGGTTCACGCCATTCTCCTGCTTAGCCTCCCGAGTAGGTGGGACTACAGGTGCCTGTCATCATGCCTGGCTAAGTTTTTGTACTTTTAGTAGAGACTGGGTTTCACTGTGTTAGCCAGGATGGTCTCAATCTCCTGACCTCGTGATCCACCTGCCTTGACCTCCCAAAGTGCTGGGATTACAGGTGTGAGCCACCTCACCCGGCCAAGAAGGATATTTTTAAAGGAACAGACTTTCTGATGCTTGCGTTCACTACGACATCCCAGCCTCCACTACCCTTAGGAAGAATATATATATATATGTGTGTGTGTGTGTGTGTATGTGTGTGTGTGAACATTACTCAGTAGTAGGCAGAACAAAATTCAGCCACTATTTTTATAAAGGTAAATACAATCTATAAAACTTAGTAAAACAGAAAAGTAGTCACCACCATGTTAGGGAGTTCTATGGCTGTAGTGGACACAAAGAAAGTTTCAAATCACAAGGGAGAGTTGGTAATAATGACATCACCTGTACCTCCCATATACCACCCTACCCTAATGCTATACTACCTAACTAATGCTGCTACTATAACTGTGGCTACTACTACCACTGCTACTTTATTGTCATTAGTTGTGCCTTAATATTGTACAATTCTTTATAATTTATTTTTTTAATGCTTGAAGACTTTTATTTAATATCAAGTTATTTTTAAGGAACAGGGAACTAAAGCAGAAGAGAGAAGGGGCTTAGTCCTAAGCACAAGAAGTCTGTTTTTAATTTTCCAAGAGTGAGAGGAAAGGGTTTTCTTTTTCTTTTTCTTTTTTTGAGACAGAGTCTTGCTCTGTCACCCAGGCTGGAGTGCAGTGGCATGATCTTGGATCACTGCAACCTCCGCTTCCCAGGTTCAAGCAATTCTTCTGCCTCAGCTTCCCGAGTAGCTGGGACTACAGGCATGCACTACCATGCCTGGCTACTTTTTGTGTTTTTAGTAGAGACAAGGTTTTACCATATTGGCCAGGCTGGTCTCGAACTCCTGACCTTATGATCCACCCACCTCAGCCTCCCAAAGTGCTGGGATTACAGGCGTGAGCCACTGCGCCCGGCCAGGAAAGGGTTTTCATGCTACAAGCCTCTTGGTGAAATTTTAGTTTGAGCATTAATTTTGATCTCCATTCTGGTTATGGTATCAAACTAGCAGAAGCATGAACAGCTGACACATGTTTTACACAAACTCTGGAATTGGCTGCAATGACTTGTCTTGGTGAGGGGAATTCTAAGTGCCAGGCCAGCTAAGAACCAATGCAATTGAACCAATGCTGTCTAATACCAGGCTATTATATCCATAGAACACTCTTGATTTGCCTATGGCCAAACTTCTCAAAACTTTATAAAACAGGGTCTAAAATACAAAGTTATGCAAAGTCTAAAGGGCTAGTGAGAATTAGATTGCAGATTGCAAAATCACTTTTAGCTGAAACTAATAGCTTTCTGTCATTCGTTAGTGTCAAATATCTTTTTTTGTTGTTTTTTTTGTTTGTTTGTTTGTTTTTTGAGACAGAGTCTTGCTCTGTTGCCCAGGCTGTAGTGCAGTGGTACAATCTCAGCTCACTGCAACCTCCATCTCTCAGGATCAGGTAATTCCCCTGCCTCAGCCTCCCCAGTAGCTGGGATTACAGGTGTATGCCACCATGCCCGGCTAATTTTTTTGCATTTCTAGTAGAGATGGGGTTTCAACATGTTTGTCAGGCTGGTCTCAAACTCCTGACCCCATGATCAGCCCGCCTCAGCCTCCCAAGGTGTTGGGATTACAGGTGTAAGCCACCGCTCCTGGCCTCAAATATATTTTTGTTGCATTTGACCTTTATATACTTCTTTTTGAATAGTCTCTTGACATCAACAATCCTCTACTTCTTGATTTCCTCTTTCTTCTCCTTCTTCTATAGCTTCAGCTACATTCTCTGTATCCTGTTACTCCAGAATTATGGCCTCAATCCTTTTCTCTCCTACCTAGACAAACACTAATTTTGAAGATCAGGTTTTATGTATGTAACTATCCCTTTTATAATCATGATAAACACTTTGTCTACATTTTTATTCTTGAAATTTTAATTTCTCTCCCATATTTCCAGCTCATATAACACCATTAAATATTTGCTAAACATCTGCAGTAATTGCCGGAGTTACAGAAGAAATCGAAAACCTACATCTTGGCTTCTAGGAACTTATCTTTCTTTTCCTACAAAGTTATAAAGACCAGGAACATGATGTACTTACTTTAATAAGCAACTCTCTCATCAAAAACGACATGTACAGAAAACAAACTTGTCATCTCCCTATATTCATTAACATCTTCCTTCCCCATGAAGTCCAGTAAACTTTCTCGAGAATTTTCTGATGACTAATTCTTGTTGGAACTGTCATACGCAATCAATGTATGTGTTCTGCTGATAATTCTTATGAAGCATGCTCCGATTCAATGCTTTAATCTCAACATAAGCTGCTCTCCTCACATTCGGATTCTGGACAAAACTTCCTGATTACTCCCAACTTTCTCATCCTCCTCTTCCAAACCAGCCTGTTAACTGATGCTGTTAATTTTCTTAAAGACTTCTCAAATGCCAAGAGTACATCACTCACAAAAATGTTATGCTTTCTTATTTTGTTATCTTCTCATACCGAAATCTATTTCTTCAATATCATCTTACTTACTACCTTGGTTTTACTCCAATTCTATATTTTTAAGGCCTGGATCAAGATTTAACTTTTCCATGAAGCTTTATCAGGTGGATTGCAGACCACATGGTTTAATTTTGGTCCCAAAAGATAAATTATTAATATTGACCTATACAAAGCTGTCTTATACCTCAACCTCCATTGTAAACTCCTAGAGTCTACACTGTCTTTTCATTGCCCATAAAATAGGCATATTCTTCTGTTTCTAGTCTTTTTATCCTTCCTTATTAAATATTTGAAATTTTAAAATTGATAACAAATAATAAAAGACAACAAATAATCATTTTGTATAATTTACCAATTTACCATAAATTGTTACTCAAGTTGCCCTACTTCACTCTGATCTTGCATGCTACAAAAGTCATCCTATAAGATGCTTCAATTTATGCAGGCAGTAAGATGTTTGTAACACTAAGAAAACTCAGATTATATTGACAATCAGATTTATTTATGAAAATAAGTATTCATATTCACAACTTGTTATGGAGACAGAAAACACATCTGCTAAAATTGGCACTCCCATTTCAAATGACTCATGGACAGGGAGTGATAAACTATGATTTGCCAACAGGTTCATGTACCAGTTTGTGGCTTGGGTTGACATCACATGATCTTTCTTTTGCAATCTCTGGCACATGCTTCTCACATAGAATGCCAGCTATAGTTCAGTGGACATTTCTCAGAAAAGGACACAATGTCAGAGAGAAGCTTGCCACTTCTCAAAATGTGTTAGAATTGATGAATGTGTTAGAATTGATGAACACTAAGAATTGATGAACGGGTTACACTGGTTAAATTCTTCTTTAGCTTCTTTTCTTCTTTTTTGCTGTTAGTCAAGATGGGAGTCTTAATTTTTGTTTCAGCAAATGTACATCATTGTCACACAGAAAAACAAGCAACATCATAAATAGCAGTGTTAATAAATTAACTCATGATCATGCTTTTAAATCTAAATATAAAATAAAGAAAAATATTTTAAAAATAGGAAAATAAAAATATGAATATATTTATATTTAAAGAAAGAGTTACACTTATTATATTTTATGATCTATATATTCCTTACTGTAAAAATAAACTGTGAACATATTCAGTTTAGAAAATAAAGTCCTTATAGTTGAGCCTAAAAAGCTGTGTTTTCATTTCCAAATTGAGGCAATTTACAAGTAGGTGTCAAAGCAAACCATTTTCTTTTAATTATGTAGTAAATCATGTACCATGAAAACTTCCTAGGAGATTATTGAGAAAGGATGTTCTTGGCACAGAGACAGCCACATGAAAAATTGATTAGCATTGCAGAACAGAAACAAGCATGAGAAATGGAAAAGAAATATTGAAAGAGGACAGATAATTATGACAACTGGGTGTCTTGGCTAAGTGACTATTACAGTCAGTATTAGAAACTTGTCACCTATTGGTTGATTAATTTGTAGAGATCTCCAGGGAGACACTAGAATATATCAAGCTCTGGGACCCGGCTACCTGGTACATATGGTGGCTCTGCTATTTTCTTCCTATGTGGCCATGGGTAGCCTCCTTAATCTCTTTGTGCATCCATTCCCTCATCTGCAAAATGGGAATAATAATCATACCTTCTATGTAGGCTTGTGATGAGAATTAAGTGAGTCCATGTAAAACACTATAAAAAGTTCCTGGAATACAGTAAACATCCAAATGTTTGCTCTTATGAATATTACTGGTTGTAAAGGCCAGGGACCAGTACCTGTCTGTGGTTTGTTAGGAACCGGGCCACACAGTAGGAGGTGAGCAGCAAGCCATGGAGCAATGCTTCATCTGTTATTTATAGCTGCTCCCTGTCACTTGCATTACTTCCTGAGCTCTGCCTCCTGTCAAATCAGCAGCAGCATTAGATTCTCATAGGAGCACCAATCTTATTGTGAACTGTGCATGCGAGGGATCTAGGTTGCATGCTCCTTATGAGAATCTAATGCCAGATGATCTGTTACTATCTCCCATCACCCCCAGATGGGACCATCTAATTACTGGAAAACAAGCTCAGGGCTCCCATTGATTCTACTTTATGATGAGTTTTATAATTACTTAATTACATATTACAGTGTAATAATAATAGAAATAAAGTGCATAATAAATGTAATGTGCTTGAATCATCCTGACCCCGCCCTCCACTCCTGGATGGAGAAACTGTCTTCCACAAAATCAGTACCTGATGCCAAAAAGGTTGGGGACTGATGTTGTAGCGCATTGAGTAGAATATTAGAGAAATTTTACCATAGCTTAATCATTCAATTTTGATCTTTACAAACCAATGCATCCATGGGAGAAATTCATCATCAGATTTTGAAATAGACACTTATTTTGTTATAGCCAAATCCCTTAAACATAATACTGGGTAAAGGATGTAATCAAAACAAGCAGTTCACGTGGATTGAGAAAGTCTTTTGTCATCATCTCCTTGGCTACTGGTTTTGTCCTATTTAATATTTATTTCAACACCACGTTTAAAATATGAAGATGTTAAGAGTCAATTTTTAATATCAGCAATCTTATTGGATCCTTTCTTAATGGTAATACATTGACACTGCTTGGTTTAGTGCCCTCTTTGTTTACAATTGCAGTTGATCTCCTCAGATTCCTTAAGGCAATCCTGAATAGCAAGACTGCCTCACAGAAAAATGTGTGTAGTTGGTAAAGTTGAGAATAGGCAGCTTGCCACCTCTTATTTTCAGTCATACATACAAATGCAAAAGTCATATTTCAACATGCTCTTCCTGCTCTATGCCCTCACTATTGGGGCTTCATTTTGCTCTGTTTATAGAAATGGTTTTATATTCTTCGTTTAGTAAATTACATCAAGTTCTAGAAATTTAGGATTGTCAAGTGTTTATTACTTCAAGCTGTCTCTGTACTGCAAAATCCACTGTATGTTGATAGCTAATGATTTGCAAAGCATCGTGATTGTTCATAGTTACATGCACCCACTGCAAAATCCCAAAATTAGCAACAACATGTTGTTTAAATGTGTCTTTGGAAGAAGAAAACATGGAACATTGGAAGTCACTGTGTATATACACATGGCTGGTGAGAAGATGAAAGTGCACACTGGAAATCCCTGAAAGCTTTGCTAAGTTATAGCTGGCAGACTTGGCAACATTTTGCATTTTTAGGAATTAGATTTTGATACTTTTTTGTGTGAAAGCAGTAGGATCTGAATTGCTCCTGTATCATCCGTGAAGGGAGCTCTCTGTTATCTCAGCTGAATTTTCGGCAACCACAGTTTTGAAAGAACTAATGTTCTGAACAGTTCTTAAGAGATCCATGAAATTATTCTTCCATTTTCCCTCTTGTCTGTAATCTTAGAGAAAGATATATGTAAATTAATGTGAAATGCATCAAGGATAACAAGTTGAAATTGAGTCATACTTTCACCTGCCTGTGACATTTCAGGAGGTAATCACAATTCATCATGGTCACGTAAGGGGTTATCAAAATATGCAAGTTTAAATGGGGCAGAGGATTGAATGTGGGCAAGGTGTATTATGCAACTCAACAAATAAGCAATTTCAACAATTCTGAAAACTAGCTGAAGTATGAAATAACTTTGAGATTAAAAATGAACAAATTCTGACTAGTGTAAAACAGAAAAACAACCAAAGGCAAATAGCTTACTTTGAAACAATCCCAGGTGGGTTTAGTATAATTTTGCCTGGCAGAAGGAACAGTGTCAGTGATTCCCAAGGTCTCTTTGAACCTCCCTGTTTGATCACTCTGATTTTCTTCTTTCAAGGGCATCACATGTATTTTGAATGCCATGTCTGTGTGATGCACCTTCCATGTATGCATTCACTTCTTTTCTTTCTCTGGATGCAGCTCAGTTACACAGGGAGCAATGCCCTCTGGAGCTGGCATGCTGCTTGCTGTTTCTTCAAGTCCATAGTTAATGAGGATGTTTGGAAAAGTACTGAGGTTGGTAAAGTCACAGCCAAGGGAAGGGGACCAGAGTAAGCGTGTTTGTTTTTGAACTAAGCAGCATTATGTTTCTGTAATAGTCCTAACTCACAGATTAGTGCCATAATGCAGTAACATTTATTTTTAAATTTTATGGATGCATTTATATCCTTTTTCCTGATACTCATTCCTCAGGCAAATTTTAAAAAACTGATTAAAACATTACTCATACATTCTTTCTTGATGTTTGTGCACATTTTTTAAATCAAATTTTGAAAAATTGAACATTGCCATTTAAGTAAAATTGACATAAATATTATACATAAAAGTTGTCAGAGAGCAGTTTCTCTAATTAATTTTTGTTAACTTTTCTAAATGTATTTATCCAAGAAAGTTGAGAAAAGTAAAAATTATTGTCCTTCTTTAAAGAATTTGTCGGTGTTTTACCTAGCAATCACGTGACTTTTGAAACATTAAAACAAACAATAACTTGATATAATTAGTAAAAGGTAAAAACTTAGATTAGATACTTCTATTGCCTACATGTATAAAATGGACACAATACTTCCACTCCTGCCAGTCTATCTCCTGGCAATGTTTACTAAATGAAATAATGAACTTACAAATTACTTTGAGATGTAGTAAGACCATTCAGATATAAGATAACATGTATATTATTTTTTTCTAAAATTTACCTTTTTGTAAACTGTATCTCCTGAAGAAATGCACAGGAAAGTGAAAACACCATGGATTTTGAATTCAGCTCCATTATTCAGTGGCCTGGAAAATGATTTTGAAGTCATTTTATGTTTCTGATCTTTGTTTCCCCAGATGTAAAAGTTGAATGATAATTGCTTATGAAATTTTCTGTGACCACTATCAGACAGTATCAGTAACAGAATCAATATATATCAATTTTCATCATTCTTCCATTTCAATAAGGTCTAAGAAAGGTAGGTTACTATATTTAGTGTATTGATATTTTAGAAACATATAGTGATAGTTTCTGAAGCAATAATATTCATTGGAGAAATAAAGCTGATAATTTGTCTCACTCATCTTTGTTTGGTGCATAATAAACACTGTAAATAGTCAGTGATCCAAAGAGCAAATGCTTAAAGTGGCCAAGATATATGTATTTTTAAAAACTTTCTGGTGCAAAAAGTGCATATACAAAATATAATATTGTACCATAAAACAGACCCAAAACAAATTGATTACAAATATAATTAATTGTACGTTTTCTTTTCACTTTGAATTTATAAGGCCTTCGGGGAAGACCTGAATTTGTCAAAGAAATTTGTCAAAGAAAATTAACCTGAAGTATATTTCTTTTTGATGAGTTTTTAAATCATTCTTTTCAATGTAAGGGAAAGATGGCGGAATAAAAATGAATCTAAGACTCTACCTCCCTCCAAATCCAGTAGAATAAACCACTGCCATGACCACAAACAAAACCCATATCAAACAAACAAATAAGTGAACTTAAGGGCCAAGTGGGAAGGTTGGGAAAAATCAAGGATCAACTGGGAATAAGAAATCCTGCATGCCACCTGGGGATCTCTGCATCAGCAGGAAAACCTTCCAGGGCTTGCCATATGCTAGGCATATCAGATAGATTCAGGGCAATAAATTGCTTTACGTATTTTAAGGAGAAGATTTAATACAAGGAATATAACATTTTTGCAAGGGCTAGAATGGTAGGAGTCAGGTCTAATAATGGCTCTCTCTTGTGTAGAAACCACTGCTATAGCTTCAATCTAAGAACCTGGAAGGCACTACCACCGCTATCTCCTCTTCTACAACCAGCTCAATACCTCCTGACCGCACTTGTGACCAGAAAGTGGATCCACAAGGCTGCCTCCACAGCTCTTGTCCACACTCGTGTCCCTGGGACCTTGCTTGCCTGCAGAAACCTCAGCAGGATATGGGATTTCAGTTCAGAGATGAATTGCAGGTAGAGCATGAATGCATCTAATTTGCATCCATGACCCTGTCCACAAAGGAGTCTGGGAAATAGGCTTTTAGTTTTCCAGCCTCTACCATACCATAAGGCACACAAGAGGAGGCAGGAATGGATGTTGATGGCCCAGTGAACATATTCAGAGCTCCAAGGTAGGGTGGTAATTGGAAAATAAGCTGCAAATGACTGCAGTGTGATACTCCCTTGGTTCCATGGAGTGTCACTTGATGCAGGGCATTTGAAGAAATTTCCATAGAGAAAAAAAGAGTCAGCCTTCCTAGCAAGTTCTGCCTTCAGCCCCCCCAAACTCTTCATCCTGTGCACTTACACAAACCAGGTTATAAGAAATAGAGTTCAGGCCAGGAGCAGTGGCTCACGCCTGTAATCCTAGCACTTTGGGAGGCCGAGGCAGGCGGATCACGAAGTCAGGAGATCGAGACCATCCTGGCTAACACGGTGAAATCCCATCTCTACTAAAAATACAAAAAATTAGCTGGGCGTGGTGGCAGGCGCCTGTAGTCCCAGCTACTCGGGAGGCTGAGGCAGGAGAATGGCGAGAACCTGGGAGGCAGAGCTTGCAGTGAGCGGAGATCGCGCCACTGCACTCCAGCCAGGGTGACAGAGCTAGACTCTGTCTCAAAAAAAAAAAAAAAAGAAAAGAAATATAGTTCAATCCTATACACCAAGGCTACAGAAAATTCGGGGGAAAAGAGTCAGTAAGCAAATAGAAGATGAAAAACATACGCCTGAAATATTTATAACTAAATCATGTATTCACAAATGAAAATAGCTTCTTTTGCTGAAATGGTAACAGGGCAAATGCAATTTTAGTGGACTCAAGGAATTTAACTGCTGCCTAAGTATCTGGCATAGTACACAGGAGTGACTTTGGAATAAAGATTATATTTAATCTCCACTTTTAATCATCTTAATTCAAGAAATTGAAGAACATAAAACCCAGGGGTTTTTTTTCCTATTTAAAAGAATGCGCTTAAATAGCATTAGTTGACAGGTAACTACTTCAGTAAATAAAATATCCTTTTAATATAATGCCAGACTCTTCACGCCCCACCCCCAAGTCTCCATTATCCTGTAGAGTAGCTCACTATCCTCACCTGCTTTGGGCAAAAATGACTCATAGTTCAGGTGCTAAGGAAGCTGTTCATTCTATTGCATATATGTATATGGAATTACTAATTAAGCCAAGTCTTTGTGCATGAATTTGGAAATTTAATTAGTAGAGTTGATTTTTAAATTATTTCTTCGAATCACCTAGTCCATAATAATATTTGTCCCTGTGGGCTACAATTTGAAGAATTTTAATCATAATCTCCTTTTCAAAGTAAGAATCTTTCTCAAGCCTCTTTTCATTAAGAAAACTATTTATATGAAATACTTGGCAAGCCAGAACAAATCCCACATTCCACTTAGCAAAAAACAACAACAACAACAAAATCCCATTAAACACACAGTTAATACTTCTCAACACTTGTAAATCCAAAGTTCATGCTTGGGGTATACGTGCGTGTTTCCAAATTCAGAGGCCTAAACTTGATGTGCTTTAAATGAAAAAATTTCAGGTCAGAAAGAAAGTAGGAAAAATCTAGAAACCATTGGAAGATGGGTAAATATCTTCAATTTCAAATTTCTCTTCCCTCTACAGTTTCTTTATCATGTATGATGTGGTTGAAAGATCATTGCCATGAGAGCTTAGACAAAGAGATCTCCTCCTGTCTCAGGCACTCACTGGACGTGTGTCCTTGGTTACATGGAAGATGTTACCCAGGTCTGTGTGCCCCAGGCACACCACATTAGGAGTTTGAATAATACAGTTTCTCAGTTTCTAGAGTTCCATGAGTCTCAGATGCTCACTGTTTTCTGCATTGTGAACATGATTTTATTTATCAAAATAGCTTTATCTCAGATGCTTTATGCAGATGAATAGGGTAGTAGTGTCTATAATGAAACTGAATTGCTCTCTTGTTGTTTGGTTCCTGCCTTTGTCTTATGACTTACAGGTTAAAAATGGTGTTTTGGGCATTGCGCCGATATGGCTGGTTACCCTCTCCCTCCTGCACACATAGGAACCACCCCTTCCTGCCCTGTTACACATAGGCTGAGTCAGTGAGAAGCCTTTTCTTTCCCTGCACCCTAAAAGGTCCTGTGTTTTGACAATAAAACCACAAGATTTTGAAGAAGCCTGCACCTCTGCAACCTCTGCATTGAACTACATGAAGCACAGTCACTGGTCACCAGGACTACAGTGGGTTGACTCTATGTGAAGATGCACATCCAGAGATTTATTGTCCTTGCCCCTGGGTCTATGGAGTTATAAAGAAGGAAGGAATTAAGCATCTTGTTATTGAACGGTCAAAAGGAAAATGTCACTGAGTGAGTGACCTTAAGCAAGTCATGAAGCTGCACGAGAAGGGTTTACCATGGAGAAGAATGAGGGGTCCAGGCAGAAGCCTCCAAGACAATAAAGAGATGAAGTAATGAAAGGGAACTGAGTGACCCAGGAGGCCAGGGCTATGAAACACACTCTCCACCGGCTGCCACTACATCTTGTCTGATGAGGTCAACCACCACATTCAAAAAGTAGCATACTATCTTCTTAATTTAGGTTCCTTTACTCAAAATGCTGTTTAAAATACCTAGTTCGTAAGTGCACAGGTTATTAAATATACATTGCTTTGACCTACACTATGGATTAAAGTTGAAAATTAAGTCAATAACATAAATGGTTAATACACAAGTCACTGATTTAGAATAAGTTTTTTTAATCAATGTGTTTATTTTAAATTTTCATTGGGTTGGTTTGGAGGTCATTAGGACATTTTGAAGGTTTATGGTGTCCATGAAGGACTGGTTCCAGGACCTTCCTAAGATACCAACATTAGCAGATGCTCAAGTCCCTGATATCAAATGGCACTGTATTTGCATATAACCTATGCACATTCTCCTGTTACTTTAAATCATTTCTAATTTACTTATAATGCCTAATGCAATGTAAATGCTATGTAAATGCAGTTGTTCTATTGTATTGTTTAGAAAATAATGATGAGAAAAAAATCTGTCCATGTTCAGAACGGACACAATTTAAAAAAATATTTTTGATCCACAGTTGGTTGAATCCACAGAGGTGGAATCTGCAGATACAGAGGGTCGACTACATATAGAACTAGAAACTCAGAATTTAAATTTTAGCTTTATTGTTGTTCACAAGTTAATTAATACCATTAATATTATTGGCCATCTTTGTGACACTAACCATTCCCTTGGCCATTTTGTTCTGCCTCACTACCTCAAAACAAGAGGTTACAAATGGCCACCATCTCATTTCATTTCACTGTGTGTCAGGAATTCAGGCAGGTCTCCCCTGGGTGATTCTTCCATTCTGGGTGCCATCCCTCGGTTTACTCAGTGGTTGTCAGCCAGCAGCTGGACTGATGTCTGGTGTGGAGGGGTCACGAGGGCTTCAGGCACATACTGGTGCCTTGACAGAGGCATCTGGAAGCCTGGATTTTGCTGAGCCCCTTTATGTATCCCCGGGGCCTCACAAGGTGGTCGATGGGGTAGTCAACATTTACAAGATACTCAGAGCCCTGAAACTCCAAGGTGGAAAGGGTCAGTCTTCTTACAGCCCAGACCTGGAACTGTCATGGTGGCACTTCTGCCACATACAATTGGTCAAACCGGTCACAGGCCGGTGTCAGAAATAGCCTCTGCCTCTTGATGGGAATACTGATTGGAAAGAATCTGTGGTCATCGTTAATCTATCAAAGCTTGAGACCAAAGGACCACACATAGACATGAAAAGTAAAAGCCCAAATCAAACTTGAAAAGCCTGAAGCCTGGTTTAATTCTAACAATAATATATTACCAAAATAAACTAATCCTGCATTAAGACAGTGCTGAAATAAAAGATCTCTGCATTCCACTCAAGAAGTTTAACTGTCATGAACAAATGCAACATGAATATTTAATGCTTTGTTTTTAGAAATAACAAATGAATTCAATCTTTGAATCCACTTGTCCTTCAATATTTATCTTACTATTCCTTTCTGCTTTTAGAAATAATTTACAAGAGTTCTGTGTATGATCATCTATTTCCATAAAAGAAGAAAGTATCAGTATCCAACGTGTCCAAAGCTATGATAAATTCTGATGTCAAATAAAGGACTAACATACTAAAGAACAGTAATGTCAAATGGTACCAATCAAAAGAAATAAGGAGGAAAAAATCTAGAGATGTCTGCAACATCAGAGACTCATATTAATTCATGAATTAATACAAAGGAGTTTTCATCACACCTGTGTCATATTTCTCTGCAGTTTCTAACCTTGTCGCATGTTTTGCTGAAGCTCAGAGGAGCTAATGCTCTATTAAAAGCAAGAAGGAAGATTTGAATGTAGAAACAAAAAATAGGATCTTTAATAAGATATTTACAGATATAACAAATTATATACATATCCACCCATATGGCAAATAAATGAATTCAGTATCATCATCTTTCTGTGCTTTATAATCAATTTTCTTTTTCTTCAGGAAAGGTTAATCTCTCATTTGTATTCTATAATATGTGATTGATGGCTAATGTTTTATTCTTTAAAAAGATATTGCTTATATGATATAATAAGGGGAACTCTAGGGCAATAAAGCCTATATTTTCTGAGAAACAAAATATAACGGATGTTGAAATTCATGCTGTGGATACTAAATATTGTTGAATATTTGAAAAGTCCGCTTGGTTATTTTTGTTGCCTTACTGAAAAGTCTGGATCATTGAATGATCAATTTAATTAAGCCTGCTCCATAAAATTTGATTTCACCTCCTCAGTAAAATGAACAGGTGAAATAATCCATAACAAACATGGCTGCATAAGCAAGCACTTAATTAGTTACAGGTTACTTTCAAATGCATTTTTAAAATGTTAATCTTTATATGGTACCTCACATCAATATATATAAATATTATAGCTTCAAATTAAGCACCACCCTTGGCTTGCCATAGAAAACACTTAATGATTTTATAAATAAGTGCTTACATTTATAGTACTTTTTGATGGAATGTATTTAGTAAAATCTTCTCATTAATTTTATGTATTATACACTTATATATTTACATGTAAAGTATATTTTTAAGTGTGAACAAAAAATTTTTAATATTAATTTCTGTTGTTTTAAACTTTCAGTCTTTTCAACATAAGATAATAGCTGCACACATTTAATTTTTTTAAAAATAAAACACAATCTTAAAAATGTTCATGATGATTGGTCTTGGTGGTTCCTAGTAATAAGACCTGTCTTATTTTTTCACATCGAATAAATTATATTTTTATGCAGGATTGCATTAATATCCAGTAGTTCTTAAACAATGTTACTAAATAACCATATAACTCCCAAATGCAGCAAAGGCAAGCAATCTTCATTGTGCACTTTCACCTCATGGAAGTTGAAGCTGCTCCTTTTGGATATTTTTCCACTTCAATGTGAAGTACATTGTTAGGGTTTCATGAGTGGTTTCATTATGTGGCTTTTTTTTTTTTCCTTTCTTTCTTTTTTGAGATGGAGTTTCGCTCTTGTTGCCCAGGCTGGAGAGCAATGGCGCGATCTGGGCTCACCACAACCTCCGCCTCCTGGGTGGGTGTGGCTTTTTAAAAGAAAAAATAGTTTTGATTTCTTCCACAGTTCACAGTTCTCAGATGAGACTTTTTTTTTTTTTTTTTTTTTTGGTAAATCATGTAGATCAGGGATGTTTTGAAAAGCAAAATGCTCCTTAGTAGATGAAATTTCTCAATGTAATTGTAATAAATA
The DNA here is from genome assembly GCF_000001405.40 of Homo sapiens. Lineage (NCBI taxonomy): Eukaryota > Metazoa > Chordata > Mammalia > Primates > Hominidae > Homo > Homo sapiens. The sequence goes on from NC_000010.11 coordinate 36,473,515, forward strand.
AGCACCTACAGGCTGGGCATGGTGGCTTACACCTATAATCCCAGCACTTTGGGATTCTATTTCCTGATTTCAGAAGCAGAAACTGAGCCTCAAATCTGCTAAGATTGTCCTGAGCAAGAGTCTTATTTCCTGGAGAGAAAGAACTGAAAATGTGAAAAAACAGACACAAGCTCTTATCATGCAAGTGGCTGACCTGCAATGAAAGGTGCATGCACAGCCTCACCAGGTGTCTACTGTTAAAGTGAGGGCATTGATTGGAACAGAATGGGACCCTGCAACTTGGAATGGGGACGTGTGGGAGGACCTGATGAAGCTGGGGACACCGAGTTTGTAAACTCTGATGAACCTTTCTTGCCAGAAGAAACAGCTATCCCAACCCCAGTAGTGGCAACATACCCTCACCAACCCATGCTGCCATCAGCCTTTCTACCTGTCTTAGGAGATAAACCCTGTGCTGCCTGAGGCAACAGCGATGGCCTCCCCTGAGGCATTTGCCAGGCGAGATAATGTTGATTCTTCTCAGGAGCCACTCCCAACACCCATGTTTCCTTCTAGACCTATAACTAGACTAAAGTCCCGGCAGGCCCCTAGAGGTAAGGTTAAGAGTGTGACCCATGAGGAGGTGTTCTACACTCGAAAAGAACTGCTTGAGTTTTCCAATTTATATAAACAGAAATCTAGAGAACGAGCATGGGAATGCATATTAAGGGTGGGGAAAAATGGTGGAAGGAACATAGAGTTGGATCAGGCTGAATTTATTGATTTGGGCCCACTAAGTAGGGACTGTGCATTTAATGTTGCAGCTTGGGGAGTTAAAAAAGATTCTGATAGCTTATTTGCTTGTTTAGCTAAACTATGGATTAAAAGATGGCCCACTGTGAGCAAGCTGGAAATGCCTAATCTCCCTTGGTTTAAAGTAGAGGAAGGGATCCAAAGGCTTAGGGAGATTGGGATTTTGGAATGGATTAGTCACTTTAGTCCTACTCATCCCAGCTGGGAGGGTCCAGAAGATATACCTTTGACCAATGCCTTGTGAAATAGATTTGTAAGGGCAGCCTCTGCCTCTTTGAAGAGCCCTGTAATTGCTCTTCTCTGTATGTCAGATCTAACAGTAGGAACCACAGTCACTCAATCACATAATTTAAATACAATGGGAATAATTGGATTCTGAGGTGGCAGGGGCCAAGTCGCAGCACTCAACCATCAAAGGCAAGGTGGGTGTAGCTATCAAAAAGGACAGCAGAGGCAAAGCGGCAATCAGAAGAATCTGACTCTTACAGAGCTCTGGCATTGGCTAATTAATCACAGTGTTCCTACTAGTGAAATTGATAGGAAGCTTACTGCCTTCTTACTTAATTTATACAAGCAACAAACTTCTAGGGTGAATGGACAAAAGACTAATTTGAATTGTAAAAACAGAGAACGATGGCCCTTCAATCAATTTCCAGACTTGAGCCAGTTTACAGACCTAGAACTCCTTGAATAAAGGGGAGGCCAGGTCCGCTTGAGGAAGGACCCCACTACACTACCAACAATTTATGCAGTGAATCTTTCTCCCATCCTTCCCTAAGGAGACCTCTGGCCTTTTACCAGGGTAACTGTGCATTGGGGAAAGGGAATGATCAAATGTCTGATCAGATCAGATATTTTGGGGACTACTAAATATTGGCTCTAAGCTGACATTAATTTCAGGGGACCCAAAACATCATTGTGGTCCTCCAGTTAAAGTAGGGGCTTATGGAGGTCAGGTAATTAGTGGAATTTTAGCTCAGGTCCAACTTACAGTAGATTCAGTGGGTCCCCAGACACATCCTGTGATCATTTCCCCAGTGCTAGAATGCATAATTAGCATAAACATACTTAGCAGCTGGCAGAACCCTCACATTGGCTCCCTGACTGGTAGGGTGAGGGCTACTACGGTGGAAAAGGTGAAATGGCAGCTACTAGAGCTGCCTCTACCTAGAAAAATAGTAAATCAAAAACAGTGTCACATCCCTGGAGGGACTGCAGAGATTAGTGCCACCATCAAGGACTTGAAAAATACAGGGGTGGTGATTCTCACCAGATCCCCATTCAACTCTCCCATTTGGCCTGTGCAGAAGATAGATGGATCTTGGAAAATGACAGTGGATTATTGTAAGCTTAACCAAGTGGTGATTCCAATTTCAGCTGCTATACTAGATGTGGTTTCATTGCTTGAGCAAATTAACACATCTCTTGGTACCTGGTATGCAGCCATTGACTTGGCAAATGCCTTTTTCTCCATTCCTGTCCATAAGCCCACCAGAAGCAATTTCCCTTAGCTGGCAAGGCCAGCAATATAACTTTACTGTCCTACCTCAGGGGTATATCAACTCTCCAGTTTTGTGTCATAGTCTTAGTCAGAGAGACCTTGATCACTTTTTGCTTCCATAAGACATCACACTGGCCCATTACATTGACGACATTATGCTGATTCATCCAGTGAGCAAGAAGTAGCAAATACACTGGATTTATTGGTGAGACATTTGCATGCCACAGAATGGGAAATAAATCTGACTAAAATTCAGGGACCTTCTACCTCAGTAAAATTTCTAGGGGTCCAGTGGTGTGGAGCCTGTAAAGACATTCCTTCTAAGGTGAAGGATAAGTTGCTGCATTTGGCCCCTCCTATAACAAAGAAAGAGGCACAACACATAGTGGGCCTATTTGGATTTTGGAGGCAACACATTCTTCATTTGGGTGTGTTACTCCAGCCCATTTATGGAGTGACCCAAAAGGCTGCCAGTTTTGAATGGGGTCCAGAACAGGAGAAGGTTCTGCAACAGGTCCAGGCTGCTGTGCAAGTTGTTCTACCACTTGGGCCATCCTGTCATGCAGAGGTTTCCATTTGCTGTATGAAGTTCTTAGGGATACAGTCAGGTTCAAAGTCTAGGAAAGAGGCTGTGTCTCTCTTTAAGGTAGGGTTATCTCCATAGTAGAAATGATAATGGAGTGGTTTGCATAACTACTGTGACTTAACTAGATTCCCATGCTGAGGAGCGATGTGGTCACCCTTGCAGGGCAGGCCCATTCTCTTTCTACCGGAAAAAGGGGCCAAGCGGGATGTGAAATATACTCCCCTGGGAGCAAGAAAACTCAGAGTCCAGGTCAGTGCCAGAATCATGACGTAGTTTTTTTCAAGTTACTTGTTTTCTCTAACACTGTTTCATCATCAGAATATCATACTCACCGTGTCCTGCTTTCTTCACATGTATGTTGTTGAAACAGAATGATAAACATGTGCAATCACTCTGAAAAGTGCTGGAAAAATAATATGATATGCAATATTTAATCTATTTTATAATTTATGTTTTTTATTATAAAATATTAATAAACTTAAATATATGTTATATAACACAATAATATGACTTAAAAAAAGCTAATATTTATTCAGGTAGTACTATATTCCAGGTGTTATTTTAAGACTTTATATAAATTAACTCTTTTTTCAATGAAGACTTTGAAATGGAAATAGTTACTATTGGCCGGGCATGGTGGCTCATGCCTGTAATCCCAGCATTCAGGGAGGCTGAGGCGGGCGGATCACGAGGTCAGGAGATCGAGACCATCCTGGCTAACATGGTGAAATCCTGTCTGTACTAAAAATACAAAAAATTAGCAGGGCGTGGTGGTGGGTGCCTGTAGTCCCAGCTACTCGGGAGGCTGAGACAGGAGAATGGTGTGAACCCAGAAGGTGGAGCTTGCAGTGAGCCGAGATCACACCACTGCACTCCAGCCTGGGTGACAGTGTGCAACTCCATCTCAAAACAACAACAACAACAACAAAAAAGTAATAGTTACCATTATTTGCCATTTTATAGAGCACCGAGTAACTTGACCATGGTCACAGGGCTAGGAATTCCTAAAACTGGGATATGATGTTAAAACCAGAATATATAGTTTTAAACATTGTGTAATAAATAAGAAAGATACAAATTGCTGGTACAATTCTTTATATAGTACGTGTGATCAAATATCTGTTTACCTTTCATTAAATTGGGATGATAAATGTGTTATAATGCTTCCAGAACATTGATTACTAATACTGTTTATTATAACATTTAACCTGAATCACATGGGCAGGGCAGGAGACATGGTAAACTTCTTTCCCTTATTAAAATCAAATCTCATCATTACAAAAAAGAAACATTATAAGACATATGTGTAAAACTACATTACTTTAAAATAATAAAAATGTATATTTATTAACAGTAAAAGATGTCATCCTTGAAGTTTTTTTTTTTTTTTTTTTTCTAGAGACAGAGTCTCACTCTGTTGCCCAGGCTGGAGTGCAGTGGTGTGATCTGGGCTCACTGGCTCACTGCAACCTCTGTCTCCCAGGTTCAAGCAATTCTTCTGCCTCAGCCTCCCTAGTAGCTGGGACTACAGGTGCACGATGCCACACCTGGCTAATTTTTGGTATTTTAGTAGAGACAGGGTTTCACCGTGTTGCCCAGGCTGGTCTTGAAATCCTGAGCCCAGGCAATCTGCCCGCCTCGGCCTCTCAAAGTGCTAGGATTACAGGCATGAGCCACCAGGCCTGGACCCTTCAAGTTTTTTAACATCATACTACATAATGCTAAAAATTATTTATTTTTAGAATATTTTTTCTTTGAGGATGGCCATCAAGATTTTATTTAGTTTTAGAAATATTTGTTGAATGTTGATGGTACCAAGAACAGTTCTAAGTATTGCTGGTCAAGAGGTGATTAACATAAATCCCTTCTAATAAGATCTAGTCTAGTCAGAGAATCAAGAACAAGTCATTTAATAACAGGCTGTTATTGCTGAATGGAAGCAGGCTGTATATGTGGCTATTCATTCAGCTTTTTTTTTTTCTTTTTTTTCCTTTTTTTTGTGTGTGTGTATGTGTGAGATGGAGTCTCGCTCTATCGCCCAGGCTTGAGTGCAGTGGTGCAAACTTGGCTCACTGCAACCTCCGCCTCCCGGGTTCAAGCAATTCCCCTGCATCAGCCTCCTGAGTACCTGGGACTACAGACGTGCGTCACCACGTCTGGCTAAGTTTTTTGTATTTTTAGTAGAGATGGAGTTTGACCATGTTGGCCAGACTGGTCTCAAACTCCTGACCTCAGGCAATCCACCTGCCTCGGCCTCCCAAAGTGTTGGCATTACAGGCTTGAGCCACCGCTCCTGGCCTCATTCAGCTTTTAAAGTGTGATATTATCTCTATTGTAAGAGAGAAAAAGCAACTGGAAACAAATTTTATTATCTGTAGGCCAAAGCCAGAAAGGCTCTCTAAATGTGACTGAGGTAATTCCTTTTATTTATTTGCTTCTTATTGTTCTTCTTGAAGAAGAGAAAGGATCCCAGATGAAAAGTTTTAGATGCAGTAAGTAATGAAGAGAAAAACTGGTAAATATGTACGTTAATCTAAATAAGTATTATTTGTATCAGTAACAATAGAGTTTTGAGATTAAAAAACAAGCAAAAGGGAAGTAAAATAAGTAATGAAAGTAAAATAAAGTTGGGACGAGATAACAGGATTTAAGTGCTCAAAATTCAACTGTTGGTTCAACAGGATATTAAAAGTATTACAATTAAACATTAATATGTAAAGATTGGAATTTTTCTCATGACTTGTATTTTAAATAGACAAACTTATGGATATAAACTTAAAAAGTCAAATGATTAAAAATAGCTCAATTAAAATAATTAAAGAAGAGAAAATTAAAACTGAATAGGTATGAAGAAAGAAAAGCACAAAAAATGCTGACTTAAGCTAAATGTATCAATAATTGCAAAACATAAATAGATCCAATCTTCTAGTTAAAGGACAAATATTATTTGCCAATTTTTTAAAAAAGATCTTACCATCTTCTGTCCTATTTAAATTATAAGGAAGCAGAATAGTTGACAGAAAAAAATTCAAAAGAAAATAATAGCACTTAATAATCAAAAATAAAGCTCTTATAATTTTATTAACAGATGAAACAGACTTTAAGCAAAAATTAGACATAACATGGGACATTTTTTAGAGATGAATGTCTTAGAAAGTATGTAAAAGTTTATGTATTTCAAAACATAGTCTCAAGATATATAAATCAAAAATTGATATAAGTATAAAGAAAAATAGGCAAAATAACCAAAGTGAAAAATTTCAGCATATAAACAGGAGATCAGTAGAGGAAATGTAGAGAACACAACTGGTAAGTAACACCTAAAAGACAAAACAGAAGAGAATAACAGAATTCTGCACTCATGAACTGGAGAATACATATTCTTTTCAAATATTCATTTAAAAATTACAATAACTGATCATTTCCTGGAGGATAAATCAACTCTTGACAAATTTCAAATTGAAATATAATAACATAGAACATATTCAAAGAATGCAATTTGAGTTTGAAATAAATTACAAAAAACAAAAACAAAAACTAGAAACCCTCTCACATGATTGAAGATTAAGAAATGTAGTTCTGTCAAAGATGAGTTGGCTGTAAGTATTTGACTGTATCTCTGGGTTCTCTGTTCTATTCCATTGATCTACATTCCTATTTTTATACCAGTACCGTGCTGTTTTGGTAACTATAGTGTTGTAAGTTTGAAGTCAGGTAATGTGATGCCTGCAGATTTGTTCTTTTTGCTTAGTATTGCTTTGGCTATGTGGGCTCTTTTCTGGTTCCATATACATTTTAGGATTGTATTTTTCTAGTTGTGTGAAGAATGATGATGGTATTTTGATGGGAATTGCATTGAACTTGTAGATTGCTTTTGGCAATATGGTCATTTTCCCAATATTGATTCTACCCATCCATGAGCATGGGATGTGTTTCCATTTGTTTGTGTCATCTATGATTTCTTTCAGCAGTGTTTTGCAGTTTTCCTTGTAAAGAACTTTCACCTCCTTGGTTAAGTATGTTCCTAGGTATTTTATTTTTCTGCAGCTGTTGTAAATGGGATAGAGTTCTTGATTTGATTCTCAGATTGGCCTTCCCAAAAATTATTAAAATAAAAATTAAAAGGCCAGGCGTGGTGGTTCACACCTGTAATCCCAGCACTTTGGGAGGCTGAGGCGGGCAGATCATGAGGTCAGGAGATCGAGACCTTCCTGGCTAACATGGTGAAACCCCGTCTCTACTAAAAATACAAAAAATTAGCTAGGCATGGTGGCGGGCACATGTAGTCCCAGCTACTCGGGAGGCTGAGGCAGGAGAATGGCGTGAACCCAGGAGGCAGAGCTTGCAGTGAGTGGAGATCGCACCATTGCACTCCAGCCTTGGCAACAGAGTGAGACTCTGTCTCAAAAAAAAAAAATTAATTAATTAAAATTTAAAAAATAAAATAAGAAAGAAGCATAGTTTTAAAAATTCATTGATCCAAAAAGAAATAATAGTAAAAATGACAATATTTTGAACTGAACAATAAAGAAAATGCATGTCTATGGTTGCGAGGTGCAGCCAAAATAGTAACTTACAGGAAAATTATGGGCTTAGTTATGTATATATGAAAATATAATGAAAAATTAATAAAATATTTATCCAAGAATTTTGAAAAATAACAAAAAGAAGAGCAAATTAAACTCAGTAAAAGTAGAAGAAAGGAAATATTAAGGGTAAGAACAAAAATTAATAAACTTGAATATGCACAATAGAAAATTTCAGAAAAACAAGAGATAGTGTTATAGAAAAATTAATAAAATCGAAATATCTCTGATAGTATCATTCAAAGAAAACCAGTAAAAGCAAAATAATTATTGTTAGAAATATGAAGACACTGAACAATAACTGTGTCCAGAATTGTGGGTTCTTGGTCTCACTGACTTCAAGAATGAAGCCGTGGACCCTCGCGGTGAGTGTTACAGTTCTTAAAGGCGGCTTGTCCGGAGTTTTTTCCTTCCGGTGGGCTCGTGGTCTCGCTGGTTTCAGGGGTGAAGTTGTAGACCTTCGCGGTGAATGTTACAGCTCATAAAGGCAGTGTGGACCCAAAGAATGAGCAGTAGCAAGATTTATTGCAAAGAGCGAAAGAACAAAGCTTCCACAATGTGGAAGGGGACCCGAGCGGGTTGCCACTCCTGGCTGGGGCAGCCTGCTTTTATTCTCTTATCTGGCCCCACTCACAACCTGCTGATTGGTAGAGCCGAGCGGTCTGTTTTGACAGGGCGCTGATTGGTGCATTTACAATCCCTGAGCTAGACACAAAGGTTCTCCAAGTCCCCCCCGCAGAGTAGCCAGATACAGAGTGCCGATTGGTGTATTCACAAACCCTGAGCTAGACATAAAGGTTCTCCAAGGCCCCACCAGAGTAGCTAGATACAGTGTCGATTGGTGCATTCACAAACCCTGAGCTAGACACAGGGTGCTGATTGGTGCATTTACAATCCCTTAGCTAGACATAAAGGTCTGCAAGTCCTCACCAGACTCAGGAGCCCAGCTGGCTTCACCCAGTGGATCCTGCACCGGGCCTGCAGTTGGAGCTGCCAGCCAGTCCTGCACCGTGCACCCACACTCCTCAGCCCTTGGGTGGTCGATGGGACTGGGCGCCATGGAGCAGGGGGTGGCGCTCTTCGGGGAGGCTTGGGCGGCACAGGAGCCCATGGAGAGGTTGGGAGGCTCAGGCATGGCGGGCTGCAGGTCCCGAACCCTGCCCCGCCAGAAGGCAGCTAAGGCCCGGTGAGAAATCAAGCTCAGCGCTGGTGGGCTGGCAGTGCTGGGGGACCCAGTACAACCTCCGCAGCGGCTGGCCCTGGTGCTAAGCCCCTCATTGCCCCAGGCTGGCAGGGCCAGCCGGCTGCTCCGAGTGTGGGCCGCCAAGCCCACGCCCACCTGGAACTCCAGCTGGCCCGCAAGCACTGCACACAGCCCCGGTTCCCGCTCGTGCCTCTCCCTCCACACCTCCCTGCAAGCTGAGGGAGTAGGCTCCAGCCTTGGCCAGCCCAGAAAGGGGCTCCCACAGTGCAGCGGGGGGCTGAAGGGCTCCTCAAGTGCCGCCAAAGTGGAAGCCCAGGCAGAGGAGGCACCGAGAGCTAGCGAGGGCTGTGAGGACTGCCAGCACGCTGTCACCTCTCAATAACATGATATCAAGAAAAGTTTTATGCCAACATTTCAATTTAGATAAAATGGAAATATTCCTCAAAGTAAAACAAACACAATTTAACAAAACTGACCCAAGAAAAAGTAGATTGCTTGATAAGTCCAGAAACCATTAAGTCTGACTTACTATTCAGAAAACTTCCCTCAGAAAGAGTTTTCAGAAAACTCCTGGCCCAAATGATTTTACTAGAGTTTTTACATTCAATGAAAGTCGAAATAAATCCAAACAAGCACAGCCTCCAAGAGAAAAAGAAAAGAGGAAACATTCTGCAGCTCATTTCCTGAGAATAACATAACCCTAGAAACCGCAATGCAACAAGGATAAAAGGGAAAAAAATTATAATTCCTTGCCATTCATGAAAATAAATGCAAAAAAGCTTAAATTAAATGTTAGCAAACTTAACCTAGCAATATATTATAAAGGAATAATATATCATGACCAAATCAGTTATCCTAGGAATGTAGAATTTTTTTTTTTTTTTGAGACGGAGTCTTGCTCTGTTGCCCAGGCTGGAGTGCAGTGGAGTGGTCTCGGCTCACTGCAACCTCTGCCTCCCAGGTTCATGCCATTCTCCTGCCTCAGCCTCCCAAGTAGCTGGGACTACAGGTGCCTCCCACCATGCCCAGCTAATGTTTTGTATTTTTAGTGGAGATGGGGTTTCACTGTGTTAGCCAGAATGGTCTTGATATCCTGACCTTGTGATCTACCCACATCAGCCTCCGCTGATGTGAGCCACCATGCCCAGCTGGAATGTAGAATTTTTTATATTAAAAATGATGTAATTATCATGTTAAGAGTAGAAAGATAAAAATCCTAAAATTATCTCAACAAACATAGAAAAACATAGGGTAAAATTCAAAATCCATCCATGGTAAAAACAAAAACCTCACAGTAAACAAATAATTGAACTGAACTTTCTTCTTCCAATAGAACATATCTATAAAAACCTTACAGCTAACATTGTACCTATCACTAAAATATTGACAGTATTCTTTTTGGGATTGAATCAAGACAAAGGTGCCCGATACCACCATTTCAGCTCAATAGTTTATTGCAGATATTAACCATTGCAATAACTTCCCCTTCCTTCAAGCACAAAGGAAACAGGATGATAAAGGAAAAAAGAGCAAAAAAGTTGTAAGAGGATCTCTAGAAGAATATTATTATTATGAACAAAGTAGAATTATAAATTAGAATTATTTAAATATTAAATCTGGAAGTGCAAATTATTTTAGCAAGTTTATTGGGAAATAAATTATTAAGCAAAAATCAATTGTATTTCTACATATCAGCAAATACTAAAGGGATAGAGATTATAGAACTTTTACAAAAGCAGGAAAAATTGTCTACAGAAAAGATTATAAAATGTCATTGAGATATTAAATAAGACCTACAAATATTGAGAGGGAAACCATACTCAAAGATCAGAAGTCTCCAAACTATTAAATTGTTGATTTTCTCAAAAATGAGGTATAGATTAAAAGCAACTACGTTGAAAGTATCAGGAGGTTTTGCCCATTTTGTTTTTGCTTTTAAATGAAACTTGACCAGCTTATTTGAAGATTTTTATGGGCATGCAAAGGGCCATGAATAGTTAAGATGCTCTTGAGAAGAAAACATAAGATGGGAGGAATGCCTTTTCACATGTAATGTCTTACTGTACTTACACAGCTAGGTATTTAAGAAAATGTAGATTTGCTTCAGGGAAAGAGAAATTGAATAGGATGAGGAATTTGTATGTGAAACCCACACCCTTCTCTGGCACTAGAGACTCAACCGTCTCTATATATTTTCAGTATTTCCAGTTGGAGGCCCAATGAGCAACTAAAACTTCATGTATCCAACATTAGATTTCTAATCATTCTCCCAAACACCAACCCAGGCTCACTCTTACTCATCCTTTTCTTTCATATGCCATATCAATCTAGTTATATATTCTGTTGACTCTACTTTTAAAATACACAGCATTGACCTCTTCTTTCCTACGTCCATTTGAACCATCTGGTCAGAATTGTGATCATATCTGACATATACTTCTGCAATCGTCCCCTAATTGATCTCCCTGCTTTCCTTTTTACCCCAGACCCGGTCTTTTCTTCAACCAGCTGCCAGAAGGATTCTTTGAAACATAAATCTGATTGCTCCTCTCTGCAATGGCTTAAAGTCCTTATGATGCCCTAGAACCTTGCAAAACCTGTCCCATCATTTTGTGGCCTCTGCTCCTACTAATATCACTGGTCTTTTTGCTGTCTCATTAATCTGCCAGGTCTGCAGCTGCCTGTAGGCCTAGTCACTGCGAATGCTCTTCTTTTGGATGCCCATACTGCTATAATAACTTCCTCATCTTATTCACTCTTTGATGACCACCTTTCTTTCTTTTTTTGTTTTTTTTTTTGATATGGAGTCTCGCTCTGTCGCCCAGGCTGGACTGCAGTGGTGCAATCTTGGCTCACTGCAAGTTCAGCCTCCCAGGTTCACACCATTCTCCTTCCTCAGCCTCCCAAGTAGCTGGGACTACAGGTGCCTGCCACCACGCCCGGCTAATGTTTTTGTATTTTTAGTAGAGACGGGGTTTCACCGTGTTAGCCAGGATGGTCTCGATCTCCTGACCTCATGATCCGCCTGCCTCAGCCTCCCAAAGTGCTGGGATTACAGGCGTGAGCCACTGCGCTTCGCTTGATGATCACTTTTCAATGCACTTACTCTGACCAATCCAATTTAAATTGAAAACTACTCAACCCCTCTGTTCCTCCCCAGGACTACTTTTTCTCTTTTTGTATAGTACTTATCATCCTATAATATTTAAACAGAGGCTAGGCGTTGTGGTCCCTGTTTTAGTCCCAGCTACTTGGGAGGCTGAGGCAAGAGGATATCTGAGCCCAGGAGTTGGAGACCAGCCTGGGCATCATAGCGAGACCCTTTCTCAAAATACATATATATTTGAACAACTTATTTATTTACTATGTCCATTGTTTGCTATCTGATTCTTCTTACAAATGCACACACTCCATGAGGGCAGAAAGTCATTCCACATGTTCTGCATTGTTTATTGGTGAGCAGTGCCTGACCTACAGAACACTCTGTGTTGAAGTGAATGAGTAGAGAGTCTTAAGCAGATAATATAATACATAATATGAAGTCAGAAATGGGAAAATTGACTCTTGAATAAGTAGTGCTGATAACTGAATACTCATTTAGAAAAAGATACAGTATCTCACCCCAGCCAAATAAAGCAATTTCAGGATTATATTATATACTAAACATTTCTCTGTTTTTCCTTTCACGTTGAATAGAGATTCTAATTTTGATGTCACAAATCTATATAATGTCTTTTCTATCATAATTAGTGCTTTCATGTACTATGTAATATAAGAGAGTATGATAATTCCCTTGTTCTGCACAGAAAGCACAAGTTATGATATGAAAGATTGATACATTTGTGACTTAAAATTAGAATCTTGTATTCATCAAAAGTCACCATTAAGAGAGTAAAAAAGGCAAAATATCAATTCAGAAAAGACATTTGTTTTATATAAAACTGACAATGGATTAGTTTTCAGTATCTATAAGTAACTTCTACAAACAAAAAGAAAAACAGATAACCCCATAAAACATTGGACAAAAACTTGAATAGATACTTTTTATAAAAGACCCAAATTATATGCACTTACACATGCACAAATTTATATATATAAATATATACACACATATATAGTACACACAAATACATTAAACATATGTGTATGCAAATATGACGTATGTAATAAAAGTATTAATAATCACCAAATGCAAATTAAAACCCTAAAATACAAAATTACATACAATTAAAATATCGGCCAGGATGTAAAGTAACTCTCATTCATTGCTTGTGAAACTTTAAGCAGATACAAGTGCCTTGGAAAACTGTTGTTATTTAATAATCTGAAGATATATATCATGAGTTAACAACTGCACTCTTGGGAATACGCCCTGGATAGACCCTTGAAGTATGCACATCATGAATAATATGAAATAATGTTCATAGCAGCATTTTTCACAAGAGCCCAACATGGGAAGAAGTCTAAAAGCTCTCTAATGCTATGATAGATAAAATATTAAGTGATAGTCATACAGTGGAATGTTACACAAAAAATAGAAAACTGCTCCTTAGTACCTACAACAGAGGTGAATGTCACAGACATAGGTCAATCAGAGGAAGCAACAGATAGTGTGATATACATAGCACAATTCCATTCAGATGGAACTCCAAACGAAGGAAACTAAAATACAGTGTTTTTTTTTTTTTTTTCTTGAGACGGAGTCTCGCTGTCTCCCAGGCTGGAGTGCAGTGGGGCGATCTCGGCTCACTGCAAGCTTCGCCTCCCAGGTTCTCACCATTCTCCTGCCTCAGCCTCCCCAGTAGCTGGGACTACAGGCGCAAGCCACCATGCCCAGCTAATTTTTTGTATTTTTAGTGGAGATGGTGTTTCACCATGTTAGCCAGGATGGTCTCGATCTCCTGACCTCGTGATCCGCCCACCTCGGCCTCCCAAAGTGCTGGCATTACAGGCGTGAGCCACCGCGCCCAGCCTAAAATACAGTGTTTAATGAGATACACACAGGCAGTGGAAATATAAAACCAAAGAAGAAGGCAATTATTGTAACATTAGGAAAGTGTTTGGCTCCAGGGGACATGGAGGAGGAGGTGATGATAAGGAGGACGAAGGCAGGTTCTGGGATGTTTGTCATGTTCTCATTATTTTGACCTGTTTAAAGTGTTTTTTAAAATTTTTCCCATTCCCTTTACTGATTACAACTTACATATATGATTTATACATTTTTTCTGTATGAATGTTATTTTCCAAAATCGAAACAAGCCTACAGTTCTGAAGACCTTATCTTATAGTTAATTTTCCATATAACAACAGTGTTCTTCTCTCAGAAAATGTAAAGCTTAAGGTCCCTTAATTGTGCCAGTAAATATTTGCTGAACATCCACCTTGTGCCAGGTATCTTTCTAAGCACTGAGATTACGGTGAGGAATAAAATAGATGATATTTATAAGGTTGTCCTCAATGCAGCCTGCAATTTAAGGAAATTAATCCTGTGGCTTGATTTAAATCTCTGGCTTACCCTATGCAACTGTTTAACTCAGCCTTCCCATACGAAATAAGACACTGTGGAATATAGTAATATAGTTGGAAACTAAATTTCAGTCCCTTTACTCTCTTCCTAGTTGCATTACCAAAGAGCTTTCAGTCTATAGAGCCTTCATCTTTATAGAGGGGACCCTATTTCCTGTTCTATTGAGCCACAGGTCTTCTGTGGGGAAAAACATTACATATCAATGTACATTTAAAATCATGACAGTAATGTGATTTATTCAAATATTTAGATATATATTTGTATTGAAAGTTCTTTAAACAGTGGAATTGTATCTTCTACAGTCTTGCTCTCAATTTTTTCTTGGCAGGGCAAAGAGAATGAGGCCTTCCTTATCAAATGTGTGTGAGTGCTGCTTGCTGCCTGGTGGAGGATACTGAACATAGAAATGTCATAACTGAAGATTCCCGAGGGTGGCATTGGTATATAAACGGCAGTGGAGAAACTCTGCTTTTGGTGAAGCTACCAAATCTGTGTGTGTATATCTAGCAAAAATATACCACATTAAAGGATATCAAATTTACCATTTTAAGCATATAGTACAGTAGCATTAAGTACATTTGCACTATAATCCAACCATCACCGCCATTCATCTTCAGAATTTTTTTCTTCCCAAACTGAAGCTCTGTACACATTAAACAATAACTCCCTATTTCCCCTTCCCTCCAGAGGGCTGTACATTTGGAAAACTGTTATGATTCAGTTTTCCAACCTCCATTCTACTTTTTGTCTCTAGAAATATGATTATGCTAGGCATAATACTTCCCATAAACGGACTCATACAACCTATTTCCTTTTGTGTTTGGCTTGTGTCACTTAGCATGTTGTTTTCAAGGTTCTTTCATGTAGCATGTTTCAGAATTCCTCCTCTTTTAAGGCTGAATAATATTTCAATATGCCTATTTACCATATATTGTTTATCCGTGCATCTATCAATGAGTATTTGGATTGTTTTGGGTATTATTAAGTAATGCTGCTATTAACATGGGTATACAGATATCTGCCCAAGTCTCTGCTTTCAATTCTTTGAGGCACGTGCTCAGCAGTGGCATTTCCAAGTCACGTGATAATTCTATATTTAGTGTTTTGAGGGATAGCCTTACTGTTTTCCACAGCAGCTGCACCATTTTACACTCCACCACCTATGTAGAGGATTCACATTTCTCCAATCTGCACCAATATTTATTTTCTGTTTTTTCGTTTGTTTGGTTGTTAGTTTTTTAATCACAGCCATGCTAATGGGTGTGAAGCGGTATCTCATTGTCATTCTGACTTGCATTTCCCTAAGACCAATTTGTTTCCGAACCAGGACAATTTTCAGCTCCCACCCTACCACTACTTTCCCCACTCCTGCACCCTCATTTCCTTGCTTTTTTTTTTTTTTTTTTTTTTGAGATGGATTCTCACTCTGTCGCCAAGGCTGGAGTCCAGTGGTGCGATTTCAACTCACTGCAACCTCCACCTCCTGGGTTCAAGCAATTCTTCTGTCTCCAAGCAATTCTCCTGTCTCAGGCTCCAGAGTAGCTAGGATTACAGGCGCACATCACCATGACTGTCTAATTTTTGTATTTTTAGTAGAGACAGGGTTTCACCATATGCCAGGCTGGTCTGTAACTCCTGACCCACCCGCCTCGGCCTCCCAAAGTGCTGAGATTATAGGCGTGAGCCACCGCGCCTGGCCTTCCTTCCTCTTTTAAATAAGTGGTAGCTGAAAGAGTCTAGACTCTTGAGTACATTTCCCGACTAGTCTCTGACTTTTTCACAAGAAAGTCATTGTATGGCCACTCAAAGAAAACATTTTGATTATTCATATAATTTCACAGTGCCTGTGATAGCTCTGCTCAGCCCCTTTTTCTGAGGTGTGACATGCCATCTGTCAAAGTGAGAACAGGAACCCTCCTTTCCTTCAAGCTGTTGTCCTGCACACAGAACAAGTGAAAGATACTGGAAAACCCTCTGTTGGATTCTAAAGTTCTTTTGACCTTAGCTTGAAAATAAAAAAGAATCAGGAAATATTTTCTTGCTGGGTTGGAGCCAATGACTCTTGGCCAGAAATAACTGTGTAGAGTTCCTCTCGGCTGGACCCATGAGGCCAGGCCTTCAGGGGAGGTCCTGGAGTAGGGGAGCATGGTGAGACCAGCGCCTCTCATCTGAGTGCATCCACTTGGAGGAGATCTAGGGGAGGCTAGCTCCTTGAACTGAATCCTGTTTAGAGGAGGGGACCCAACTTGGGGAGAATTTTCTCTCCAAGCCCAGTGGGCAAGGCCTAGGAGCCGTAGCCTTCCTATCAGTTTATCCGAAAACCCTGATAGAAGTCAGCACATTTTTAAAAACACTTAAGTCCATTGTTTCCTTTTTGAGGGAGAAAAAAGTGCTAAAGAATGTTAAGCTCTTCTAGCAGCACTCTTACTCATAGCCAGATTGAATTTCTTTTTCCTTCATGGATTCCCTGAGGCATCATTATAATGAAAAAGTAGGCATCAGAAAAACACTTACCGGGTTGTGTCTGGAGAAAAAGTCACTTTTGGGACAACCCGTGTAAAAAATCTCTACACATTTTATTCTAATTACAGGTCTGCAAACCATTCTCATCTCCAGTGGATATTAGTGAACTACTGCCCCCTTGAAGGTCATGACCTTGGGCAACAGTAAGGGTTTGCCATCAAAAACAAGACTAAAATAACACTGATGGCTGCTTTCAGGAGGTCTGAGATGAGAGCTAGAGTTCTCCTCCCTAGGGCCCCTACATGGATTTACTCATGAGTTTACACACTTGAACTTCTCTGCCGTTTATCCTTAGGTATTGCCAGCTTCTCCCTTTTTGGCCTAGTCATTCTTTGTGTTTCTCATTCATTCCAGACTGCTCCCTTTTTTCTTTCTTCCTGTCTCAGTCAGCACAGGAGATAAAGGTTAACAGCGTTTTGAGTGTGACCTGTGAGGGAAATTGCTATTGTTTAATTCCAGTTTCTTGCCATGGAGTTATTTACTTATCTTTCTATTAAATCCTCATAGCATGTTACTCCTTTTTCTTATGTTTTCACACAATGCCCTTTATTTCAACTGATTACTTGTTTTGATTTTCCTTAGCCTATCTTATTTTTGCATTTCCTAAGAGTCTTCCTGTGGCAGCACATTTCATAACCACTATTTGATTTGTAAATTTATCTTTGTGGACCATCTTCCACTCCCAGATGATTACATGAACAAGTAGCTTGGTTGTAGACTTGTTCTTTAGAATACAGTGCCTTAGATTAAGATGAGAACTGGGCCGGGTGTGGTGGCTCACGCCTGTAATCCCAGCACTTTGTGAGGCCAAGGCGGGTGGATCACGAGGTTAGGAGATCAAGACCATCCTGGCTAACATGGTGAAACCCTGTCTCTACTAAAAATACAAAACATTAGCCGGGCATGGTGGCGGGTGCCAGAAGTCCCAGCTACTCAGGAGGCTGAGGCAGGAGAATGGCGTGAACCCGAGAGGCGGAGCTTGCAGTGAGCCGAGATCTCACCACTGCACTCCAGCCTGGGCGACAGAGCAAGACTCTGTCTCAAAAAAAAAAAAAAAAAAAATGAGAACTGAACTGAGATGAAGACTTCTTTAACATAGTGCCATCTGGGAAAGGACCAGCATCTATGGGAATCAACTTTGACAGATGCAATGAGGTTTTGGGGGACATCACTATGATTCATAATATGGTCATGTAATTGCTGGACAATGACATATTTTATTTTAGAACACTTTTAATTTTTCAATGAACTTCCTTTTAGATTTAGAGTTTGGTTTTTAGACCAACTCTGTGTGGTAGCTACAATAGGTCCAAACATTCTCATTTCCTAGATAAAGACACTGAATATAAAGATATAAGTGCACGTCCTCTATATGGGCACCTGTTATATTGTCTCACACATAGTTAAGGGTTTATTCATTTATCAACAAACATCTATTTAGTTTCTATTGCCATATCAGGTACATTGGTAGGTGTCGGCGATAAAAAGAACAATACAGACAACAATAAAAAAATCACCTAATCGAAAGTGATCGATCAGTCTATTAGGGAATTAATAACAATAATGGTATCGTAAGCATGTGTTTCAAACTCTTATTAATTTCATTGGTAGTGGAATAATGTGTCTGTTTAGCAAAATCCTACAGATTTTGTTATTAGGTAACAACTCATAGCAAAAACCCACATGGAAAGCTGAGAGAACAGTAGGCAGAATTATTTTATTTGCTCTGTATGACTTTCAAAGACCTATGAAACTGATTATTTAAACAAATTCTAAAAGAGCATGTTCTGAAAGCCTGAAATACTTGTTAGAATGAATTATTCTTTCTCCTTCTAATGGACAAAGCAGGCCCTAAACAGGAGAATGCTAGTATTCTTCTTTGCTCTACTGTCTCAGGTCCCTGGGGAGGGGAGTTCCCAGTTATACACAGCACTCCCTCCACACATGTAAGATGCATTTAGTTCTTATGTCAGAGCCCCCACTCTCCTACCTGCCATCTGGGCTGTCCTGTGTACTTACAGCCGTTTGTCACTCATCTCATATCTTTCCAATAGTGAATTTTTAAGTGGGGAATGGAGTCCAGGAAGAACACCATGAAGCTCAACAAGGGAGGAAGAGGGTCTGGATGATATCATCATTATGTCTCGATCTCCCTCAGTCTACCATACAACTCCTGCCGAGGCTTCTAGAATATTCTGTTACTTCAGCTTGTTAGCCCATGTGATACAGAGATATTGCTCACTGTCCAAATGGTCACCCATAATGGAAAGCTGAGCCATACAGAAGGGACATTGCCCACAGGGATAAAGAGGGTACATGCAGGAAAAATCATCCTTATTTTCACCACATTCCATGTTGCTCCATTTTGTTGGATTGGTTATTTTTCTTTTTCTCTGTGCTCCAAAAATTATCAGGCCTCTCATCGACCCAAAGTGGCCTAGATTTGTTCTTATTTCTTTGACTGAGTGTCTCACAAAGTGATCTGACCTTTTACAAAACCTTTTGTCACTTGTTTGAGAAAAATCAAGAGAGCTAGCTCCATCTCCTGATAAAATGCCATGCTACAATTATTTCATTGCCTGGGAAAGTGATTGAATCCCATAATAGAAGAAATAGCATCCACTTTTTAAAGAACTGGGCTGATGTTTTGAAAAGGTCAATTCTCTTCTGTGGAAAACTGCAAAAAATATCCAAATTCACATCTCACTTCACCTAGAGTCAGAACGTCTCTGCCATAAAAACCCAGACTGCAGAGCATCCAAGTCAAAGTGGGCTCAGGACCAGGAAAAATGTTACAGCTCTGCCATGAAGCCATGGTGAGCACGATTCCTGTGAGTCATTAAACCAAATAAATAATCATAATAGAACCTTCTGTAGCTGTTCTCTAGTAGAACTTGCTTTATTTTTCAGTCCACTTCTATATAAGTTTGTAACTTCTTTTCATATCTGTTGTTTGAGGTAGGTAGAATAGATATGGGGATAGTAAATTGCAAGTTTCCAGACAAGGAAACTGAGCTGATTTGCATAAAATTCAATGTTCAGCTCATAGCAGGACCAGGATCACTACTTTCTTTGCAGGCAGTGTGTGTGTGTGTGTGTGTGTGTGTGTGTGTTTTCCACTTAGACCAGTTGGAGCCAGAAGCTGACATATGCCAAACTGCTGTCCCTTTTGGTAACTATACGAAGTTGTCTTGGCTTTGTGTTCCAGAATCATTAACAAACACTTCTATGCTTTTCTACTTGAAACTATAATTGTCAGTAAATAATTCAAAATATATCCAAAATTAAGATAAATATACTGATTTTTGATATTTAATACTTACCCTCTCCAATTATACAATTAATGCATCAGGAGAAAGAATTGCCATGTCTGAACCCCTGAAGTCATATGATACACTTAGACATCACAGTGACCTTCCACTTTTGGAATGTATGACTGGTCCATAAATTTAATTTTGAAGGAACTCAACATAGGAAAATATGTTGCTTTGTAAATGCATTATCTCGCTGTTAAAATACATCAAATAGCTTTTCTGTCATTCAGGTTTGTATGTGACTTCCAATTTTTAAATTTTATTGTGATAATAATGAATTTGTAATATTTTATTCCTGATTGCAGGGGAAGCTTAGAAAGGATGCCATGTCTTTACTGATTGATTAAGGCTGGTTTAAAGAAATCAAATATGTACCAAAATGATGAAATTTTCTTCACCTAAAAAGTCATCACTTTCAAAGCAAATATCCAGCTTCTCCTTCCTCTGTCTAATTGCCAGCCGCTAACCCCCTCCCCCATATCTTATTTTCCTTGATAACAGAAAAAGAGTGGAACCTTTAAAGAGTGTTTTAAACTGTATAACTGGCAGTACCGCTGTGCACTTTGTGCGCTTGGGCTGCCTTCTGACCCTCCACAGCTGAAAAATTATTTCTCCCTCATACTCTATGCCTCAGCAAAGCTCCATTCTCTCTGACTTGCCGGTTCTGGCACTGTCCAAGCACATTAGACCTGGTTGTCCCGCACTCTACCTTGAAATAGAAATTCTCATAGAGGATGATTTTTCACTTCTGGTACCTGCCTGTAGGCATTTCTCACCACGCCTACATAGAACTACTCAAAGGAAAGGATATGTGTGGTGTGCGTATGTTGTGTTTTCTCTCTTTAATGGCATGGATGAAAAGAAGAGGATTTGCAGTATATTAGCACTGTTGGCGTCCAGATGGCTGCTATAAAAATAAAGACATGGCTGAGAATCAACAGAAAACTTCCATCCCATCAAGACGTCAACACTACCAGCACTGTCTGTGCTACTGAGTGCTTGCTGCAGCCACACCTACTAATGGACAAAGATGAGAAGTTGTGAGTGGGATTTTTGAGTCATCAGCTAGTTGATGATGGATTTAATGAGTCAGTGCAAACAAATCACTTTGGATTTTAATATGTACTGCTTTCAGCTTACATATCCTTGAGATATTGTTAGTCTCTGCCTGCTAAGAGATTCCAGTGGCCACAAAATCCATCTTTTTTTTCATATTTTCACTGCTGGAGTTGAGTCTCCACTCTCAGTTCCATTAACACTCGTCCTTTTGTTTGAAATAATCCCCTGCTTTTTGCTTCTTGCCTACCTTGTTCCACGTTAGGGCCTTCAGGAGTCAGAAATTTGTGTGATATAGGGGAGCGGGAGCCCCTGTATTCTGCATATTTTCATGGTTGTCCTAGTGTGAAATCTTCATTGGCTAACTTGTGTGGTTTGCTTTGAATGTAAATTTCATAAACTTGTGTGTGTACATTGTTTGAAATACATTAAAATATGTTCATATCAAAGGATTTAATTTGATACTAAAATACTTTTGGAGGAAGATAGGAAAAGCATTGTTTCCATTTAAAGACAAGAAGACTAAGGCTTAGAGAATTCATGATCTTGTTCTTGAATTTTAGACTCCAAGTTCTAAGTCTATTTTTCCACATACTCACATTATTTTACTATATGTTTGTGTAATCCTGGAAAACTTACTGTTTGACTTGTTTCTTCCCAAAAGCAAGGGTGATTGGATGAAGGTCGGCCATAGGATGAAGGAAGGTGGTCCATAGGATAAGGAACAGAAAGTGGAGGCATTTAGTCTCAAATGTCTCTTAGTTACTATCAGGGAAACAATAAAATTACAAAACAGCTATCTTCAGGGAGAATATAATTAAAGGTTATATTGCCACATCGTGCTCCACAGTGGGCAAGAGGGAGAATGCATCTAATATTTCTTGAGTTTCTCCCAGGTGTCATGTTAGACTCTGTTACATCATTACATTTACTTCTCACCAGAACTTTGTGAGTAGATTACTAGCCTCATTTTTAACAGAATTACATACTGGTGCTCTATGAGTTTAATTAGCATGTGAAGGTCACACAAATAGTTAAGTGCCAGAGCCTTGATTTGAATCTGTCTTGTCTTTTTTTTTATTTAATTTTTAAAAATTTGTTAATTGATACATGATAGTTGTAAATATCTCAGGGGTCTGTGACATTTTGATACATGCATACAATATACAATGATCAAATCAGGGTAATTGGGATATCCATCACCTAAAACACTTAACTCTTCTTATTGTTGGGACCCAAGTCTTTTCACTGCAAAGTCAATAGATGAGAGAGACCCAGCTGTAAGAAACAGATCATAGAAGCACAACAGAAACAGGCAGACACCTAGAGCAGCCAGAAAAAAAATACGGGTAACAGAGAGGTCTGCGCCTAATGACTGCCAATGAGGTCGCTGGTGGCATGTTCTCTTCTTGGGTCTGTACCTCTTTGTCCTCAGCATGCATTTGTCACATATCTATGTTTTATTTACTTATAGTTAGGGAATATCTTAAAATATTTTGACCCCTCCCAATATTTGACTATGGAAGAAATAGTTTAATCATATCTTTGTTTATCTGCCTATTTAATTCTCTATTTCAACACTTAACTTTCTTTATACTGGGAGAAAAGCAAACATTAAAAATATTTATTAATATATAGAGGCTTTTTTTTTTCTTTTTCTTTTTCTTTTTTGAGATGCAGTCTTACTCTGTCACCCAGGCTGGAGTGCAGGGGAGCGATTTTGGCCCACTGCAACCTCTGTCTCCCAGGTTCAAGCAATTCCCCTGCCTCAGCCTACTGAGTAGCTGGGATTACAAGTGTGCACCACCATGCCCAGCTGATTTTTGTATTTTTAGTAGAGACGGGGTTTCATCATGTTGGCCAGGCTGGTCTTGAACTCCTGACCTCAGGTGATCTGCCCACCTCGGCCTCCCAAAGTGGTGGGATTACAGGTGTGAGCTACCATGCCCAGCCTAGAGATTCATTTGAAAGCAATAATATTTGCAGCACAATCTGAATTATAGAATGAAGTTAAAGGAGAAAGGAGGTGTTTTGATAGCATGAACTAAAAATTGAAGGAAAACTTGATGAAATATTCAGTGTTGGAAGGAAGATTACACAGAAGATGTGGGAGAGACCTTGGCATCTCTGATTTCCATGAAACCAATGAAGTATTTCATTAAGCTATCTAATGAAAACAAAAGAAAAATCTCTCAATTATACTAAAATCTTTCTTGTTTCGGAATGTTGTTACAACAACTTTTAGACTAAAATATTTTCCAACAATTTCTTGTGTGATATTCCAATAGCTTCTCACATAAATCATGAGCTCTGTACCCACCCAGAAATAATAACAGAAAAAGGAACAAAAGTTCATATCACTAAGAGAAAAATAAATGGAATCTGTTTTTCCATGAAAAATCTCCAGCCAATTTATGTCTCTGTGGAAAATATTTATCTGAAGTAAACAATCTCTAATATTTCCTTAAACATATTTTGTAACCTCAATTGTAATATAAAGTATTTGAATCTCAAAGTGCCAATGATTGATTGTCTAAATATTTATTCTGTGCAATACACTCACAGAATTATTTTATTAAATTGGGAATCTTAACAATGATTCATTGTAGGGCTTTCAGAAATTGCTCAGGATTATATTTGTGGAACCCACATTCAGCCCCCAGCACTCTGCTGCCATCAGATTCAACCATCACCTTCAAATAATCGGTCACAGACAAGCTTTTGAAGAATATACTGCTCTGAGTATATATGGGCTTCCAACAATTTATGTTCTAAGGCATCAATCTGAAGTTGAATTTCTTAGTATAAAAATCACCGCATTCTGAAGCATTCTATGCTTTCAAGATGAAAGGTGCTTCAGGATGCTTTAAATTCTTTGATAAAACTAGCAATTAACATTTATTGTTCCTGTGCCCAGCACCATGCTAAATTATTCATATGCATATTTTTATTTAATCCTCATTGCAACCCTGTATGGTAGAGATCATCATTATTCCTCTTCTACCTATGAGGATACTTGATCTTAAAGGAGTTTAACAAAGTTACCTAAGGTACAAGGTAGAACCAGGATTTCAGCAAATGCTATTCTGACCACAGAGACCAAGTTCTTGTACATTTCAATATACCCTCAGAAGAAAAAAAAAATACTGTAGTTTTTGGATAAGGGCCAGGTTCAGAAAACATGAAGGCACTCATATGGAACACCATCTCTAACTGCCGGCTCTATTAAATTGGCCCCACTCTGTGATGTACACAATGTCTCTGGTGGGGCTTCCCTAGAAGCACAACCTAAGATGAGTTTTTGGATGCTTGTAAGTTCCACGGGAAGTGACCCCCTGAATTGGAAACAGAGTGAGAAAGTAGACGAGAGAAGAAGGAAGGATTTGGAAGGGGCTAGTACTAAGGACAACTGGGATTATATCCTGCTGGGATCTTTAAGAAAAGTAGAACAGTTGTTCCTCCCAGGGAGCCAAAACTGGGGGATATTTAAACACTGACTCCTGATGCTCATTGGTCGAGGTTGGCTTCCTGGAAAGTTAACTTCCTGACCTTTCTGGAGTGCACACTCCTGCCCTAATAGGTTCTGGGGGACCTAAGAAACCCTTCAGGCAGGCTGGGCACAGTGGCTCATGCCTGTAATCCCAGCACTTTGGGAGGCCAAGGAGGGTGCATCACCTGAGGTCAGGAGTTTGAGACCAGCCTGGCCAACATGGTGAAACCCTGTCTCTACTAAAAATACAAAATCTCATCGGGTGTGGTGGTGCATGCCTGCAGTCCCAGCTACTTGGGAGCCTGAGGCAGGAGAATCACTTGAACTCAGAAGGTGGAGGTTGCAGTGAGCTGAGATTGCACCACCGCACTCTAGCCGTGGTCAACAGAGTGAGACTCAGTCTCAAAAAAAAAAGAAACCCTTCAGGCAGAGAGTCACAGGTGCTCACCATTGGAATGTATTGAAATTGCAAGTGCAATACGAGAAGGCCAATGATCTGTCTACTACAGATAATCAATTTAACTTATATAATTTTCTAATCATTACAGAGAGAAATTTGCATACTCCAAGTGGATTTCAGATAACCAAAAATCTATAGAACTATGACCAATTTTTTTCTTTTATATTTTTCTCCATGAAGTTGTGTTTCCATGAATTATAAAACCTTAAGTGTAGGGGCTTCAAATTATTTTTCTGTATGTCCATGTAAGTAGACTCTAATAGAAACTTTGTAAATGTGTGTTGATTTCAATTAAATGTATTGAATAGATATTTGTTACATACCCACTGTGTGCATGACACTGGTTTCATTATGGGGTACACACAATATTTCTTCACAATTCCTGCATGTGCAATATATATACTTAAATTGAAAAGCCAAGAGAGGCACATTAGAAACTAAGTACAACCAGTGTTCCTAGGTATAATTAACAAGTCAGCCAACTCCACTGCAAATGCACAGAAGAATTGGTGATGTTAGAAAAGATACTACAGAAAAACAGGGCTTTCTGAAAAACTGGTAGAGTTTATGTGGACGGAAAGAGCAGGGGACCGCCTTCTGGCTAGGAGGTGGGGTGCTGGCCTTAGACAAGACTGTATAATACAACCTTAAAGGACACAGATCAAGCTGTGGCTGCTGACAGCTCATCAGTTCTATAGGCTAGCTACTGAAGAGTCTTTAAAAAGTTTTTAATTTAGTGGTGCTATCGTAAAACCAGTATTTTAAGAACATGATTTAGCAGAACTATTCAAGGTAGTTTAGAGGAGTAAAATATTCATGATGAAAGTCCATACAAAAGGGCTAGGCTATTCCAAGCAATGGAAGTAATTAAGAAAGAACACCGGTGAAATCTTTTTCTTCTTGGTGATATAAAATGTGAGAAGTGGCTGGGCGTGGTAGCTCATGCCTGTAATCCCAGCACTTTGGGAGGCTGGGGCAGGTGGATTACCTGAGGTCTCGACCAGCCTGACCAATATGGTGAAACTCTATCTCTACTAAAAATACAAAAATTAGCCAGGCATGGTGGCTGGCGCCTGTAGTCCCAGCTATTTGGGAGGCTGAGGCAGGAGAATTGCTTGAATCTGGGATGGGGAGGTTATAGTGAGTCGAGATTGTGCCACTGTGCTCCAGCCTGGGCAACAGAGCAAGAGTCTGTCTCAGAAAAAAAAAAAAAATGTGAGAAGTACTTGTCTCTGCTAAGAAATGGGACTAAGTCATGGTGCTGAGGCATGTGGAGTTTAGAATGGTGATGGACCATCTGGACAGCAAAAAGATTAGTGAGTGACTGGTAGAAAGGAAATATGAATTGCAGATACAGGTTTATGTGTCAAATAAATGGAAATGAGTCATGAAGTTAAAAACCACTCATCTGTATTTAATACTAAGAATATGAAAAGGAATGAGGTAGGAGCAGACTGTTGGGTTCTAAATCTTTAGGAAATACTTATAGTTTATAAATTGGAAGCTTGAGAGAAAAATCCAGAAAAAGAAAGAAAAAAGGAAAAATAACAGGCAGGAGAATCTGGACTAAAAAGTGCTTCAGTTATCAAATGAGATCAGTTTCAAGAAATGAAATATAAGGTGGCTTTCAGTAGTTATTACTACAAAAGTTTCGCTTTCTATGATTTTTAAATCATCAATAAAATATTTTAAATTCAGAGGAAGTAAGTATAAAGACTCAAAGTTCTATTTTCAGGTTTGATATCAATCCACATTTTTAACACATTAAGTTGTATTTTCAGTAATACACCACCCCTCTTATATTCTGTGTGTTTATATTTGGCAAACTTATTAGGTTACAGTTGACTTCTAGTCCCATGCTGCTTCTGTTGGGAAATACAAAGCTTTCTAAGGGGAAATCTTGTATCTCCTTTGAATCCTATATTAGCTATGTCTGCTGCAAGTTCATTCTGCACTGCGATAGCATTGAGTTAAAAATGATCTTTTGACAAGACTTTTGTTTATTTAGACACTAAAGTGAACTAGGAGACAGCTTGTAATAGAATGCTGGCTATTACTTTTTTTATAGCATTCTATTACCAAAATACTATGGAAGTGAGGAATTTAGTTGATTTTTTTTTTTTTTTGGCAGATTCCAAGAAGGATTAAAAGCCATGTAGAATGTCTCTCACACTCCCAATTGAAGTAGGAGTGTTATTTGGAAGTGTTTTCCATTTACGGAAAACCAAAAATCCTCTAAATTCAGTCAATGTGTTTAGAACTTTGTTAAGCTTGAAGTTATGATTCTACTATAATCATGTGTCCTTTTTCTCTTTAGGATAATGAAGAAAAGTAACAGAAAAATAACTTTTTTTTTCTTAGAGACTTGATAGAGATTTGTTTTAGGATTTTTAAGATTTTTGGCCAATTTGTTGGTGCAACATAAGAAAAGTGTTCAGGTTGAAGATATTCTGAAATCAAGTTATTCCTGCAGGAATGCAAATCAAATGTTGATTAAAAGTTGTTTGGATCACTGAGAAACAAAAGAAGAACTGAAACAACACATATATAGTAGTCATTGACAAGGAGATATACCTTTTTTATTTTTATTTTTTTTGAGATGAAGTTTAGCTCTTGTTGCCCAGGCTGGAGTGCAATGGCGCAGTCTAAGCTCACTGCAACCTCAGTCTCCCAGGTTCAAGCGGTTCTCCTGCCTCAGCCTCCCAAGTAGCGGGGATTATAGGTGCCTGCCACCACACCCAGCTAATTTTTTTGTATTTTTAGTAAAGATGGGGCTTCACCATGTTGGCCAGGCTGGTCTTGAACTCCTGACCTCAGGTGATCCGCCTGCCTTGGCCTCCCAAAGTGCTGGGACTACAGGCGTGAGCCACCGTGCCCGGCCTGAGATATATCTTAATACATAAATTCTGTATGGGCAAATTAAACCCATCACCTTGCCCCTTATATATCTGCTTCTTCATTTATCTAAGCATCTACACCAGCCTCACTCTTTGTCCTCATGCCCTTCACTACCCATGAGTCAATCTTTGCTGGATGTGTCAATCTACCCCATCCTTGCTGTGCCTTCAATGCAGACATTTTCTCCTATTGCTCTGTCAGAATAAACTTATGAAGGCCAATCCTAGTGGCACCCTAATAGATAAATATGAGCGGTTAAGCAAGAAGACCTGAGAAAATTATTGAGTGGCAAAATTTGATTATTCTGTGAAATCTGCTAAGAGGTAGAGAGAGTATCCCTTCCAACTCATCCTGCATAAAATACTCTTGCATTTAAACCTAGCTCAGATCTCTCTTCTGTGGATTTTCTGGGCCCCTTGAGTCCAAAGTGATGTTTTTCTATTCTGTGATTCCTGACAATTTGTTTGCATCACAACTGAAGGACCTACTATATTTGCCTTGATTGGCACACTTATAATACTCATGAGATGATAAGCTCTGAGGAAAGATCTGGCCCTTTTGATACTTTTTCCCTTCCATGTATAATATTATTTTTATAATCTATTAAGCACTCAATGTATTTTGATGAAATGGAATTGAAGCAACTTCTATATACTCTATCTTTTCATCTGTGAACTATGGTGGGTTCTTTGTTTAAAGTCCCTCTTATCCATAGGATTCTAGAATTCTATGATATGAATCTTCATCATTATTAGTATAGATTGTAAGTATATTTATTTTATTTTATTTTATTTTTTTGAGATGGAGCCTCACTGTGTTGGCTAGGCTGAAGTGCAGTGGCACAACCTCGGTTCACTGCAACCTCCACCTCCTGGGTTCAAGCGATTCTCCTACCTCAGCCTCCCAAGTAGCTGGGACTACAGATGCGCGCCACCAGGCCCAGCTAATTTTTGTATTTTTAGTAGACTTGGGTTTTCACCATATTGGTCAGACTAGTCTTGACCTCCTGACCTCATGATCCACCCGCCTCGGCTTCCCAAAGTGCTGGGATTACAGGCATGAGCCACCACACCCGGCCACCTGTAAGTATATTTCTAACTGGATCGTGTCTACTTCTAAAAGAATGAGTAGGCCAGTCGCGGTGGCTCACGCCTGTAATCCCAGCACTTTGGGAGGCCAAGACGGATGGATCATGAGGTCAGGAGTTCAAGACCAGCCTGACCAACATGGCGAAACCCCGTCTCTACTAAAAATACAAAAATTAGCTGGGCATGGTGGCACGCACCTGTAATCCCAGCTACTCGGGAGGCTGGGGCAGGAGAATCACTTGAACCTGGGAGATGGAGGTTGCAGTGAGCTGAGATCACGGCATTGCACACTCCAGCCTTGGCAACAAGAGTGAAACTCCGTCAAAAAAAAAAAAAAACGGGATGAGTAGGTCCATTCTGTTATATCTGGTCATTTGTGAATTTACTGTCTAACCTCCTCGATTCCTCTGTCTCCTCCATTCTCTCAACTCCTTTGTCTTTCCACCACATTGTCCCTCCAGCTTTGTATCAGCTTTCAGTTTCAGGCCACACTCTCCTCCTTCCTCCTAAGTCAAGGGTTCATGGATGTATCAAAGCCTTATTTGCTTGGCATCATCCTGGTATCACCTTCCTTTGCTCTGTCCCTTTCTCCCTGCTTCCTCCTGGCCCCCTTGTAACCTATAAATTCACTGACCTCACAGAAACTTCTGCATGATGACAAACCCCATTCTATGCTCACCATGTTTTTACCTGATATTCTCTATTATAAAAGTAGAGTAATTTTTAATATTTCTGTGAATAGTTGGGGAAGGCAGGCTTGTGGATTTGATGGGGGCCTTTTCAACCTCAGGGAATTCAACATCTGCTTTTCATAGGGTCCACGTTTTCCAAGGATGAGGTGTTGTGCTAGGCTCCATTAGGAATGGAGATAAAACCTGACACCTGGATCTTATCCTGAAGAAACTTATAATTTAATTGAAGAAAACCTGACATAAACAGAGACAACATTTAAATACAAATAGCCAGCTAGTAGGCATCTGATAAAATGATAAAGGTGAAACAAAAAGAAACAGAGATAGGAAAGTTGTTAACTGCTAACTAACTTTTTAGCTTATGTGTGAAATACATCACTTAAATGTTCTCACCTTCATCTTTTAGTACTTTGAAGAAAGGCTTACATCCAGTTATCTGCTCATGCAATAACCCTCTAAGAACAGTGAAGTGTACAGGTTTTGAAAGCAAGGGTTGTAACTTTGTAGAAGGGTTTTGTTTGTTTGTTTGTTTTTGTTTTTTTGTTCTTTTGGGTTTTTTTTGACGGAGTTTCGCTCTTGTTGCCCAGGCTATAGTGCAGTGGTGGTGCGATCTTGGCCAACTGCAACCTCCACCTGCTGGGTTCAAGTGATTCTCCTGCCTCAGCCTCCCAAGTAGCTGGGATTACAGGCTTGCACCACCATGCCTGGCTAATTTTTTTTTGGAGGGGTGGGGGGCAGAGTTTCACTCTTGTTGCCCAGGCTAGAGTGCAATGGCACAATCTCGGCTCACTGCAACCTCTGCCTCCCAGGTTCAAGTGATTCTCTTGCCTCAGCCTCCCAAGTAGCTGGGATTACAGGCACATACAACCATGCCTGGCTATTTTTTGTATTTTTAGTAGAAATGGGGTTTTACCATGTTTGCCAGGCTGGTCTCGAACTCCTGACCTCAGGTGATTCACCAACCTCGGCCTCCCAAAGTGCTGGGATTACAGGAGTGAGCCACCATGCCTGGCTGTAGAAGGGTCTTCTAATAATTTTTGTTATAGATTCAACAATAACTTGGAACATTACTTAAAAATTAAAATTTCAAGCAGCCAACAAACATGAAATAATGCTCAACATCATGAATCATCAGAGAAATGCAAATTAAAACAACAATGAGATGCCATCTTACACCAGTCAGAATGGCTATTATTAAAAAGTTAAAAACAACAACAACTACAACAACAGATGTTGGAGAGGATGTGGAGAAAAGGGAACACTTATACACTGCTGGTGGGAATGTAAATTTATACAGCCTCCATGGAGAACAGTATGGGAGATTTCTCAAAGAGCAAAATATAGAACTACCATTTGATCCAGCAATCCCACTATTGGGTGTCCACCCAAAAGGAAATAAATGATTAGAACAAAAAGATACCTGCACTCATGTGTTTCTCACAGCACTATCCACAATAGCAAAGTCATGAAATCAACTTCAGTGTCCATGAATGGATGATATTGGATACAGAAAATTTGATATCCATATCTGCAGACATACATCTACATATATACCAGGCATGCTAGTCAGCCATAAAATCTTATTTTTCCTTAATGTGCACAAGACTCATTTCCACTGTCTACCCACAATTCTCTATAAAACAATTAAGGGTTGATTGTTTCTGTCAGTGGGCGGTATCTGGCTCACACTAGCTCAAGAGAGCAGGCTGTTAAATATTCAGGAATATTGCCACCTGATGGTTAAAACTGGTCATAAATAGCTCGAAATAGGCCATAATGGGAGAGTGTACACTCTGGAAATTGATTATGTTCTTCCCCACATAGAGCCTGTTTCCTGGCGCACCATCTAATGGGGATGTCCCGGGGGAGAAGCTAAACATGCACTTTCCTGAAACTTGGAAAAGATGAAGCAGAAGATTATGTCACAGCTGCAAGGGATGTGGGACCAAATGCTGCCCCATGCCATCCAGATGAGCCACCCAGGGGAGCCAGCCAGGTAAGCCACCCAGGGGAGCCACCCAGCAGAGCCAGCAGATGAGCCATAGCAGTACTTCATGTCTTGCCACAACCGCCTAGCATAAAACCAGTCATCCTGAGTCTTTAAGAAAACCTGCTCTTTTCTGTTTCTTGGCTTGTACTATTTCTTTTATTTTAAAGCACACTTTATCCTCCAAACCCTCACCCCCATCCCCGGAAACACACACACACACACACACAAGTCTGTGCACACACTCTGAAGAATCATATGGCCTTTAAATATTGCGTCTCAATTCAGGAAACATTAGGAGGCATTGGAGTTCATTGAGTATTAGCCATATCACACCCACCTTTGACTAGAGAAGCTTTGGTTAGTAGCGACTGAGGATCCCATGGGAATGTCTCCCACCATCCCTGGTTGCTCTCTATGACCTGTAGTGACGTCAACACGAGGGAAGAAAGAAGATGGGTGAGGATATGTGACTGAGCAAATCGCTGAACAAATTAGAAAAGAACATTCACTTTGTTTTCTTTAACACACAGGACTCATATCAGGCCTTATTCCCTGGGGTCAGAGTGAATTTTATAAAAACAATTACCCTTTACACCAAAGTTGTGAATTTGCCGGAATGGTTTGCGATTATTTCCTTAAAGGAACACGGGAAATTTGTAGCAGAATTAAGATCAAGAAGTTCTGAGTCTCTAATCTTTCCTTAAAACATCTCACCAAAATAGAACTTTATGCCTAACATTTGTGGATTCACTGAAGCATATGTAAGAATTATGGGGAGAGGCCGGGCGCGATGACTCACACCTGTAATCCCAACACTTTGGGAGGCTGAGGCGGGCAGATCACGAGGTCAGGAGATCGAGACCATCCTGGCTAACACGGTGAAACCCCATCTCTACTAAAAATACAAAAAATTAGCCGGGTGCGGTGGCGGGCGCCTGTAGTCCCAGCTACTCAGGAGGCTGAGGCAGGAGAATGGCGTGAACCCGGGAAGTGGAGCTTGCAGTGAGCCGAGATCACTGCCACTGTACTCCAGCCTGGGCGACAGTGTGAGAGACTCCATCTAAAAAAAAAAAAAAAAAAAAAAATTATGGGGAGAAGTAGCGCCTGAAATCTGCTGCCCTGGATGATTTCACTGCTGTGATCCTTGTGTCCTGCCTTGAAAAGTACTATTCTCAGTTATTTATCAGAATAATTTAATACCAGATAAGCTAGTTTTAAGTGATTTTGGCAGCAATGAACATAAAGCAAGGTATCTCTGATGATGGAATTTCGGGCACTGCTATGAACTAGAGAGGAAACATTTATTGACTTCAGGGGATTTTCTGTTACTGTAAAACTGCACAGATGGATAGATGGTCATGTAATCTTTTTATATCCCATCTGTATAAGTAAAAGTAAATGACTTATGTGCGTTGCAAGGTCACATAATGACTGATAAAAAGAAACTATTTGGAGAAAATCAGGAGGGGAGAAATTTTAAAGGATAAACTCTCCACTAACACTAGGATAATCACTGAAACACCTCATGCTAAGCGAAGTAATGACTGCTTAAAATCATATATTAAATTATTCACAAATCATCCAAGAAATAATGACTTCATAGGGAGTTTCTGACACCAAAGAAATAAGGATATAATCTATTGAGTAATCCTCAGTAACACACTCCAAAATTGCCTTTTCTGGGGTAGTGTAGTTCTTTTTTTATCCAACCAATATCACAAATCTTGGCACTACAGTATGTCCCCAGCTTGTGAGTTGTTTCTGAAAGCCCATTTATAAAATTAGATGTTTTGAACTTCTAATCAATTTTCCAATAGAAAAAATGTTAAATGGTAGTGAAGTCCTCAGACGGACTCATTAAAAAATAATTAACTCATAAAATGTCGGATGGAAAGAGCAAAATAATAGCACTGGGGAATACTATTAACATCTGGATGAGTGCTCTTAATGTTTTTCTCTGCTACCTTGGGGATCTAGTGAGTTCTGGTCCTTTTATATTTTGACCTAGGAATGAATAAGCCTGAGAAAGATAAATTGCTTACAGTTGCAAAAACTGCTGACCTGACACCACACAGTAGATCTGTCTCTGTAGGCAGAGAAAGATCTTCCTGCCACAGCTTTCAGTCAGAGCTCACGTATCCAATACTTTTCATCGCTCTTATCCTTAACTACCAGTGAAAAAGTAAACTCCAGGAATACATTCTCCTCCACTTTCCTGCTCTAACTTTACCATAGTATTTTCCCCCAACCTCATTCTTCCTCTGCAAACCTTCAGACCAAACCTTTGCCTGCCTGCCCTTCCCACTCTAATCACATTGCTGTACTCGCTCTCACTTTTCCTTACATCTTCCATCTCTTTCTTAGTCCTGGCTGAAATCTCACTCTTCCAAGGAAGCACATTCTTTCCTGCAGCCCCTTCCTATGTAGGTTACTTACTATCCTACTTTCCAAACAATAGAAGCCCAAGAATCAGATGCAAGGATGTCAGTTTTCTTGCTTATATTTACTACTGCTCAGTGGTTTACCAGGAAGCTTGGACAAAATACAAAGAAATAACGAGAACAAATTAAGCAATTCTTTGGAGTTTCTGTCTGGCATAACATAATATTCTTGTCATCTCCTTGCTTCCTGGCATTCCTCCTTTTATGCATCAATTCTTTTGGCTCCTGGCTCAAGGAAGGTTCTCTCCAGCCATGGTGTCACTCCAAGGGCAATTTCTGTCCAAATCCCCTGTCTGTAACCCTTAAATACATCCATATGAATGACTTCTAGCACTCCAGTGTAACAATCCATTCGATGGACTTCACTGCAACCTGTAATTTCTCCACCGCTGATATCTCCAACTTTCATTCTCAACATGTTGCCCTGCCTACAGCTCATTCACTTTCTTATTCCTCAAAAGCCGCTATGCATTTGCTCCAAAACCTGCTAAGACCCAATACAGAGAAAGTAAATAGAGTTCCCAGAAAACCACCCTGTCTGTCCAAACTGTCAGGCTCACTCTCTTTGCTCCGTCCTTGCTAACCTAGCCCTTAGGGTCCATTACTTACTCACTTTCTCCTGATTGACCTGACATTCTGAATTTTTCTGTCCAATATTTCTTACAAAATATAACCCAGCATGAGTTTAGCATTCTTCCTTCTGCTCCTGCACCAAGGCTGCTGTACTGCTCAAGAAATATCATACAGTCATGGAGACTGAAAAATCTTACATTGGGAGTTCTTAGTTGAATTTTGGCAAGCTCCTTTTTGCATTTCTAAATTTCAACTCAATAAAACTATTTTTGATCTATAATTCATCTCATTCTCTGCAGTAGATTTTGCATCCTATGTCACTGAGAAAATTGAGAACATTGAGTAGGAATTTTCTCAATTAACTGCCCTGATCCTATAGGGGAAC
Source organism: Homo sapiens (assembly GCF_000001405.40). Lineage (NCBI taxonomy): Eukaryota > Metazoa > Chordata > Mammalia > Primates > Hominidae > Homo > Homo sapiens. The sequence goes on from NC_000010.11 coordinate 36,508,621, forward strand.
TTATAAGGCAGTGTGCCTAGGGCTGACAATACATTTAGGAGTCTATTAAAATGTTTTGTTTTTTTTAATCAGAAGGAAAGAAAGAGGAATTTTAGGTTGAAGAACATGTTCTAATATATAATATTTAGTATATTCAGCCGGGTGCGGCAGCTCACGCCTGTAATCCCATCACTTTGGGAGGCCGAGGAGGCGGATCACAAGGTCAGGAGATCGAGACCATCCGGGCTAACACAGTGAAACCCTATCTCTACTAAAAATACAAAAAATTAGCCAGGTGTGGTGGCAGGCACCTGTAGTCCCAGCTACTTGGGAGGCTGAGGCAGGAGAATGGCATGAACCCAGGAGGTGGAGGTTGCAGTGAGCCGAAATTGTGCTACTGCACTCCAGCCTGGGCAACAGAATGAGACTCCATCTCAAATATATATATATAAAATATTTTGTGTATTCACCTATAACCAAATGTGATTATTAACATATGTTAATATGCCCAGCAAGGCAAAATTGCCAAGGCCTATGAAAGTCACAATGCAGCCTAACCTATAAACTCAGCCCCACTTGCTTGTAGCTATGCTGCAGTACTCTGTCTCAGTGCAACTGCTGATAGGAGTGCTTGTCTTCAGCCCCTGCCTGTGCTCTAGGCACGATCTTGCTTTGTCCCTTGGAGGACCTTGTTCTATCAATGACCCCATCTGGTGCCCTGGACTCCAGCTTTCTTGTTTCATTAGTCTTTATCCTTTAGCATATAGAGTTGATTCTCATTATTCACAGTAGTTATGTTCTATAAAGTCACCACAGACAAACAATTAGTGAATCCTGGACCTTTGCTCCCAGGAAGGTACAGGATGAGTTAGTTTCTTGCAAGGTTCTGCTCACATTAGGCCAACTGGTCAATACATAATCTTGGGGTTTTGTGTGTTTCTGTTAAAGATGCATAATTTACAGCCTGGGCAACATAGTGAGACCCTGTCTTTACAAAAAATTAACATGAAAAAATTAGCATGGCATAAGGTGGTGTGGACCCCTAGTCCTAGCTACCCCTAGTCCTAGCTACTTAGGAGGCTGAGGCAGGATGATTACTTGAGCCCAGGAGTTTCAAGGCTGCAGTGAGCTATGATCGTGCATGCCACTGCATTCTAGCCTGGGTGACAGAATGAGACCCTGTCTCTTAAAAAAATACGTAAGCCAGGCTGGGTGCGGTGGCTCACGCCTGTAATCCCAGCACTTTGGGAGGCCAAGGCAGGTGGATCACAAGGTCAGGAGATTGAGACCATCCTGGCTAACACGGCGAAACCCCATCTGTACTAAAAGTACAAAAAATTAGCCAGGCGAGGTGGCACACGCCTGTAATCCCAGCTACTTGGGAGGCTGAGGCAGGAGAATGGCGTGAACCCGGGAGGCAGAGCTTGCAGTGAGCCGAGATCGCACCACTGCACTCCAGCCTGGGCGACAGAGCGAGACTCCGTCTCAAAAAAAATAAAAAATAAAAATAAAAAAATAAGCTAATATATATTGCTTATTCATTAACTTTGAACTCTTGGCCAATAGCAGTATAACTTATGTTTGAATGAAGCTTATCTAGCACATGAATTTTGCCCATAAAGCACATCACAACCTTCTTGTGCTTAGAAACATGGGGCAACACCTCAGCACTACCTTCAGGGGCCATTTCAAACAGTAAAATCACCTACAGGAAGCACAAAAATGCAATAGTGTGGCTTTGCACAGAACTATATATATATATATATATATATATATATATATATATATATATATATATATTTTTTTTTTTTTTTTTTTTTTTTTTTTTTTTTTTTGAGAGGGAGTCTTGCTCTGTCCCCCAGGCTGGAATGCAGTCGCGCCATCTCAGCTCACTGCAAGCTCCACCTCCCTGGTTCACGCCATTCTCCTGCCTAGCCTCCCGAGTAGCTGGGACTACAGGCTCCCACCACCACGCTCAGCTAATTTTTGTATTTTTAGTAGAGACGGCGATTCACTGTGTTAGCCAGGATGGTCTCGATCTCCTGACCTCGTGGACCTCGTGATCCGCCCGCCTCGGCCTCCCCAAGTGCAGGATTACAGGCATGAGCCACCGCACCCGGCCTGCACAGACCTTTAAAAGGGCACTTGTTTACAGTCTGCGAGCTTGAACACTAAAGCAGAGTATTCCCTTGTTTGACTCAGCTGATAGCACAAGCATGGGCGGGTCCCATGTTTCCCAACATCTGCAAATGGTTCCTAAAGCACAGCGGGTATTAGTTTTGGGGTTACAAATAAAGTTTAGCAAGTAGACAAATTCATCAGTACAGAATCTGTGAATAACTGGAATCAATTATACGCCGTTATGGACTGAATTGTGCTCCCACGAAATTCGTATGCTGAAGTCCTAAGCCCCAGTATCTCAGAGTGTGACTGTTTATGGAGATTGGGTCTGGAAGGAGGAAATTAAGTTAAAATGAGGCTGTTAGGGTGGACCCTAATTCAATCTGACTAATAATGTCCTTATAAGAAGAGGAGATGCAGACATACAGATACTATGAATACACCAGCACAGAGAAAATGTCCTGTGAGTCCCCAGCGGGAAGACGGCTGTCTGCAAGCCAAGTGGAGAGGCTTCAGGAGAAACCAACCCTATCCTGACCTCAGACTTTCAACTTCCAGAGCTGTAAGAAAACACATTTCTGTTGTTTAAGGCACCTAGTCTGCAGTATTTTGTTATGGCAGCCCTAAGCAGACTAATACTATACGTGCAAGCCACTATTAACACATTTTCAACACCAATGGACAATGTTATATGTTTATTTTATTTGACTTCTCAGTGGTATTTCACACAGTGAACCAGCTTTTTTCATACTAAAATTCTCTCTTTTCCTGGATATCACTGTCGTCTAGTTTTCCTTCTGCAACATTAGCTATTCCTTCCTATTTTTTATGTATGTGGCCTCGTTTTTCAGGGATTTTTTTTTTTACTAAAATGTAACATTATAAGAATCGTTATAAAATACAGAATACAATACAATGGAAAAAATAAAAATTATCTTTTATCCTAATACCAGGGACAATATACCTCTTCTGTGGTGGCCTCTTTATTCACCAGGCTCATAAACACTGCTGTCTCCAAAGGAACTAAGTTCATCTCTCTGCTCTTTGAATTATATGCATTGAAACTCGTTACCGTGGTTCACAAGCTCTACCAGATTTGCTGCCTCTCTGACTCGACAGCAGCACTCGCCCCCTTGGTATCCACACCAGAGCCACCCCGGCAGGTCTGTCCTTCCAACTGGCTGTTCTCCCTGAAGGCCTCTGCACCTAAAGCAGCCACCCCAGGCAGTGCCATGGCTGACTGTTCCAGGGGTCTCAGCATCTCTCCCTTTAGCCAAATCCCTCTTATTCCATACTAAAATTTCCCCTTTTCCATTCATTGAAGACTGTTCAAAGTTGTATTTAACATTTACCTATTTATTTACTATATAGCATTTACCTCCCTTCTTCCTCTAGAATATTAGGTTCATAAAAGAGAAAAATATTTAAAATAATGGAACTATGATTTTCAGATTGAGAAACTCTATTTCACATGTACTTTCCTTTGCCATTTTGAACATTAGGTAGTATCAATAACAATTCAAAAATTGTAATGGCTGTAAATGTGGCCTATTAAATAATACCACAAAGCCCATGCTAAAATTGCTAACTGGAAGTAAAAATGCATTGACATTACATAGACATCTTAGTCATGTATTTATTAATTCAACAAAAGCTTATCCATTCCCTGTTTTCCAATCACTGTTGTAGGTGCTTAGGATACAGCGTATCGCCTCCTTTTCCTTGTAAGATGAAAAAGTTGTCCTTCAGAAAACAAATGCATAGTGACCTCTTATAAAAGAGAAGGCATTTTTAGTGCTGCAGTGAATTGATAGTGTGCGCTTTCTAACCATTGCACATACAGTTATATTGGAATTTGGATTCTTTTAAAGCAATGTCAGAAAAGTTTAGACTGCAAGAAGCCAACATGCTTCACTTGGCTTAAAGATGGAGATTTACTGTCATTTCTTTTCTTTATGTCTCTGTGCATTTGCGTTTTCATGATTCTAGAATCACTGGTGTGGAAAGTCAATTATTGTATGTATTCTTTGGGACCATATATACTGCAAAATACCAAATTAAAAACATGTTTCCTTTGTGTGAATGTGGCCTAGTTAATGGTTTTTATGTACACACCAGTTCTATGGCCAGTAAATAAGTGAAACCTCTGATTTACAGGGCAGCGTGAAAGAACAGCCATCACTCCATTTCTTAGGAACACTACTGAACTGCAGAGATTGATCTCTACTTTCCCAGATCATAGTGAAGAAAGGGAAAAAGCCTTACACAAAGGATATAATTGGGGCCTTATCAATTGTTTCTTCTTTTTAGACAAGCAATGAAAATTACAATTTTCATATTTAAATATTTCTTCATACTTTGATTTATTTTTTCCTAAAACAAGCAATATTTTCCAAGTAAAGTTTTGAAATATTTCTTGAAAAACATTGCCCGATGGCAGATAAAATAGTCAAGTAAAAACTCTATGGATACTTTCATCTTCTGATGGGCTAATGTAATTAGCCAGAGAGTAGCTCTTTTTCCTTAAAAAATTGGATGATATGCTTCCATTATAAGACTGAAAGGGGGGCTGGGCTCAGTGGCTCACGCCTGTAACCCCAGCACTTTGGGAGGCCGAGGCAGGCAGATCACGAGGTCAAGAGATTGAGACCATCCTGGCCAACATGGTGAAATCCCGCCTCTACTAAAAATACAAAAATTAGCTGGGTGTGGTGGCATGCACCTGTAATCCCACCTACTCGGGAGGCTGAGGCAGGAGAATCACTTGAACCCAGGAGGTGGAGGTTGCAGTGAGCAGAGATCACACCACTGCATTCCAGCCTGGCGACAGAGCAAGACTTTATTTCAAAACAAACAAAAAAAGACTGAAAGTTTCCATAAGACTGAATGGTTCTGTAGGTCTCAAAATCACTATTTGTTGACACATATGCAAGCATTATGTGAATATAGTTAAATTAAAATGATATGCAAAGGTGTCTCCTCCATATTATATTTTATTCCTCCATATTAATTTAACCTTTTGGACAGAACACCCACATTACTATTATGGGCTTTGGAGTGGAATACACAGCTTTGAAAACTTTGAAACAACTTTGAGATGCTGATGTTTTAATTATTACAGAATTGAGTCAAACAAGTAAATCCTAGTAGGTAAAAAAGGTTTAAGAAATACTTTGTATAATTTATGTCATTAGTTGCAAAATTGTCCACCAGTGCCATCAACTATTAAACACTCTTAATAGCTTTAAAATGCCCTGAATGTACTGATTAAAGCTGAAATCAAGGTACAGTTTTGCAGTTTTCACATCTATATAGCCATCCTCCTATCATAATCTGAAATCTAACTACTACGTGGTTTTAACTTATTGGAAAAGAATCAGTGGCGTGTTCTCTCTCTCTCTCTCTCTCTCTCTCTGCTTAGCTACAGCATTTTTCCAGAATGTGTGTTACAGAGCAACTTGCAGGACACTAAAACCCTCATGTTCACTTTTCAACTGTGTAGCTATATTTTGTAATGCCTCTTGAATGGTCTCTTCCTAGTGAAACTGCTGCAAATTGACCTAACAAATACTCAAATGATAGTTTCAGTGTTCTAAAATACAGAGCTCTCTGCTCCGGAAGTCATTATGCAATGTGTTCTAATCTGTTCACCTCCTTAAAAAAGTGCTACCTGCCTCGCCGTGAAGTTTATGTACATTTCCTTAATAAATACATGTCATCAGGAAACAGCCACTCTCTTGAGGCATATCATCGTGTCTTCAAAACTCCGAGGAAAGAATGAAGAGTGCAGGGCAGTGAAACTATTTACTCCATGCACATTAACAGCAGACACCTACAAATGCTTGCAAACACGAGCTTAGTTATAATTCTCCCTGCGGAACTTTATAAAACATAGTGAGTGACAAGGATAATTTAATATCGCGAGCAAATGTTAACTTTGGATACACAGAAGTGTGATGCATAGCTATCAACAAAGGCCACATTATTATAACTCTCTTTTCAGTCACTTTGGGCTTTGCTAAAGCTTGCATATATTGAAGTAAAGGAAAGGAATATACTAAAAAATGGAAAAACAAACAAAAATCAATGAATATTAGTTCTTTTCACTATCCAAGAGCCCTTAACCAGAAAACTTTACAACTAACTTTCAAAGCTGAAGAAAAAGTTCAAATGATATGAATTACTTTGTTAATCCTTTTCCCGGATTTCAGATTTTTATTCCATTGTGTGGGGGAACTTCTGTGGTGAGAATTCTGCTTCTCATTCCTTTGTATGAATGTGAGCTTGCATTTTGATTTCTCTTGTAACTCTTAATTCTTTGTTTGCCATTTGCTTTAATCCTGTTTAACCAATTTAAAAAAAAAAGCCCTAGAGAAAACCTCCTTTAATTCATATCCTAGAACTTAACTAACTTTATAAGATATTTGTCTCAAGGACTGGTTTCAAGGTTGAGGAGGCAGTCTCTCTTTTGCTTACTGACATGATTTGCAATGCTTTGGGCTTAATTAAGTGACAGAATAAATTGACCACAGCAATCAGGAAATGTTTTGATCCAGATTATTGGAATGGAAACTCTACTTTGCTTTCCCAGTAACTTAGAAGCCAGAATCCTTTACCATTAGATCTGACAACAGAAATTTACTCCATATCCCCTGATAGAGCCTGTAAGGAGCAACAGGCCAGCATGTATGTGACCAGAGGTTATAACGTTCTGATTCATTATGCTCTAGTCATGAATCTGGCCCGTTGCAGACAAGCTCCAAACATCCATTTAGCTGTCAGTCTGACCATGAATGTAATGCTATTATGGTGAGGGCCAAGTCCACTGCTCATGCCAGATGTTGTTAGGAATTCAATCCATCCTATGTATGAACACTGGCTCCTTCAAACAACAAGATGTTGAGTGAATTACATATTGAGTGGTGAGTTTTCTTGGCATTTAATTATCCAGCTCAAAGAAACATACTTCCCTAATTGTTTCTGAGGTTACTGCCTAGCGTATAAGTAAAAGGGATCTTGTGAAGGAATGGTATGATATCAGCAGCTGTAAAAACATTTCAAGTTATTGTAATGTCTCTTTTTGGGATTTTTTTTGGCTTATTCCTAATGTCTGTCAATAAAAATTAGGCATCTTTTATATTTGATGTCACTGTTAGATAATAATTTAAGGGGGAAAAAGATTTGCCATATCCTAAAATAAATCTATTTTAAATTTTGTGAATTATATTATAATGCTTGTTCACATACTAATATATTATAACATGGCTGCAAAGATAGAAGGAAACCTTCCTTAAAAAGAAAATTCACAGTTCTTTCTTAAAGTGACACATAACCGAACTATTATTAAGATAATTAATTAATTGGGGTTTATCAGAGTCACCCAGAAAACAATTAACAAACACTTCAGTTCATTTAAAATGACACCATTTAATATGATATATAGTTGATCCTTAAACAGCATGGAGATTAGAGCCAGCAACCCCCCCATACAGACAAAAATCCACATATAAATTTTGAGTCCCCCAAAACTTGACTACTAATAGCTTACTGTTGACCAGGAGTCTTACCAATAAAAAGTTCATTAACACATACTTTGATTTTATATATAGACTGTATTCTTGCAATAAAATAAGCTAGAGAAAAGAAAATGTTATTAAGGAAATCATAAGGAAGAGAAAATATATTTACTATTCATAAAATGGAAGTGAATCATCATCATAAAGGTCTTTATCTTCATTATCTTCAGGTTGAGTAGGCTGAGGAGAAGGAGGAAGAGGAAGGGCTGGTCTTGCTGTTTCAAGAATGGCAGAGGCAGAAGAAAATCCACATGTAAGTGGACCAGTGCAGTTCAAATCCATGTTGTGTTTGTCAGCTCTGGGACAGTTTTACTTTTGTGTAATGACAGTTCAATGGGTTGGCAAAGTTATCTTTTACCAATCTAAAATTTCATCAAAATTATATCTTCTTTAAAAAATAAAAATACTGTCTGGGCATGGTGGCTCATGCCTGTAATCCCAGCACTTTGGGAGGCTGAGGTGGGTGGATCACCTGAGGTCAGGAGTTTGAGACCAGCCTGGGCAACATGGTGAAACCCCATCTCTACTAAAAATACAAAAATTAGCCAGGCATGGCAGTGGGCACCTGTAATCCCAGCTACTTGGGAGGCTGAGGCAGGAGAAGTGCTTGAACCTGGGAGACGGAGGTTGCAGTGAGCCAAGATCGCACAACTGCAGTCCGGCCTGGGTGACAAGAGCGAGATGCCATCTCAAAAAATAAATAAATAAATAAATAAATAAATAAATACATACATACATACATACATAAAATACTTGTGTAATTTGAAAAAAAGGATTGCAGGGTCTTCAAAATAGCTTTTTCATTATATTATATTTACCAGTAACTTCAGAAATATTTATATGTTTAGTGCTTTTTAACCTCCAATGCCTTTTTTGATAAACTTCCTACTTCAATTTCATAGATTTTATATAGAATTACCAGAAGGGAAAAAAAAAAACAAAAAAACCTTATTTGTGCCCTCTAGGAGTGCATTTGTGTATTCTCTTAACTAAGTAATCAATAATTCTTAGAGGCAATTTAATACCTAGAAGTCCCATGACCCTTGGAGGTGAACTACTGGGTAGATTCCTGACTAATGGCAAACAACAGAAAAAGACAATGATGCCTCTCGACTCTTTCTTTCTTTTTTTTTGAGATGGAGTCTCGCTCTGTTGCCCAGGCTGGAGTGCAGTGGTGCAATCTCGGCTCACTGCAAGCTCCGCCTCCCAGGTTCAAGCCATTCTCCTGCCTCAGCCTCCCAAGTAGCTGGGACCACAGGCGCCCACCACTAAGCCCAGCTAATTTTTTGTATATTTAGTAGAGACGGGGTTTCACCGTGTTAGCCAGGATGGTCTTGATCTCCTGACCTTGTGATCCACCTGCCTTAGCCTCCCAAAAGTGCTGGGATTACAGGCGTGAGCCACCGCGCCTGGTTAGCTTTTTCATATTTAGTAATGTCCTGCATTCTAATAAGGGACTAAGGAGAATTTTACAAGTTAGAATCTTACTAGGTTACTTCTGGTTTCAACTTCAAAATGAAAAGATGCTTAACATCACTTTTTATTAGAAAATTGAAATGAAATGCAATGAAAAGTTGCAAAAAAAAAACATCAATGAGAAAACACTGCATAATGATTTAAATGGCTAAGAACCACATCAAACTAAAACAAAACATCAAAAAATAAAAACCTGACAATGCCAATTTCTGTCTAGTATGTGGAGCAACAGGAACTCCCATGAGAATGGTAAATGGCACTACCAATGTGGAAGACAGTTTGGCAGTTTCTCGCAATGCTAAACGTAGTCTTACCACATGTTTCAGAAATCACATTCCTAGATATTTACCAAAATGAGATGAAAACTTACGTCCACACATTAACCTATGCACACATATTTATAGCAACTGAAAGCAGCCACGATATATTTTAAAGGAACAAACAGATCAATAAACTGTGGTGTATCCATACAATGAATAGAATGTAGAATGTGGCAGAATAATCTAAATTGATTACAAATATCAGAAACTACCTCACAGAAAGCAGTATGGGAATACTGTCCTGACCTAAATAATTCTGGAAAAAAGAGTGAATTATCTGAAACTAAGGCCAAAAGGAACTGTACATAAGCACTGTAATCTAATTGATGAAGTTGTTCTCCACACGGTTTTGTGTTAATAATTCTGAACTGTTACACATGCTGTAATGATTAACTTTAGGTGTCAAGTCGACTGTGCTAAGGGATACCTAGATAGCTGGTAAAACATTATTTCTGGGTATGTCTGTGAAAGTGTTTCTGGAAGAGATTATCACTTGAATTAGTAGACTGAGAAAACATTTGCCTTTACCAGCTTGGGCAGGTATTATTCAACCTGTGGAGGGTCCACATAGAACAAAAAAGCAGAAGAAGAGTGAATTTGTTTTCTCTTCTTCTGGAGTTGGAATATCCATCTTCTCCTGCCCATGGGCATGAGAGTTCCAGGTTCTTGGGCCTTTGGACTCCAGGACTTACAAGAATTCCCTCCGACCTCCCCACCCACCTTTGTGGTTCTCAGGCCTTTGGTCTTGGACTTGGAGTTACACTGTTGGCTCCCTTAGTTCTCAGTCCTACAAATACAGACTAAAATTATACCACCAGCATTCCTGGTTCCCCAGCCTGCAGACAGCATATTGTAGAATTTCTTAGCCACCATAAGTCTAAGTCAATGTTTATTAAAACATTCCATGTTATGTATCTACATATATATCCTATTGGTTTTGTTTCTCTAGAGCACCTAATACACATACATACTGAAATTTTAAAATTAAACAAATGAATTGTTGATGATTAAAAAAACCATGTTTCTCAAGTGTTGTAGTTGAAAGTTATAGATGAGCAATGGCAGGAAGCTAGAATGCTCCATGGGTAATGAATTAGAGTGGAGATATCAGTATGAACTCGTGTTTAGGTTAATGTAGACATAGATGGTTATATGCAGATATAATGTAAGATATGTGTATATATGCAGGTTAGTACACACACTTCTAACTCTTTGCTATGTCAATAAGAGGGCCCAGAATCAATGACATTGCAGTAGCAAAGAGTACATCTAGCACCTGGATCTTGTTTTCTAATGCCATTCTCAAAAAAAGTAACCAGGTATCCTTGGATAACTGGCTTCTCCTGGGATTGGGTCAGGTAATGCAAAAGCTAAGCCTAGAGCAACTTGTGGTGCTAGAAAATGGAAAGTGCTCAAAAGAAGGAAAATATCACAGTGATGGGAATGTGTCAAACAGATACAGGATCCAACTGAAAGGTCTCTCAATGGCCAAAGCTAAAACAACTTAACTGATATAGTAGTATGGGATTATAACCCAAAGAATAAAATAAATATCCCTGAATCTTTATTGATATAAATAAATTATTGAATACATTTTAAAATCATGGGAAATAAATGAATCTTCAGTGCAGAATAGTGATAAATAATTTTTGCAGATCCCCTGCCTTTAAGGAGGTGAAACAGAACTTTCTACTCCTCATTTGTGGATTGTGCACAATGACTTTTTCCCAAAGATGACAATACTAAAAGAGAAAAGAAAAGACTAATTTTAGAGTGGAGAAACCTCGCGAGCAGTACTTCAGACCAGGGGATTAAGGTTGACATGCACAGTGATAAATCATGTTTGTAGTATGTACTCTTAATGTGAGAAGAATGGCACTTTACCTCTATGGTCTTATTTCCCCAAACCCATAACTTCAGTCTAATCACGAAGGGGATATTTAAAATGCAAACTGAGGATATGCTGCAAAATAATTCATTAGTAATCTTCAGAAATGTCAAGGTCATCAAAAATAGGAAAAGTCTGAGAAACTGTCACAGTCAAGACACCTAAGGAGACATGGCAAGTGTCATGTGGCATTCTGAATGGAATCCCACAACTGAAAACAGACATTAGGGAAAAACTGAGTGAATCTGAATAAAGCATGGACTTGAGTTAATAATGATGTGTCAATATTGGTCCATTAATCATGACAAATGTACCATTCTAATGTGAGCTGTTAATAATAGAGAAAATTGACCGGGCGCAGTGGCTCGTGCCTGTAATCCCAGCACTTCAGGAGGCCACAGCGGGTGGATCACGGCAGGAGATCGAGACCATCCTGGCTAACACGGTGATACCCCATCTCTACTAAAAATACAAAAAATTAGCCGGGTGTGGTGGCGGGCACCTGTAGTCCCAGCTACTCAGGAGGCTGAGGCAGGAAAATGGCATGAACCTAGGAGGCAGAACTTGCAGTGAGCACTGCAGTGGAATTCTGGGATTCCACTGCAATTCCACTGCAATGATGGGAATGTGTCAAACAGATACAGGATCCAACTGAAAGGTCTCTCAATGGCCAAAGCTATTGAGTGCAGTGGAGTGCAGTGCACCACTGCACTCCAGCCTGGGTGACAGAGCGAGACTCTGTCTCAAATAATAATAATAATAGAGAAAACTGAAGCCAGGCACAGTGACTCACACCTGTAATCCCAACACTTTGGGAGGCCAAGGTGGGCAGACCACAAGGTCAAGAGATCGAGCCTATCCTGGCCAACATGGTGAAACCCCATCTCTACTAAAAATACAAAAATTAGCTGGGCATGGTGACATGTGCCTGTGATCCCAGCTACTTGGGAGGCTGAAGCAGGAGTATCGCTTGAACCCAGTAGGCGGAGGTTGCAGTGTACCAAGATCATACCACTGCACTCCAGCCTGGCAACAGAGCGAGACTCTGTCTCAAAAAAACAGTAATAATAGTAATAACAATAATAATAGAGAAAAAGGAGTGTGGGTATTTGTGCAAAATCTCCTTATACTGTTTGACATAATTCTGTAAACTGTTATGAAGTAAAACTGTTCTAAAAGATATAAGTTACTAAAAATAAGTCAAGGTATACCTACTTAATATAACAATATATTTTAAGCTTCTACTATGTAAGAATTTGATGAAAATCCAAAAGAACATATTTTGTAAGCTATTGAACCATAATCAAACAGAAAGAGTAAAGTTTGTTTCAAAGTTACAGCATTGGCACATCATTTGCCCCCCAAACCAGACCATATTCTAAATTTATTAAAGACTGTACTCTTGGTATTCCCATTCCAGTCTCTGGACTGTGAGTAGAAATAAAAGCCAATTCAATGTAATGCATCCTCACAAGTACCTTCCATGAAATAAATAATAGGTGACCACAAGGTTCTATGGATTTTAAGTGTGAACACAGTACACACTTTGATAAGAATTAATAATACTTTTAATAAAACAACATTGATATTCATTCATTAATCAGAGTTTATGGTCTATTATTTGAACTAACAGAATTAATTCAAGTTAGAAGAACTAACCTGAACTGCTGAAGTGAATAAAAACTTTGGAATATTTATGTCCTGATAACCTCGTGCAGAAAAACTTTGTTGGAATGGAACTTTTTTTTTTTTTTTTACAATTTAATATCAATTTAATTTTTAAAAAACTTAATAAAAAATATAACAGAATTGAAACATTTAAGATAAGTACACTCACTACCCACTCCAGTAATTCATTTAAGTCATGCCAACTATAGAATATGAAAAATAAATTCAGAAGTGTAATTACTTTAAAATACACTACTTCCACTTTTGTAAGTATTTTACATTTATGTATATATTCTATAGTGGAAGCAGAAATTCTCTCTAAAAACATTATCTCCTTAAAATCTTGAGGTGCATATTAGAGCCACAGGCAATCTCTGACATATAAAATTGCAGTACAGGCCTTTCAAATTTGGCATTTCACTGGTACAATACAACAACCAAGACATATAATAACTGTACAGTGCCTAGACATTCCAGTAAGAACCATTATTTTCTTTAATGTAGAATGATTAATACATATTCTACAAGGGGCAGTAAGGTTAGTAATTCTATAGGGTATGTCCCGACATAATTTTCAAATTGTGCAATAACACAAACAACTTTGTTAAGGCCATGTTTTATTTGCTGATTAATGGACAAAAGGCAATGTAATTTATTTTCAAGTATTTTCTTGAAAGTCTGTGCTCATAAAAATCATGAAAAGTTGGAAAGACTGTTAAATCACTGAAACTTCAAATATATCTTACACAATCTTGTTTGTACAAAAATACAAGTTAAATATAAACATAAAGCAATCATGGTAATTTTATGCAAATCTGTTTTATGTGATCATCAGTTATATATAAAAGTTTCTCAGTTCTGTTATTTGTGAAAAGATCAATACCAGATTGAATGACTACCTATTGGCAAAGGGCCCTAAAAAGCTTACTTTAGCACTAATCTTTTACATAGTTAAATGCATTTCCTAATTTGAGATCACCTAAACACTGGAAAAGAAAAAAAATGAAAGGGCAGTATGTCCATAAACCAACAAATAATTTGGCTGTAATGTGTCATAAAACACAAACCCCACACATCTGTACAATAAACATTATGTATTACATACACAAAGGTGTGTGTGTGTGTGCATGCACACACACACACACAACACACACCCAGTCATAAAGCCTAATGATGTGCTGCTTCCAGTTCAATATTCAGCTGTGCATTTTTTCTTATTTCATCAAATGAATAGCTTTTTGTCACCTTGCCATTCTTGAAGACAGTATGGAGAAGATCCTGACCATATTCCTCAAGGTCTCCTTTTCCTTCTTCCAGTGTAACAAAATTCCCTGCTGGCGTCCTATGTAAAGATAATCGGCCCTTTTTGGACCTTTTGTTGGGATCAGCAACCGGGTCCTTGAAGACGTTAATCCCAAGGCCATTAGTTACAACATAGCTACACTTGAAGGAACAATTCAAGAGATCTCTTGTTAACTTCTGTAGCAAACCTCCACCAGAACCGAAGGCAATATTTTCAATACTCCACATTTTTTGTTTCATGCCTTCTACAATCTCTTGTAAGGTATTAATATCTACTCCATCCCCTTGAATAACTCTAAGATAAGGTGGCAGCAACTTGTAACCCTTTGAGTTCTCAGTAACAGGAAACTTCTTACCTAAAATCTCCAAAACCTTTAACACAGTGTCAAGAGGGTTTCCAGAATCAGGTCTGATTATTAGTGGTGCCTGTGTACTTCTCGATACTATTAAATGTCTTAGATCTTCACCCCATATTTTCTCACACGCATTATAAATGTCATAGCTATTGCTGACCACAGATACAGGCACTGATGAAAACTGTGTTACAATATGTTCAAAAGCATCTTTTTCATGGTCTTTCCCCCAAGCTGTTATGGTACTGTGTTCTGCTGCTGGAACAGAATAGCCTGGAACAGGATCTTTCGTTCCATAATATTTTTTATTTAGAGCAAGTCCTGCTACTGTATCTGTTCCTTTGAAGTTAACCAAATGAGCAGATGCTCCTATGCCAGCAGTCTCTTGGGAAGAGACTCCTCTGTAGCCAAAATCATGTAACTTGTATTCCAGACCATCTAAGTTACCAGAAGTTTCTAACAAATATTTGGCCAATATTTTCTTCTGCTCTCTAGAATTTGTGGCCACTGTGATTGGATACCAGGACTGAACAAGAATAGTCTCAATCCAATTTGTAAGCCAGTAACACTCTGGATCTGTGTTTTCCACCGTGAAGAGAACATTTCCTCTGGGAATGACAAAGCCTTCAGGAACAGCTTTTATTTCTATTGGAAGATGCCCATCATATTTCTCAAGAATGTAGTTCCATCCTTTTTCATTAACGACATCATCTTGGAAATGTTCTTTGTAGACATCTTTGGCTTCCTGGATTTTCTCTTTGGTTACTACTTTACCTTTTAAGTACTTATTAAGAATGTACTGCAACCCATAAAATACTGTTTCCTCATATTTCACCTTCCTTAATTTGGAGTTTTCTGTCTTCTTTTCACGGCATTCAAAGTAGGAATAAACTTTGCTTGTGTTGGGTGGATATTGTTTATAGTGAGTAACCTGCCCAGCCAGGGGCGTGCGCGCCGGGCTGGCCCAGCAGGGAAAGCCCCGCTCACTCTCCACTGCGGGCCCCTGGGGCCGTTACCTAACTGGTCCCAGCTCCAGGCCAAGAGGCCGCGCTTCAGGGAAGGGCATGCGCTCGCCGGCGACGCCCAAGCCCCGAGCCCCGAGCACCGGAGCCCGGGAGTCCGCTGGGGCCCGCCAGGAATGGAACTTTTAAAAGACCTCTTAATAAGTAAATATTCCAAAGCAGCTAATAAATAAATGATCTCTTCTGCTCTTGGAATGGATATTTGGTCACAAATAATAACAGACATGATTAGAATGAAAACATCTGATTTTATGTGCATTTGATAATGTGATTCCAGGGTTGAAATTCTGAGAGAATGATATTTTATGATTTTACAGGTATATGTGTTGTTCTTTCTTTGTTCTCTCTCATTCTTTCCTTCTTTTCTGTGTATCATATCCCTAGAGATCCCAGTTCCCAGCAGGTGGTGATCATATTGAGCTGATAGTCCTGTATCTTAGTAATGGAGTTTTAATCATATTATATGTTTTGGTGGCAGTCACTGCAGGCTGCAGAGTTGATACTGTTCTCAAACTTTGTCTATTTAAGTTGCTAAGTTAGTAGCCACTTTGTGGTTCAGTGTCTGACAATTTCAACTAATCAATCTTTGATGGAACTTCAGATCAAAAAATGACAAAGATAAATCAAGGCATGTGAATTCCCCCCCGCCAACCCCGCCATATCTTAGCCCCCTTACTAGGGAATGGCAAATATGTTTGGATAAGATAATACCCTGGAGGGTCTACTGCCTGCAATAGCTATTTTCAGAAAATGATTCCCGGCTGAACTCTGTTGTCTGACACTCACACTATTCTGAGCCTTTCATTCACCCCAACCCCGCTCACTCTGTCTCTGGTTACTCCCAGTGAGCCAGTGCTTCCATTTTACCTCAGTCATGCCGCCATGAAAACTGCTATTTTCTTTTGGTTGTGCCAGCATTCATGCCTTCTATTGCCCAATGAGGATACATTAGGAGAAAGAGGAGTGAGGAGAGGATTTGAGCACCAATGATGTGTATCTTCATCATATGTTATTGGTACTCTTATTAACCTCTACTTTGTAAAAACTTTGATTTGAAAAAGTTAAGTAACTTACCCGAAGTGAAAAACTTTTGTCTATTTTTTTCATATCATGGTAAATATAGACTGATTTCATTGCATCTTTTACTGCTCAGGGATGTCACCTATGAACATTTCAACAAATATTTTTTTGCACCTCCAACATACTGGTTATCATTTCAGGCGCTGTGCAGATTGGAAACAAAAAAAGCAAAAATCTCTACACTTCTTGACCTCATTCTACTAAATCCAACAAGCAAAATTATATTAAAAGAAAATGCAAAAAGAATCCCAAGTCTTCATTTTTATGTTTCATATTTAGAAAAACCAATGATAAGGAAACAAGTCAAGGATAACTATTGGGTTTCTGGCTTGAGCAACTGGTTAGAAAATGATACAATATTCTAAAGGGAAGGAAGTGAAGAGCTCATTCTTTTTCAAAATTTCTGATTTTGGTTCCTCAACTCAATTTTAATGTACTTGGCAAGATTAGGTAAAATGCTCCTTTGTATTTCAACAATTGGATCTGCATTGAGATGAATCAGATTAATACGTGATCCTGACTTCACAAGTCCAGATCTTTTTTATAGAAGATCTGTGCTTGTTTTATTTAAATATTGTTTTTTAAAATGTTATTGTTTCTAACAATGGTTCTATTTATTTTGTGGAAAAAATACACATAAAATGATTTGATTTCCAACATCCATCTCTGAAATTCTCTGTATAGTTGATCTCATTCTGACCCTAAGCTGATATTTGCAGCTGCATCTCCACATATATTTTAATTCTCAAACCAAATATAACTTCCTAGAGTTATTGGCTGTACAACCTGCCAGGAAGCAAAAGAAAAGAGAAGTTGAGCAGGGGGAACTAGTCCTATGAGATTATTGACTCCAGATGTTCCAATTACTCCTTTTGGGGACTTTATTGACTTAAGTTATACAAATCCTCCTCTATAAATCCTTACTCAGTCATGTTTGGCAAAGACTGCATTCTGTTTCTCCCAAAACACCTTTATAAACTCATAGTAGAGTTCACACCTAATAGAGGAAGAAGCAAAAATATCATGGTCACATTAAATCTTATGGAGTTTTAAAAAGACATAGTTAACTGATTTAATTTTTGTCTACTGAGAGTTGAGGTATGTCAATACAGCATAGCATTCTAAGGCATTTCATGTTTTTTTATTTTTTATTTTTTTCATAGAGCAGTAAGCCATTCTGCAAATTAGATGTGATTGGAATGATGACTTCTAATTATGTTTCCTACTTAAAGGGTAAAATATTTACCCTTTATCTCATAGTCATAGCCTCCTTGATACTCTCCTTGATTAAATTTTATTATAAACTTTAAAAACAGGACCTGCCCATTTTAAATAATTATCAGTACATTTATTTTAAATCAAATGGCTCGGCTACATCAACCCTGTATATCTGTCATGTGAAATTAAATATGGAGCAATAGTGTCTTAATTCTACCTTTTTGACAGTTTTCATCGGTGAAACTTTGATGAAATTGATGTATTTTCAAATCTTTTCATAATGTAACACCAATGCTATAAATTTTTGAGGAAATTTTTGTTATTTCTTTTTCTTTTTTCTTTTCTTTTTCTTTTTTTTTTTTTTTTTTGAGATGGAATCTCACTCTGTCGCCCAGGCTAGAGTGCAGTGTTGCAATCTCTGCTCACTGCAACCTCCACCTCCTGGGTTCAAGAGATTCTCCTGCCTCAGCCTCCCAAGTAGTTGGGACTACAGGGACCCACTACCGCACCCGGTTAATTTTTGTATTATTAGTAGAGACGAGGTTTCACCATGTTGGCCAGGCTGGTCTCAAACTCCTGACCTCAGGTGATCCACCTGCCTCGGCCTCCCAAAGTGCTGGGATTACAGGCATGAGCCACCGTGCTCAGTCTATTTCTTAATATAATTAGCACAAAAGTATAACAAGTAGTTGTATATCATTGCCATCCAACGAGTATATATAGTGTATGATGAGATACCAATGGATGGTTAACTCAAGGAGAGTAAGAGACCTAATGTGTGGGTTCACAATAATCTAGAAAAAGTGCACAAAAAGTATTTTGAGAAATCTAAAGTTCTTATTTCAGGAAGCAGGCATTCTCTAGCTTATTGCTCTAAGCTCAAAAGAGGGTAAGGTCTGCCCAAAGCATAGTTGGAGAAAATCTGCAAGTAGAGAGAGGTAAATACCCTGTCTTCGGGTGGAGAAACATCAACTCTGTGAGGTGTGCAACTGGAGTCTACTTATTCTCAATTGATCTACTGTATGACAACTTGTTCAAAATAATAGTAGCAACAACATATGCCAGTATTCATGCTCATACACACACAGAGACACACACACATACTTATGTATGTTTACATATAAATGAAATAAATGGTAGCAATGAAACAAAGGAGAGAGGAGTTCAAATTACTTTGTTATTATAAGTTACTTGCACTGCACATGAATTGGTAGGTATATTATTAATAAGAATGAGCTTGGGGCTGGGTGCGGTGGCTCATGCCTGTAATCCCAGCACTTTGGGAGGCCAAGGCAGGTGGATCACCTGAGGTCAGGAGTTCGAGACCAGCCTGGCCAATATGGTGAAACCCCATCTCTACTAAAAATACAAAAATTAGCCAGGCACAGTGGCAGACGCCTGTAATCCCAGCTACACGGGAAGCTGAGGCAGGAGAATTGCTTGAACCTGGGGGATGGAGGTTGCAATGAGACAAGATCGAGCCACTGCACTCCAGCCTGGGAGACAGAGTGAGACTCCATCTGAAAAAAAAAAAATATATATATATATATATATATATGTGTGTGTGTGTGTGTGTGTGTGTGTGTGTGTGTAAAGCTCAGTAACACCACCAATCAGTTGGATATAACGAACATGTATTGACTACTTCATCCAACAACAGTAGAGTAAATATTTTCAAGCTCTTAGGAAACATTGACCAAGATAGACCGCATTTGGAACCTAAAACCTTAAGTTTAAGAAAATAAAAATCACACAATGTCTGTTCTGACTACCACAGAATTAAACTGGAGATTAATCACAGAAATATGACTGGAAAAACCCCAAATACTTAGAGATTAAACAACATATTTCTAAATGACACATGACTTTAAAAAGCAATATTGAGAGAAATATAAAAATATTTTGAAGTAAGTAAAAATGAAAACACAATCTACTAAAATTATGGCGTTCAGCAAAAGTAGTGTTCAGAGGGAAATTTACAAGTTTGAATCCATATCATAGAAAAAAGAAATCAATCATCTATGCCCACATCTTAGGAAACTAGTAAAAGAAGAGTAAATTAAATCCAAAGTATACAGAAGAAACATAAAAAATTAGAGCAGAAATCAGTAACACTGAAAATATGAAATCAATAGAGAAAATAATTGGAGCCAAAAGCTGGTAATTTGAAAAGATAAATAAAAATCAATAATTCTGTAGGCAGGCTAACTAAGAAAAAAGAAAGAGGGCACAAATTATTAATATCAGACACGAAGGAAGGGACATCACTACTGATCCTGTAAACATTAAAAAGATAATAAAGGAATATTGTGAATAGCTTTTTGCCCACAAGTTAATAACGTAAGTGTAATAGGCCAATTCCTTGAAAGACACAATTTGCCAAAACACACAAAAAGAAATAGCCAAAGGGTATTAAAGAAATTTGGTCAACAATAAATAACTTTTTGAACCAGAAACCACCATGCCTAGATGGATTCCTTGATAAATTATACCAAACATTTGAGGAATAAATTATACCAATTATCTATGTTTTCTTCCAGCAGAAAGAAGCAGAAGGGATACTTCCTAACTCATTCGAAATCATCAGCATTGCCCTAATACCAAAACTAGACAAAGATGTTATAAAAAAGGTAACTATAGACCACTATCTCTTATGAAAACAGAGACAAAAATATTTAATAAAATATTTGCAAATCAATCCAATAGTGTATAAAAATAATTATACAGCCTGACCAAGTGGGATTTGCCCCAGGTATGCAAGGCTGGCTCAACATTCAAAAGTCAGTTAATGTAATAAATCACTTGTATGTAATGTAATCAAAACAGACTAAAGAAGAAAACTCACATGATCACATCACTAAACAAAAAAAATAAATTTAATAAAATTCAACACCCATTTTACCTTCTAAAAACACTCAGCAAACTAGGAGTAGAAAGACCTTTTCCTAACTTAATGAAGACAACTACCAAAACCCTGCAGCTAACATCATACTTAATGGTGAGAAAGTTAAATATCTTCTGCAAAGATATTTCCTGTTACCTCTCCTTTTCAACATTGTACTAGAAGTCCTAGCTAATGCAATAAGACAAGAAAATGAAATAAAGGGATTACTGACTGGAAAGGAAGAAATAAAACTGACTTTATTCACAGATTACATAATTATCTCTCAAGAAGATCCAACAGTTCTGACAAAAAAGCTCCTTGAACTAATAAGTATAGTATTTCTTTATACTAGTAATAAATATAATTTAACTTTTAAAACACGTTATTACTTTAGCACTCAAACAAATTACTTAAATATAGCTATAATAACTATGTTAAAAATTGATAAATTATGTACAAAATGAGGAAAACTACAAAACTCTGATGAATAAAACCAAAGGTAAACTAAAACAATTGAAAGATATTTCATGTTCATGGAAACGAAGACAATATTACCAAGTTCTTCCCAACTTGATTTACAGGTCCAATGCAATCTCAAACAAAATTCTAGAAAGATACTTTCAATATGTTGACAAATTGATTCTAAAATTTATATGGAAAAACAAAAGACCTAAAATAGCCACAACAATATTGAAGGAGAACGAAGTCATTATACATTTGTCAAAATCCATTGAATGTATTAACACCGAGAGTAAACCCTAATGTAAATGGTGATATGTTATTGGGGTGATAATGGTATGTCAGTGTAAGTTTATCAGCTGTAACAAATGCAGCACCCTGGTGTGGGATTTTGATAGTAAAAAAAGCTGTGTGTATGTGGCACATGAAGTAAATGAGAAATCTGTATCTTCTGCTCAGTTTTGCTATGAATCTAAAACTGCTCTAAAAAAATAAAAATAAAGTTGGAGAACTACCTTTTTCTTTTTTCACAGGGTCTTGCTTTGTCACCCACGGCATGATCACAGCTCACTGTAGCCTCGACCTTCTGGGCTCAAGCAATTCTCCGGCCTTAGCCTCCCAAGTAGCCAAGACTACAGGCAAGTACCACCATGTTCAGCTAAATTTTGTATTTTTTGTAGAGACTGGGTCTCGCTTTGTTACCCTGGCTGGGCTGCAACTCCTGGGTTCAAAAAAGTGTTGGGATTGTAGGCATGAGCCACTGTGCCCAGCCAAGTTGGAGAACTTCTTAAAAATGTTTGCTATTTAAGTTTTGCTCTAGCACAAGTTGCCTAAAGGAAACAGTGAAAAATACGTTTAGAAAGTTATACATAATCCAAATTGTGACGGTCTTAAAGAATTTTAAGTTTTATTCTGTAAGCAGTGAAGAACCACTGAATGAACAATTTGTGGAATAGTCTTCTCTAAGATGACTAAAGTATTCAGAGTGACCATGTATAAACTTATGTGCCCCATGTTCATAGTTCAATTCATTTGCAAAGATATTTACTTTTAACAAGATATTTCAGAAATGAGTTGGAAACCTTGGTTCATTAACAATTAGTAATTACAATGCACAAATCGGCTGGTAAAGTACTAGTAAGTTCTACTGACTAATAAAGGCTTAGATTACTTAGATTTTTACAGTATCCAAAATCACCACAGTTCTGGATAGAAATGAATAGTGTATTTGCTTTATGTACTATTGGATTTTTCTGTTTCCATTACAGTCATGCATATATGTAATAACAGGAAAATGAATCTGTAAATAGTGTCTTTTATAGTTTTTTTTAAAGAATTGTTAGGTATACATGAGCCATTAGATAAATGGGGTCAAAAATGTCTTTAGAAATCATACTACTTATTCACATAACAAATGGGAAGCTTATGGGAGCTTCAGAAAATTGAGTGATTTTAAATGAATAATACATATTATAGGTAGTCAATAGCTGTTAAATGTTTAATCTAATCATCAAGCAAATCTCCATTTTAAAAAATGAGGTGTTATTTTATCACCTATCAGTGGAAGAAAAATATATAACCAACAAATCTCATATTATGATTTATTTCATAATTAGTAATTTATTTTATTTTTATGAATGTAGCATTTTTTCTTCTAAATTTATATTAAATTTAAACATGTAACTAGGGCATTAAATTGTAAATGATGTAATTCTCATTTTATCAACCCAATTGCCAGTAACAATTTATGTTAGAGCTGTTGGCTTTGTGTAGTTTTCCAAAAAAGAAAAATCCTGTTTGGTGTGCCTAGGTATGATGTCATCATTACCAAGTCATTAGTCACTTAATCAAGGCCCTCATAAAGTGTCAGCTAAGCTTTTCCAGAGCATGAGAATGGTGACTAAAAATGCCTGTTGTAGAAATATACAGTTTGTAATGTTCTAGTACAGTGTACATTGGCAATAAACCACCAGAGCACAGGGGAAGAAAGAAGACATTATGAGATGCAGAAAAATTAACTAAAATGGTGTAATACGTGAAAATGGTTCACACAGGGCCTGCTACAGACTAGACACCCAGTAGGTTTTTTAAAAATTTGTTTTCTTTTTCCTTTTTTCAAGGAATGGGAAGTGAAAGTTCTTTTGAAAAAATTGTATGTTCATTGGCAGAAATTGGTCTCATTTGATAATGTTTCACATTTTAAATAATTTGCTAATTAGTAATGCTAAAATTATCCCTACATGGTGTCAAAACGTGGAACAAAATGGAATATAAAAATTACTCATGTTTGGCCAGGCACAGTGGCTCAATACCTGTAATCCCAGCACTTTGGGAGGCCGAGGCAGGCGGATCACGAGGTCAGGAGATGGAGACTATCCTGGCTAGCACGGTGAAACCCCATCTCTACTAAAAATACAAAACAAAAATAGCCAGGCGTGGTGGCAGGCGCCTGTAGTCCCAGCTACTCGGGAGACTGAGGTGGGAGAATGGCGTGAACCCGGGAGGTGGAGCTTGCAGTGAGCTGAGATCGTGCCGCTGCACTCCAGCCTGGGCAACAGAGAGAGACTCCATCTCAAAAAAAAAAAAAAAAAAAATTACTCATGTTTAGCTAGTAAAAAGTAAAAAATTGTATATATAAGGATTTTATTTTTATGCCACTGATTATGATGTACATATAAAGTCTATCATGGGCCAGGCGTGGTGGCTCATGCCTGTAATCCTAGCACTTTGGGAGGCCAAGGCCAGTGGATCATCTGAGGTCGGGAGTTCGAGACCAACCTGGCTAACATGGCAAAACCCAGTCTCTGCTAAAAATACAAAAATTAGCCAGCCATAGTGGCTCACACCTGTAATCCCAGCCACTTGGGAGGCTGAAGGATGAGAATCACTTGAACCCGGGAGGCAGAGGTTGCAGTGAGCCAAGATCATGCCATTGCACTCCAGCCTGGGCAACAGAGTGAGACTCTGTCTCAAACAAACAAACAAAAAAGGCCAGGTGTGGTGGCTCACACCTATAATCCCAGCACTTTGGGAGGTCAAGGCAGGTGGATCATGAGGTCAGGAGTTCGAGACCAACCTGACCAACATGGTGAAACCCTGTCTCTACTAAAAATACAAAAATTAGCCAGACGTGGTGGTGCACACCTGTAGTCCCAGCTACCCGGGAGGCTGAGGCAGGATAATTACTTGAACCCCAGGGGGGTGGAGGTTGCAGTGAGCCAAGATCACACCATGGCATTCCAGCCTGGGCGACACAGCGAGACTCTGTCTCAAAAAAAAATAGTCTGTTGTGACATGGGGAACCATATAAATGGTGACAACGTTGTCATCTCATGTTAAGATCTATGAGAGGTTTGCTATACCCAGAAACATTTAGTAACATGTACACCCAATACATTAATTTACTGTATATTTTGAACCTAAGGGAAACATAGCCGTAACTGCTCCCTCAATGGGGTCAGATGCAGATTTCACTGTTCTGCTTGGCCGTGGTGGGGATCCCCTTCATTCTTCACATTTTTAGGTCCTTCTTTCTTAACAAGCACTTAAGGAAAAATAATAACCTTCAATAGGCAGAGAAGAACTGTTTTGTGGTCAAGGACATTTATGTCTTAAGTCCCTGCTTAACATCATTAATCAAATTCTCAAGGTTTATTTATGAGAAACCAGAGAATGTCAAGGGTCCAAGACTGAATCTTGATTTTTCTATTCCAAGCACCAGTTTCCTCATGAAGACTATAGTCAAAAATAAAATCTGTCTACTTGATGGTTGAATTTATTTCTGCCTAATCACCTATTCAAACACACCAACTGAGGATCTAAAATATTTGTGTGTGTGTGTGTGTGTGTGTGTGTGTGTGTCTGTAATTTTCAGTAGTCTAGAGCAACAGACCTCCATTACTTTAGCCTTCTAAACACACATTTTACTCCCTGCGAATGACTTAGTAATGGAATTGTCTGATTTAGCTGGAAACTTGGCTTTTCTCTATTCATATGCGACTTAGTGTTCCAGCAATTCTCGTTTATAACATGTTAAAACTACTGGGCAAACTTTACATGCAATGGAAAAAATTTCACGTACATCTGTGAGCCCATATACTGAGGCGGGAGGCGTGCAGATGGAGAGGTATGGAGGAAAATGTTAATTTCCATTTTTCTCTCTGGGGATGCAAGCATTTAGCCTACAGCACTGGGAGCCTCATAAGTTATTACGCTGCATGTGAGACTATTGTCCTCTTCGAAACAGTAGAGTGTCTGAGAAAGCATTAAATGCTAAAAGCAAGAGAAACTGCTTTAAAGTTATGAAATTTTAATGAGACATTTGCTGAGGCAAATGTCTGAAGAGGGTAAAAATTTTAACATTCACAGAGCTAAGAATATAATTCAGATGTTTTGGTGATAGCTGGCACAAAGAAAATAGAAACAACTTGTATCATTGACCAGCAACTGCTCGCTGGGGTGTGATTGAACTTCTTGTTGCTAAAAAATCTAATGTGAGTATGAAAGACAACTTAGTATGTTTTCCTTGATCCAGAAACATCACCATGTGGACTCAATTATATCTGTTGTGACGGGATAGGTTCTCAAAGTCCCAGTGGCCTCCAAGTGTGCTTGCTCTAAGCCGATTATCTCTGAGGTCATGGGACAGAATGGTGCCCAGACCCAAGTAAGATGCTCAAGTCACATGGCTTGCTAAATCATACAGCAAGATGCAAGGAGAAAGAGAGGAAGTAGGTTCACAAACTTAGGAAAGGGAGCTAGCAAAATGAGAAGACCATGACACCTGAATCCGGTGTTACACAACCTTCACATATCCTGTTTCTCTGACACATAACCCTGCCCTGCGGTGGTGTGGTTTCAAGGTCCAGAGCGCAGGGTGAGCAAGGGGCTTAGTAAGTGCCCTGAAGCTAGCACTCACTTCCTCCCACAGAGAGGCACATGTTCAGGGACTCCTGGCCAGCAGCTGGGGCTCACTGGAAACTGCTGAGATGCTCTGGGATTTGTCTGCATATCCTAGGTAGGAGACATATGGGGCCAGAATGGAGGTAACCAAAAATTGAGGAAGATCTAGTGCCCCATAACTACTTAATGCTTCCTTAGGCCTTTTCTCCCTTCCTATCCATGTTCAACACACTTAGGCTGAACTTACTTTTCTGAGTCTAATGATTCTCACAAGCTACTGACTATTCTGTAGTCAGCTTTATGCCCTTAATTTGTATCTCTGTGTTCTATAAAAGAATTCAATAATCTCAAATGATGTAACAATTACACTTTTTTAGGTTAAGATGTCAAAATGAATAAATCATAAAGTAAAAATGTGGATATTTCCTTTTATCATGCAAAGCTTACTACAGGAGTTTTCGCAGGTTCTTGTAGCTTTCTTGTACCTCCCAGGATTCTCCTTTGCAGCTTTTTCCCATCACAGGAGTTGTATAGCCAGGGGCTAGAAGTATAATGAGCAGCTCCCGAGATATCATAATATTTCTCTTCTGTCTGCTCTCCTCCTCCTCTTTCTTTCCAGCATCCTCTCCTCCTCTTTCTTCTCATTTTCCTTCTCCACTTTCTTTTCCTTCCTTTCCTTCCTTCTGGTTAATCCTGATTTGGAAATTTTGGGTTATATACTTGCAAATCATTTACCCATTAATCTTTTATCCAACTGTAATATATCTTACTTTATGTGAATAATAGTGAGTAGAAACTCACCAGGTACTAAACTAATTAAAGTTTTTCCCATGAATTGAGAAGCAGCTGAAATATTGACTGCAGAACACTGCTTTAATTATGGTTCCTGCCCTCTAGCATTAGGTAAGTGTTATTGAGAGTCTGTTCATTCTATTTTTGACAGGTTCAAACTTATGCAACGCTAGCTGAGGATAAAATGTACATCAAGAAAGTAAGACATGCCAAAATATGCTTAGTTTATGTTTTTATTTTATTTTTTGAGAC
This sequence comes from Homo sapiens, assembly GCF_000001405.40. Taxonomy (NCBI): domain Eukaryota; kingdom Metazoa; phylum Chordata; class Mammalia; order Primates; family Hominidae; genus Homo; species Homo sapiens. The sequence continues at coordinate 36,535,913 of NC_000010.11, forward strand.
AGAGTCTCACTCTGTCGCCCAGGCTGGAGTGCAGTGGCATGATCTCAGCTCATTGCAATCTCCACCTCCCAGGTTCATGTGATTCTCCTGCCTCAGCCTCCCGAGTAGTTGGGATTACGGGCGTGTGCCACCACACCCAGCTTTTTTTTTTTTTTTCAATATTTTTAGTAGAGACAGGGTTTCATCATGTTGGCCAGGATGGTCTCAATCTCCTGACCTTGTGATCCCCATGCCTCGGCCTCCCAAAGTGCTGGGATTACAGGTATGAGCCACCACACCTGGCTGGTTAGTTTATTAAAAGAATAAATTGAAAAAGAAGTCAAAAATATATATTCTGGGCACAATGAATTCTAGATCTATATTAACATGATCAGACAGGTTAGTTAAAATGACAGGGAAGACCAAAACATATTTGTAGGAATATGTGCTTCTCTGCCTCTTACATAGATACAGTGATTTCTCTATTAGATGTGCTAGGCTAAGGAGTATAAAAATATAAATACCATGTAGAAGTTGCAATTTATATTTTAAAAAGAGTGCTCCTCTTCTTCTCCTTTCTTTTTTTTCTTTCATTGTCTTTCTTTTTTTGTCCTATGTTTTATATTTACCCTGAACTAAAGAATGAAAGTGACATTATTACTTGGAGTCTTTTGTATTTCTCCTTTAATTTAATCTAATTTAATTTAAAATATATAATTGACAAATAAATATTGCACAAGACCTCCTTTAATTTTAAATACCCAAATATTTAAAAATGTAAGTATGAATATTTAAATGAAAAACATTTAAATTTTAACACTTAATTGAAATATTTAAAACATATTTTGAAGAGATATATGTAAGTAACAGGATCACCAACGACAGAGGAATCTGGAAAGAACTTGCATATATACAGGATAAGTATGTAAACTGTGCAATAACTTCAGCTGACTTGGAGGGTACAGCTTATTTTTATTTTTATTTTTTTGAGACAGGATATCACTTTGTCACCCAGGCTGGTGTGCATTGGTGCAATCTCTCCTCACTGCAGCCAATCTTCCCACCTCAGCTTCCCACATAGCTGGGATTACAGGCATGCGCCACCATGCCTGGCTAACTTTTGTATTTTTTGTAGAGACGGGTTCTCAATGTGTTGCCCAGGCTGGTCTTGAACTCCTGAGCTCAAGCGATCCACCTGCCTTGGCCTCCCAAAGTGCTCAGATCACAGGCATGAGCCACCATGTACGGCTGAGGGTATAACTTTTAAATACTAGTAAAACAGCCAAGATTACCTTCTCTTTTTAGATATTCTTTTTAAAATAATCATATTAGACATAAGAAAATCTGGAATTCCAGCTCCGTCAATCATTCACTAAAAACTGAGACCTTACTGTATGCCTACAAGTAAATGAATTAATTTCTCAGGGGTGAGTTGTGGGATTTTTCTCTTAAATACACATTACACGTATTTGAAAATACATTTTCAAGTATAATTAGCTCGTTTTAAATTGGCTTCTATTGGAAAAGATGATTTTTTTTTTTTGAGACGGAGCCTCGCTCTGTTGCCCAGGCTGGAGTGCAATGGCGCAAGCTCCGCCTCCTGGGTTCAAGCAATTCTCCTGCCTCACCCTCCGGAGTAGCTGGGATTACAGATGCCCGCCACCACACACGGCTAATTTTTTGTATTTTTAGTAGAGACAGGGTTTCACCGTGTTAACCAGGATGGTCTTGATCTCCTGACCTCGTGATCTGCCTGCCTAGGTCTCCCAAAGTGCTGGGATTACAGGTGTAATCTACCGCGCCTGGTTGATCTTTGTTTTTTAAAACAGAGATCATACCTCAGCCAATGAAACATCACACTTCTCAAAACTGTTTTAGTTGAGATATTAAACATGCTTATCTTAAAGCTATTATGATTGTGGTAAACAGCAGCACTCTCCCGCTCAGCTTCTTATGATTAACCAACTACAACAGAGGCTTCACATACTCATTAGCAACCACACAAAAGATTCTAATTTCTGTTTCTGGAGTAGAATGTTTAATTAAGTCACAAAAGGCACTTTGCAATTAGTAATTTTCACTCTTCTTCTTTTTTTTTTTTTTTTTTTTTTGAGACGGAGTCTCGCTCTGTTGCCCAGGCTGGAGGGCAGTGGCGGGATCTCTGCTGACTGCAAGCTACGCCTCCCAGGTTCACGCCATTCTCCTGCCTCAGCCTCCCGAGCAGCTGTGACTACAGGCGCCTGCCACCACGCCCGGCTAATTTTTTGTGTTTTTGATACAGACGGGGTTTCACCGTGTTAGCCAGGATGGTCTCGATCTCCTGACCTCGTGATCCACCCTCCTCGGCCTCCCAAAGTGCTGGGATTACAGGCATGAGCCACCGTGCTCGGCCCACTTTGCTTCTTTATGCTATTATTTGCCAAAAGGTAAATAAAGCTGGCTGACTAGATCATCACCAACTTGAAGCTCAAAACAGATAAATATCTTCCTAAGTGAGGGTGGTGTCCAGTGTCTTTACTAATTACATTGTAGTCTAGTTTTCAGTAACCAATTTGAAATAAAATCTAACTCTTTTATCCATGCCTGTAGCATCTAGCATGTATTAGGAACTCACTAAACATTGAAGAGAAAGAAAGAAAGAAAGAAAGAGAGAAGGGAAGGAGGCAGGAAGCGAGGAGAAAGGAAAGAAGAAAGAAGAGAGAAAATAAAGAAATAATGAATCAAGTGAATGAATGAGAATTGATCATTTGATCTTTCTGAATTATCTTTTCAATTAAGTAAAAACAGATTAGCTGAAAGAATGTTGGACTGCAAATTGAGTCCTTGGTCTAGGTGCAATGTATCTCAAAGTAATTACATAACCTGTGCAAGTCACTTTACTTTTCCTGAATTTATTTCTCACTGAGTATTTCTAGATGCTCAAGTAGAGCCTGAAACTCAATATATTCAAATATTTTATATTTCCCTTCAAATCCAACCCAGCTTCTGTACATTATTTTCCTATTAAAACATTATCATCAGCAGTAGATTGTTTACAAAAATGACTGCAATTTTTCTCTTCCCTAAATCAGCAACCCTTGGCAATGTGGCTTTGCAGCTCTTCCCATGAAGAAGTGTAGTCTATTTTCCCACCCTTTGTAAACAGACTGGCTTTGTGACTTGTGCTCACTAATAGGATGTGGAGGAAATGATGACATCCTGTTTCTGAGCCTAAGATTTATTATCTTTGCATGACTCTCTTAGTTGTCTCAAACCCCTGCCCAGCCTCCATGTGGAAAAGCCTGGACTAGCCTGCTGAAGGCTGAGGCCACATGGAGCAGAGGTGAGCCGTCTAACTCAGGCTGCCAAGATAAACCAGGTGTCAGCTGACCAGCAACTGATAGCAGATTCATAAACGATCACAGTCAACATCAGCCAAGCCAGGCCCAGTTCAACAGAAATGCCTTGTTGACCAGCATATTCATGAGCAATGAAAAATTGTCATTTAAGCCATTAAGCTTTGAGGTGTTTTGTTACTCAGAAAAAGCTAACTGCTACAGTGCCCTTCTGGAAACATGAAACCACTCTGTACTTTCTTCTCTTTGGTCCTTATAAGTCATTCACCAGATCTTCTGTATTTTAATTAAAATGTCTTCAAAATGCAATCCCTCTTTGCAATCCCCTGATGCTCTTCTAATTCTGGGCTCCATCGTCTCTTGCCTGAGTTTCCTGGTCTCATTCTCTTCCTCTTCCAATCCCATCTCCAAAGCACTATGTTTCAATCTAGAGATTTAATTATGTGACTCCTTTCCTTAAAAGTTGTCTTTGATTCTGTTTTCTAAGTATAATTAGCAGTGAAAATTTCTTTATAGTACATAAAGCCTTTTCTGTTTTTATTTTCTTTTCTCTTGCTGAGTATATAACATGTACTGTCATCAGTCTACCATATTCCCCCAACACAAAACCACTCATCTTTAACTTCATAATCACAATTCTAAGCCACCACTCATGTTCTTTTTGCCTGAATTCCCGTATCCACCTTGTCTACCTGGCAACTTTTTACTTATTCTTTAACATTAATCTCAGATAAAAATCTGCACTGAGATTTTCTTGGTTTCTTTCAAACAGAATGAATTATACCCTTCCTTGTGTGTCTAGGGCATGTCTGTCTAACTCAGAACTTCCTCATGCTCTACTTCATTCACTTGTTTCTCTGCCTTTGTCACACAGATTGAGTTCTTTAAATGCACAGACTCTAACTCCATCACCCTTTAATCCTTAGAAACAAGCGTAGTCTTACATAGTAGAGGCACTCAATACATGTTTTTTGATGTACGTGTAATGAGCAGAATTAAACTAACTTATCTGAAAAATGTAAAAATCTTGGTTTATCAAGATAGTTTTTAAGTTTAAAATCTGTTTACCTTGTCTTAAGAGCTTATTTATGTTTTGTGTGTCAATGCAAGTTGGTGACAAATTTTCCTGCGAGATTTATTTTGGGGCAACCTGCCTTAATGTTGCTCATAATCCTAAGGCATTTTACTATTACAGAAAATTGTAGGCAAAGAGAACCTACTAACATTGGAATTTATTAATCAGAGCAAAACATGTGGGTAACAAGCCACGGTATTAATTACAAGTGGGGTTTTATAACAAACAGATCAGAATTTATTGTAGAGGTAAAATAATGAGCTGTGAGAGCTTACTTAGTAGAGAAACATTCTATGAATCTAATAATATATAAAAGTCCATTTTTCTTTTAGTTGATTTTCTGCTTAGTTCAGATAAATCATCACTGTAGTATTACCTTCTTTCATTATGCAACAAATTTTATTTGTATTTTTAATTAATTAATTAATTTTTTTGTGGAGACAGGGCCTTGCTATGTTGCCCAGGCTGGTCTTGAACTCCTGGGCTCAAGCAGTCCACCCGCCTCAGCCTCTCAGTGTTGGGATTATAAGCATGAGCCACCGCTCCCGGAATCAGCAAATATTTGTTAAACATAAGCACATACTATGTAACACTATTCTAATCCTTCAAATCAGTTATTCTCCAAAAGAAGTAACTTTGTTTCTTTCTTGTTTTTTCCTTCCTCTATCATTTCCTTTGACTTTTTAAGAAAAGAATCCTCAGGCTTCCAGTTTATTTTAGGACACTTAGGATGTTCTCAGTTATTTTTTAATTCTCAAACTCTTTTACACACACTAGATATTTTTTACCCAGAATTTTAATACGTATAGTTTTTAAGATGATAACTGCTTAAGAAGTCTTATTTTAGTAGCTATAACACATATCCACTGATTTTTATTAATATAACATACCAGTCATAGTTTATAAATCCTTTGATTTGGGATTAAATTGAGTTTTTAAAGCATTAGTACGATTTCAGATTTTCAGTGAGAATATGATTGGGTTGTGCTAAGACAGAAATTAAAATTTTTTTTTTGAGATGAAGTTTTGCTCTTGTTGCCCAGGCTGGAGGGCAATGGCATGATCTCGGCTCATCGCAACCTCCACCTCCCGGGTTCAAGCGATTCTCCTGCCTCAGCCTCCCGAGTAGGTGGGATTACAGGCATGTGCCACCACGCCCAGTTAATTTTTGTATTTTTGGTAGAGACAGGTTTTCTCTGTGTTAGTCAGGCTGGTCTCGAACTCCTGACCTCAGGTGATCCGCCTGCCTTGGCCTCCCAAAATGCTGGGATTACAGGTGTAGAAATTTAAATTTTTATATATTTATTATTTATCAAATATTAAAATTATTATCTTAGAATATCAGTGACTATGGATAATGTTTGTTTTTTGTAAATTGAATAATTAGGTCTCATATTCACAGTTCTATAAGCAAGTTATATTTGTGTTTATTATTTTAGAAAAAGAAATATGTTTTTATAAGAATTAGAATTCAAGAGTGAATGATTAAGTATAATTGTCAATATGATTCAGTTAAGAGCTACTGAATATAAATATTATATTCAAAATAAAGCTAATATTATAGGCAGACTATTAGTTTAGCAGTAGATGTAAACACTGCAAAGGACAGTGATATAAGCCTTTACAAAGATTCATAGTGACATAGAACTACATCAAATTCGTCAAAAGTTCTATTCAGTAAAACATGCAGTTTTTCCCCTTGAGGAAAGTAAAACAAAATGCTTTGTCATTTTAAGATCAGTTAAATAGTAATATGAATTAATTGAGATCAATTTTTTTTCTTAGCAAAATGTATCGAAGGCGACTTTAGTCTTTTTTTTTTTTTTTTGTCCTGGATGAAATTACCCAGTATATTTATCTAGGATTCAAATCAAAATCCAATAAATTATTCTTTTGCTTAATCTGTGAAAGAAGTTTCAGAAGTATGTTTTTATGTCAAGATTGATATTTTAAAATATTTTTATAAAACATCATAGAATAATGTTACAAATGTCTTTGACTTTTTATCTTGCAAATTTAATTTGAAGATTTTTAAGGAGGAGGGTAATCCAATCCAACTGAGTTTTCCTCAAATTACTATCAAAATGAGCTTGACTCACAGTTAAGCTTGAGTCTTTTTCCATAATTGTTATGACCCCTCTCTCAAAACACGCACACACTCAAAGATTAAAGAAAGAATCCACTTCAAGTCTGATTTTGGCCAGAGTTTTACACAGTTGGGGTATACTCCTACCATCTGAGGTTATTAAAAACAAACCAATCATTACTCAATTTGTCCCTCTTGGAGTCTCTTTCCTGGTAGCAGCATTTAGGATCAACTGGGATCCTGAGTTCCCAAACTGGCCTGTTAACACGAACACGTTTATCAGTATTTGGCTCAAGGACAAAGCACTAAAACAACAGATGGAATCAATATTACATTTTACAAAGCGATTACATCGCAAAATCAACAGTTCTTTGTAATGACTGATGGTGATTGTGTAAATTTCTTCTGCTCTCAGCATTTTCTTCTTATAAGAATGTCTAAGTAAGTGCCATAGGTGCCAGTTATGAAGTAGCTCTGATTAGGTATTAATTGGGTTTCATCCAAGGCTGTAATCAGTTGTGACTTAGTCACCAAAGAAGGTAAAGAACAGAAATAATTACCTGTGCCTTTCAATTAACGTATATATATGGGGATTCAGCATTTCACAATGAGATCTTTCCCCAAACACACCCCCCCCCCCACACACACACACACACTTTTCTCTAGTTTCTCAATATTGCTATTGACAACATTTTGGTCAATGGTTATGTTCAGTGGCTCACATTCTTATGACTATGAAAATACTGTTCACAGCTAAGCCGTATATTACACCATGATCACATTTCCTTTCTTGTATATCTATGCACTTTTCCATGCTTACAAATTTCTTAATTAGTTTGCTTAGCTATTTTTAATCTTACTCTTTCACTTATCACGTTGCAAAAACTGTAAAATTTAAACACATAGGGAGAGAACTCAGTGACTATATATAATTATATATATATATATGTGTGTGTGTATTTTAAATAAGAAATACCTCTTGGCCAGGCGCGGTGGCTCACGCCTGTAATCCCAGCACTTTGGTAGGCTGAGGCGGGCAGATCACAGGGTCAGGAGATCGAGACCATCCTGGCTAACACGGTGAAACCCTGTCTCTACTAAAAATACAAAAAATTAGCCGGGCGTGGCAGCACGCAACTGTAGTTCCAGCTACTCAGGAGGCTGAGGCCGGAGAATGGCATGAACCCGGGAGGCAGAGCTTGCAGTGAGCCGAGATCACACCACTGCACTCCAGCCTGGGCAATCTGGGCGACAGAGCGAGACTCCATCTCAAAAAAAAGGAATACCTCTTGCAGGCACCTTCCATTCTCCTGCCCCAATTTTTATTGATTGTTCTCTAAACCTGCTACACCAGAGTCATCATAAATTTTCCTTCACCATCATTCAGCTATTCCCCTTGCTTTTCGTATTCTGTATGTAGTGGATGTATTACATACAGGAATTATTCTATTTTGCTCTACTTCTTCATTCATGAAACATGTCTTCCAAGAGTAAAATTTTAAAGGCCTTATAAGCTTCTATGAATTAGTTATTATCAGCTTAAATTTATAGTATGGCTTGGCATAGCATTCTAGGATGAAAACCAATTTCCCTCAGAATTAAAAGAGTGGCAGAGCCGGGCGTGGTGGCTCACACCTGTAATCCCAGCACTTTGTGAGGCCTAGGCAGGAGGATGATATGAGGCCAGAAATTCGAGACTACCCTGGCCAACATGGTTAAACCCCGTCTCTACTAAATATGCAAAAATTAGCCAGGCATAATGGCGCATGCCTGTAATCCCAGCTACTCGGGAGGCTGAGGCAGGAGAATCGCTTGAACCTGGGAGGTGGAGGTTGCAGTGAGCTGAGACTGCACCATTGCACTCCAGTCTGGGCGACAACAGGGAAACTCCACCTCAAAATAAATAAAATAAAATAAATCAAATAAAGTGTGGCAGAGACTAGGTAAATGTTCACATATTGGCCCTTCTTCCTTTGGGGCATAATTTGCATTACATTTCTCATGTCCTTTGCAGACATCACCTTGTGGCTCAGTGTTGGCCAGTGGAATGTGGCGCAAAGTGACATACAGACCCTGATGCATGTGTACACATCCTTCACATTCTCCTTTCTTCCTTACTTTGAGAGCTGAATACAGAAAATCTGGATGTGGATTCCAGGCCCCTTATGAATAGAGGAGCCTCTGAAGGGGAGAAGCCTGGATCCTAGGGTGACTGCCCATGCTGGAGCTCCACCAGTTCACAGGGGTGTGACGTGAGCAAGAATGAACTCTATTATTTTATTTTATTTTATTTTATTATTACTTTTTGAGACAGAGTCTCACTCTGTCGCCCAGGCTGGAGTGCAGTGGTGCAATCTCCGCTCACTGCAAGCTCCGCCTCCTGGGTTCATGCCATCCTCCTGCGGCAGCCTCCCAGTAGCTGGGACTACAGGCGCCCGCCACTACGCCTGGCTAATTTTTGTATTTTTTAATAGAGATGGGGTTTCACCGTGTTAGCCAGGATGATCTCGATCTCCTGACCTCATGATCCGCTCACCTCGGCCTCCCAAAGTGCTGGGATTACAGGCGTAAGCCACTGCACCCGGCTGAATGTACTCTATTATTAAACACCACTGAGAATTTGAGATTCTTAGAGCTGCAAGCTTCTTTCTAACTAACAAAATGTCGTATAAATTTTAATGTTAAGAATCTTGGCCAGATGCGGTGGCTCAGGTCTGTAATCCCAGCACCTTGGGATGCCAAGGTGAGTGGATCACGAGGTCAAGAGAGGAGACCATCCTGGCCAACATGGTAAAACCCCGTCTCTACTAAAAATACAAAAAAATTAGCCGGGCATGGTGGTGCACGCCTGTAGTTCCAGCTACTTGGGAGGCTGAGGCAGGAGAATCACTTGAACCAGAGAGGCGGAGGTTGCAGTGAGCCGAGATCATGCCACTGCACTCCAGCCTGGGCGACAGAGCGAGTTTTGAATTAGTCACCAAAAAAGAAAAAAATTACACACACACAAAAAAGAACCTTGGTAAAATCCACATAGAAAATAATTGCATTTCTCACTAGGCGTAGTGGCTCACACCTGTTATCCTAGTGCTTTGGGAGGCCAAGGAAGGATTACTAGAAGCCAGGAGGTTGAGACCACCCTGGGCAACATAGTGAGATGCCATCTCCACAAAAATAAAACACAAAAACAGAAACAAACAAACAAACAAACAAAATAACTGAGCATGGTGGTGCATGCTTATAGTCCCAGCTACTTGGGAGGCTGAGGCAGGATCACTTGAGCCTAGGGGTATGAGGCATTTCCCATCTTCAAATCCCACATAGACAGCAAGATTTCCAGCTGCTTCTTCAGATGACTGGGCATTGTTTCCTAGCTTTTACGTGAAAGTAACATTTGGAAGTCCCTGCTGTATTGGCGGGGAGGCTGAGTCCTAGCTCCCTCCTTTTACAGAGGGCCATGTCCTCTGTTCCTACAGGAGCATTAGAAGACAAGGTCAGAGCCTGGGCATGGTTGCTCACACCTATGATCCCAGCACTTTTTGAGGCCAAGGCAGTCGAATCACTTGAGGTCAGGAGTTCAAGACCAGTCTGGCCAACATGGGGAAAACCCGTCTCTACTAAATATACAAAAATTACCCAGACATGGTGGTGTGCACCAGTAGTGTCAGCTACTTAGGAGACTGAGGCAGGAGAATCGCTAGAACCCAGGAGGTAGAGGTCGCAGTGAGCTGAGATCATGCCACTGCACTCCAGCCTGGGTGACAGAGTGAGACAGTCTGAAAAAAAAAAAAAGACAAGGTTGGCGCTTCTACCCCTTTTATATGATCCATATGCTCTTATGCTCTGTGCCTTGCAGGCTTTGACTTCCTCTACCTATTTCAGCTTTTAGCTCTCTCTATACAGAGAGAGAGAGAGAGAGAGAAAATATCAGCTCAGTCTTCTATGTCTTCAGAAGTTAGCTACTCATTTTATTTTTGAACATGACTCTCACTATGCATCATTTTACACAAGATGTTATACTTTCTGTTTATAAGAATTTCATTTTAGAATAGAGTCCAAGCTTATCATTTAGTAAGAGCATAGTCTGGTAGGGCAGCTACGGTTCGTTCTAAAACTTTTGGGAATACATCAGAAAACAAAACAAAACAAAAACACCAGCCCAAATTCAAGTAACACTGGACCTCACAGAGGGACCACACTTCTTGAGAGATCTTATAACAGCATATCTACTTGCAGGAGTGGAGTTCTGTATGTATATAAAGTAAAAAAGATAAATGAAGCCTGGGCTTGGTGGCTCACACCTATAATCCCAGCACTTTGGGAGGTTGAGGCAGGTGGATCACCTGAGGTCAGGAGTTCAAAACGAGCCTGACCAACATGGAGAAACCCCATCTCTACTAAAAATAGAAAATTAGCCTGGCATGGTGGTACATGCCTGTAATCCCAGCTACTCGGGAGGCTGAGGCGGGAGAATCACCTGAACCCGGGAGGTGGAGGTTGCAGTGAGCCGAGATCACGCCATTGCACTCCAGCTTGGGCAACAAGAGCGAAACTCTGTCTCCAAAAAAAAACAGATGAATGAGCAATTACCATTGTTCATAAAATAACAATAACTGTAAGGTCAGCAATTTCTTCAATTTTATTAAATTGTTCTGTGTTCTATGGAAAAGAGGAAGGATTTAATCCCCAATGGTATAAGATGAACACAGTCATTAAATCTTAAAGGAAAATAAAAATTTTGTAGAATTTTATTTTAATTTGACTTTCACCTCCATCATTTTCCAAAAACTGTGCCTATCAAGATCAACAGTGACCTCTCCATCATTAAGTCTATAGTCGCGTCTCCATTTTCATCTTTCTTGACCTATGAAGAGCATTGGCCAAATTGTTCACTCCCTTTTCCTTGATGTCTCTTCATCAGGCCTCCAGGGCCCTACACATCCATGATTTTCTTTCAGTCACATTAATGCCCTCCCTCAGCCTCATTTTTTGGGTCCTCCTCTACCTTCTGCCTTTTATAGAGAAGTGTCCCAGCACTTCATCCTTGGCCCTTATCCTTGGTCATTAAATTTGGTCAGTAAGTTTTATTCATCTATTTATTTTAATTTTTTTCTTTTTTCTTTAGACACCCCATAAGGCCCTGGATAGTCGTATTAGTTTTAAATGTCATCCATATGCCAAGATATCCTCATTGTTTACATCTCCAACCCAGATGTCTTTAAGAAACCCAGACTCCTACATCCACTTGCATCATCAATTGAATGTAAAATAAAATTCTCAAACTTAACATGTCCAGACTGGGTTATCGATAAATCCACCCCAAACTCCTTTACCTACAAACCGCTCCTTCTCGATTGAAGAGATGGGATTCATCCTTCTAATTTCTCAAGCCAAAATCTGTGGACTCATTTCCGACTCCTCTCTCCCACACAGCCAGGCAATCCTACAGGAACTCTTGCTGGCTCTGCCTTCAAAGTTTTTCCAGCCTCTCCATGTTGCTCTCACCTCCCCTACTACTGCTCTAACCTAAAGCTACCAGCAGCAATATAATTACCTCCTCATTGTTCTCTCAGCTCCATCACAGCTGCACTGCAATCTTTCTCAATAATGCAGCCGGAATGATTCTTCTAAGACATTAATGAAATCATGACACTCTTCTCTGTAAAACTCTATGATGGCTGCTCATTTTACACCAAATAACAGCCAAAGTCCCTAGGATGATCTACAAGATCCTCTGGATCTGGGCCACAGTTATCTATCTATGACCTCATCCCTTAATACTCCTCTCCAAGCTCATTTGGCTCCAGACACACTGATTTCCTGAGATTCTTTGAACACACCAGCCATTCTCTCACCTGAAGGCTTATTCTTTTCTCTGCCCACAAACCCTCTTTTGTCCTGCTCAACTCCCTCCCTTCCTTAGAGCCTTTGTTCTTATGGCATCATTTCGGGCTTGGTACCCCAGCTAGCACTGCAATCTGCCCCATTTTGCACATCCAAACCCAGTACGCTGATCTACTCTTCATTTCTTTCCATAGACTTACTGCATTCTCTCATAGCTTTTAATTCACTTCTTGTCTATGACCTCTAGAATGTGAGCATTATAAAAGAAAGATTGTTGATTACTTGGTTTACTTACATATGCAAACTACCTGAATGAGAACCTGCTAAGGGACATGTACTTAATTCTTATCACTGAATAAATAAATTAAAAGTACAATTCATTTTTTATACATGTGAATTTAAAACATGTCTTCATGAGACATATTTTTCAATTTCAGAGAACTTCATGGTAGGTTACTTGAATTTATATCATAGTGTTTTGTAGTAAAGCCAATTAAAACATGAATTTAAGAAATGAACAGTTGCCTACACAATTGAAAGGCCATTAGACTTATCCATGGTACAGATAGATTATGGGGACTGTGGTGTCTCTCATACATATCCCAAAACAAAACTATGTATTTAGCCAGAACACTGGAAATTTTAAAGTGATTAATATATTGGCCCGGCACGGTGGCTTACGCCTGTAATCCCAACACTTTGGGAGGCCGAGGTGGGCAGATCACGAGGTCAGAAGATCGAGATCATCCTGGCTAACACAGTGAAACCCCGTCTCTACTAAAAATACAAAAAATTAGCCAGGCATGGTGGCGGGCACCTGTAGTCCCAGCTACTCAGGAGGTTGAGGCAGGAGAATGGCGTGAACCCGGGAGACGGAGCTTGCGGTGAGCCGAGATCGCGCCGCTGCACTCCAGCCTGGGCTACAGAGCGAGACTCCGTCTCAAAAAACAAACAAACAAACTTGATTGGTATACTCTATTATATAAATGGTAATTAATACCTTCCAATTTATTTAAAAAATATAATGTTCTTCAATGTCTAAAGAATGTTCACTTCTCTTAATTACGTGCTAGAAGTTTTGATAAAGTTGATGTAATTACAACCAAATCGTCTTCTCATTTATAAAAAATGCAAACAACAGTAATATAATGAAAACTGGTGGAATAATTACGCCTGCTCTATACCAAATAAACTCCCAATTTTTGTGCTAAATTTGGCATCATGAAAAGATGTTCACTTCAGTAACCTAGTTCTTTTCTAAATGCAAAGTGAAAGGCAGGCTTGGAATAATTTGTTCTTTATATCTTGCTTCAAAATTGTCAACAAAGATAGAGATAGCATTAATTGCCTCATCATATTTGCGTATGGTTTTACATCTGATTAGCCATGGAAAAAAAACTGTGGGTTTTAAATACATGAAATTAGAACTACCTGGAAACTGCTTGTCAGGAACCTGTCAGCTCAGTTTCAATATTGCATATTATTAAATACTTTTTCTCTTGCTACTCATTCATGGTAAGATTTGCTAAGCCTGACAGAAACATTTTAATTACAATTTGAACTCAAGTAACTTCTTTAAGATTCACCTCCAGATCACTTTCAATTAATATTGAGAAATAGTAATACTTACTGAAATTAATTTGGAGCTTCTCTATGTATTTAAGTGCCTTCTAAAATGAGTATAAAGACATATACCTTTTATATGCTATATAATTACAGGTCCATAGACTTATTGCATTCTATCGTAGTTTATAATTTACTTCTTGTCTATGACCTCTAGAATAGTTTCTAATGAGTTTGGAAATACATGCAATGTTGCTGCTTCCACTATTTACAGAGGAGATTGTTGTCTTATATTCTTAGTCTTGTCATTTGAGTTTTCTTTTCCTGCTCACTGTAAAACAAAAGAAAATTTTAACCTTAAATTTTATATGAAAGATCCAGATAATATTAAAATATTTTCTATATACAAGAAATGTAGAAAAGACCCTTGACTTTGTGATAAAATACAAATTCTTAGAAGTACTCTTCATCTGAAGCAGTTATGAAGTTGGCCTGTTAGCAGCCTAAGTGAACTTACAACTAAAACCGTAAATAATTGTACTGTATATATATGAAATGCATTTATTACATATTATTTCAGATTAGGCAAAGGTGAGCTAAGAGATGTGTGTTCATGGATGCCTATTCAGAGAGAGCCTAGGTGACATTATGAATATTGTAGTCTGGAAGGGAATTAATTTTATTCCATTTTTTTCTATATGTATAAATATAAATATATATATAGAGAGAGAGAGAGAGAGAGAAAGAGAGAGATACGCAGTGTAAATAGGAAGAAAAATTATTAAATAATGTATACTACGTAAATATACACTTGAAAAAATCAACTTTTTTTTGTTTTTGAGATGGAGTCTCACTCTATTGCCCAGGCTGGAGTGCAGTGGCGCAATCTCAGCTCACTGCAAGCTCCGCCTCCTGGGTTCATGCCATTCTCCTGCCTCAGCCTCCCAAATAGCTGGGACTACAGGCGCCTGCCACCAAGCCTGGCTAATTTTTTTTTGTATTTTTAGTAGAGACAGGGTTTCACCACGTTAGTCAGGATGGTCTCCATCTCCTGACCTTGTGATCTTTCCACCTTGGCCTCCCAAAGTGCTGGGATTACAGGCGTGAGCCACCGTGCCTGACCAAAAATCAACATTTAAAACTGCAGCATTTCATAATGGAAACCAAATAAACACTTGTTTTATAAAAGCCGATTAATGTATTTTATAAATAAAGAATATTTAAAATTTAAAATATAAGTGATTAACATTGTTTTCTAGACTAAATTATTTGCATTCAGTACCTTCTGATATAAGCCCAATGTTATTGAACCATGAAGAAACAACTCAATTGATATTCAGTTCATACATAGACAATATTAATATCATAATTGTTTCCACAATTCTGATAAGTTTCTACATTCAATAACCTGCAAATATTTCACTTCAGATATCATCTTGATCATGAAGCCCACCCTAGCATATTCTAAATTCCTGCTGGATGTTCTACTATTCTAGCAAGCTCAGCCTGGTTCCTCAATTTTAACAGGGGAGTGTTGAAGAGAAGTCACACGGTGACAGCTGCTTAGCAGTAGGAAGGTTTAATTATTGTTTTGAGAAAAAATAAATGGGGTAAATAATGGAGAAAAAAGAACTAGAAACTCGAGGAGAAACAAATAATTGTTTAGCAACTACATGGCTGAAATATTAAGCAAAGTAGCAGCAACATGGTTGTAAACACCTGGAGGCGTCTATGAAAGGCAAATGCACTCTTTTTACATGATTCAAGTCTACACTGGACCCCGTGAAAAGGCAACTTAGTCTTAGCACAGTGTTTAGACCAGCATGGACCAATGTCTATGCAATCATGACAGTGTGACATTCTTCATGTTCAATTTTTAGCTCACAGGCAAAGCACAGGGACCTTGGTTGTGATTGTTAAATGTAGATATTATTATCCTCATGAAAAGTGGAGCTTAGAGAAATTTGGGATATAACAAATGTATGGTGCTGACACCCTCAGCTTATAAACAGGCATTCAAGGATGGCTTAGGAATTTGGTGGATCATAAATAGACATTCAAAAGTATTAGTTATAATTACAAACACAACAAACAAAGAAACAGGTATAAGCAAAAGAAAAAGGAAAGCACAAGCACATGCCTGTACACACCCACACCCACACACACAGACTTACAAAGCATTATAGAATGTGAAGCATAAGTTAACTAAACTCCACATCTTTCAAGTCAAGTGATCAGTTATTATTTTTTATTTATTTATTTTTTTGAGACAGAGTCTCACCCTGTCACACAGGCTGGAGTGCAGTGATGCGATCTCGGCTCACTGCAACCTCCAACTCCTGGATTCAGGCATTTCTCGTGCCTCCGCCTCCTGAGTAGCTGGGATTACAGGTGTCACCACCATGCCCGGTTAAATTTTGTATGTTTAGTAAAGACAGCGTTTCGCCATGTTGGCCAGGCTGGCCTCAAATCCTGGCCTCAAGCAATCAACCTGCCTCGGCCTCCCAGAGTGCTGGGATTACAGACATGAGCCACTGCGCCTGGCCAGTTATTATTTTTTAAAAAATAATAAAGCAAGGGAACAAGGTATAACTCTTTAAATTTGTAATTTTAAAACTGTACAATGAGTGTAGAGTTTTCCAAAATTCCTTTAGAGAGTGAATGAATGAAGACATTTCAAGACCACTGGTCTAGTCTCAGCTTGATGCACAGTGCCGAAGCCTGGCTCTCAATGGCTGCCTCCTGTGTGTCTGTCTCTGCACCCCATCACCCTGCAGTCTTGTCTTCTCTAACTCTTTCCTTTTCCGGATGTGCCTGCTTTCACTCACCCCAGGCCTCTCACTTTCTCTTCTCTACTCAACCCTCTTTACCCAGCTGACTTCTTAGGCTTCCTGTTTTTATTTATTTATTTAGACACGGAGTCTCACTCTGTCACTGAGGCTGGAATGCAGTGGCATGATCTCGGCTCACTGCAACCTCCACCTCCCTTCAAGCGATTCTCCCGCCTCAGTTTCCCGAGTAGCTGGGATTACAGGTGCCCACCACCAGGCCCCGCTAATTTTTGTATTTTTAGTAGAGACGGGGTTTTCACCATGTTGCCCAGGCTGGCCTCCAACTCCTGACCTCAGGTGATCCACCCATCTCAGCCTCCCAAAGTGCTGGGATTACAAGTGTGAGCCACTGCCCCTGGCCTAGGCCTCCTGTTTTCTGTAAACCTTCCCTGATTGGCTGAGGCCTCTCCTGTGGAAATTCCGAATGTGCTGTAGTTCTTCCCCTCTCCTGTCACATTTGGCACCCTAAGGTGGCACCGTGTTTCATGTCTTCATCTTCCACAGTAGGTTCTGTGAGGGTAGAGACTTGTTTGCTGTAGCCACAGACATAGCATTCCAGAACACAAAGCAGATGCTCAGGAACTGTGAGTGAACTTGCAGCAATAACAATTACCTGAAATGAACTAGCAAAAAATGTATGCAGTGTGATCAGAGGCAGGGTGGCCAATATTTTAATACTGAAATCATTTTTATATAAAAATAATCCATCAATAAAGTATTAAAATGTTCCACATGATAAATACTAGCATAATTCTTTGTAAAAATTACATATTTTGAAATCAGTGTCTGACTGGAAATAGATGCACAATACACACTTATTGCAAGAATGAATTCATGAGGCCACAGTACAGCATTGTGCTTAAGAGCTCAATCGCTGCAAGTAAACACACTTGGGTTCTTGAGATTAGTTGTGTGAAAAAGAGAAATTTATCAACCTCTGTGACTCTCCATTTTCTTATCTGTAAAACCGGGATGATACTGTACCTACATCTTTGCATCGTAAGGATAAAGGAAGATAATGAAACTGTGCTCAGAGAGTATTAAGAACTAAGTAGTAGATGTTATTATTAGGTTTTTGATAAGTAAAGAGAGATCAAAACTATATTTACTGATCATATTAAGCTGAAATATGTTGACCAGTGTTCAACAACTTCCCATAGGGTACATTTATCTTTGGGATTATGTAGCCAAGAAAACTAGAGCTTTAGGCTGCTGGCTTGTTTGGTCCCAAGTTATATCTACAATAGGTTATGTTTTCCTTGTACCTCTTTGAAATACTTCTTCTTCACTGTAGGACTCTACTTCAGCAGATAATCAACACTCTCATTTCAACCTCAAAGTTAATTGGTGGGATGTCTTTTCCCTTAGGTTTGTTTCTATGGACAATCTCATGATATGGATTTCTTCATTAAACTACATGGATTTAACAATTATGCCTCTAGGAGCAAAAAAGCTGAGAAACATATGTGGGTGGTTAGGAATACTTAATATGTTTTTATATTAATTTCTAAGTAAGCATTTCGCAGAGCTTTTTAATATAGTATCTCAAATGGTAAGTGATTAATCTAGGAATCTTGGCTTAATAGTTTTGAACCAAATGATTTTTTTTGCCAGTACCTTGAAATTCTAAAATATAGGGAACAGTTTATATTATGAGTGTAAATAAAATTGACTATATTCTTGCTCTGATGTATTCTCCAAAAAACCGAAAGTCCTGTTAGTGTTAAAACCAAGTGATAAGGCCGGGCGTGGTGGCTCACGCCTGTAATCCCAGCACTTTGGGAGGCTGAGGCGGGTGGATCACGAGGTCAGGAGATAGAGACCATCCTGGCTAACATGGTAAAACGCTGTCTGTACTAAAAATACAAAAAATTAGCCGGGCGTGGTGGCAGGCACGTGTAGTCCCATTTACTTGGGAGGCTGAGGCAGGAGAATGGCGTGAACCCAGGAGGCGGAGCTTGCAGTGAGCCGAGATCACACCACTGCACTCCAGCCTGGGTGACAGAACGAGACTCTGTGAAAAAAAATAAAAAAGTGATGAATTATAATAAATTTAAATTTATTTTTAACTAATTTTACTAGTGCCTACATGCATGGATTAATTAATTAATGCAAGGAAGCAATAATTGAGGTTAAGAAAACATACTATATTCCTATATTTGTGGTACAGATTTCTTCAATTTACCCACCTTGGTGAAGCTATTCTAATATGTAGACATAGATTACATAAGAAAAAATGAATTATGAAAATATCTTGGCTTCTTACAAATCAAAATGTTAGGTCCTAAATTGTCAAGAAATGAAAGGTAAAACAAGGTGTTTTGTTGCCCTTAACAGTATTGGGAGTATTTAGGACAACCAAAATGATTAAAGGTTTTGAGCAACTACTGTATTCAGGAAAGACTGAAAAGATTAGGATTCTTTAGGCTGGAAGTAATGACAGCAGACATGAATGAGATCTCTGATATCATGAAGGTTGTGGGTAAGGTGACCACTTGTTCAACCAAATCACAAAATGTTAGAAGGAAAATGCTTTGGGAATTTAGTGCAAAATTCCAGAGAGTAATCCTTAACAGAAGTCCCTTTGTGTGCAATTATTTGCAAACTCTGGTGCCACTGCCCAGTGGATGGAAGCTTTTCTCTTCTTCGCACAATGGTTTCAGAACACTTGCATGGTCTCTTTGTCTCCTCATGACGTTTCTCAGTCATGAATCATATCCATCTTTAACACACTCTTAGCCAGTTGTACCTAAGAAGACAATTGTGATTTAGTGTTAGGAGTTTGGGGGTAAAAACATAAATTGGGAAGCAGTTTAAGCTTAGCTGCTATAAGCTTAGCCGAAAAATCCACCCTGATGTCTAACAGATAAGCAAGGCTGGCTCTCCCTGGGCCAATCCATTTCTCCTTAGGGATTGGCTTAAGGAAGGAAGCTGTTTTCCTTCAGTTCCAGCCTGAATTTAGATCTCAGCAAAAACGTGTTTGTTTTTCAATTTCTTCTTCATTCTAGGTAGTTGGCAATTTGACTCCCTTGTAGCTGATGTTGTGTTCTGCCAGTAAGTCATGATATGGATATCTAGCATTTACTTATCCATTAATTGGAAAATAGTTATCCAACTTCTTTTCTGTGCCACTCCCTTTGTGAGATGCTGTAAAACCAGAAGAGGTCAGGCAGACAATGCCCCTGCTTTCATGGAGCTTCCTACCAGTGGAGACAGGAGTCCTGCAGTAATTACAGTAAAATGTGATGAGGGCTGTAATGGGGATGGAAGAGGATGCTATGGAGACATTGAGAAGAGGACCGTCAGCCTGCAGAAGGGGAGCAGTGTAGGCAGAGGGTGAACATTCAGAGGCTAAACAGTTGTAGTCCAAAAAGAATTAGGTAGACTTGAAAGAAGTTTGCCAAATGTGAGGCTGAAGAACAGACAGAGGGCAGATGTATTACAAATATCAACTTTGTAAAACTAAGAACAATGAGAAGACATTGCTTTCCTTTCTTGAAGGTAACGTAATTATATTTTCAATATAAAAAATCACACCGTCTTCAAGTGAGGGAGATGGATTGGATGTGAAAATGGCAGTCAGAGCAGTTTTTTGCAGGAATCTGAATTAGGAATTGGGCAAATTCTTACATTTGGGCTTTATTTCCTAAAACTGAAGTACAGCTACTCTAATAAAGAGAAAATAACTAATTCTGAGTCTTGGCCTTTTCTTGTTTCTGCATGAGAACACTTTTAACTTTCCTGTTTTGTTGCTGCAAAAAGTACACTGGCAATATGTTCATCCCATACTAAGGAGACACTCACTGTGATTATTAATGATGATTAGTCATTTGCAAACTTCATTTAAAGATGAAATACAAATACATAATGTTTTGCTGCACTATATCTTTATCAGAGTATCATATTTCAACTTTGAGAAGTAAAGCTCAAATTTAGGAATTTGCCTAAACTAAGGAGGAACCAATAGAAATAGAAAGTCATGGAATGTGGAAGATTTTTTATAATGTAGAATTGCAAATACCTGGCTACCGATTCTACTGGTGTTGCTCTCTGAGTCATCTGGGTCATTTTCTAATTCCCCTTTGCTGCATGAATGCTTTCCTTAAGAAAAATCTAGAAATTAACTGGGTCAAAATGATGCAGTGTTTAGAGGAG
This sequence comes from Homo sapiens, assembly GCF_000001405.40. Taxonomy (NCBI): domain Eukaryota; kingdom Metazoa; phylum Chordata; class Mammalia; order Primates; family Hominidae; genus Homo; species Homo sapiens. The sequence continues at coordinate 36,556,778 of NC_000010.11, forward strand.
AGCTTCTCAGCTTTGGATGCGTGTTAGAGAAAAGGTGTGAAGGTGCTTTAGAGTGTCTCATTAGAATGGGGTGAGCATTTTGCCACTGTACTTTTTACAGCAGTAAAACAGGAATTTAAAAGTATCTTCATGGAGAAACAGGAGAAGTCCAAGACTCGGAATTAATTAGGACTCTGGGAGTTCTACAGTGCAACCATCTGAAATCAACAATAAGAAAATGAAGTGCATGAAGAAAAGTGGTGCCCAAATCCTCTGCAATCTAAAGCCCACATGTAACTTTTTTATGAAATAAGAAGCAGAAAATGCACCAGCAATGGCACTTCTGTATTATAAGAGACCACCTATAAGGCCAAGTGAAACATAAAAGTGTTTATTTTTCTTAGTTACTCAATGAACAGAAATTGAATAACAAGCTAAAAGATGCCTACGGCAAGAAACAGTTTCCATCCCTCTCCTTTCCAATATTTTCCATTTCCTTTTCTCTTGATTCCACATGACATGAGTGATTTTTTAAAAGAAATATTATATTACGCTAGTCAACTTCCAAAAAAATTAAACATAGACACAACATCATAAAATCACAGCATAAAAAAGGATGTCTTTTTCAGAAGCAAAAATGAAATTGGAAGGATCTCTTCGCCCTTCTCTTTTCTTCTGGGCACTACCAAAAGTAAATTTCTGAAAAAAAAAAAAAAAAGAAGCAATAGGAAAGGGAAAGAAAGAAACCCAAGAGGAGGTGAAGACAGAAGAACTAAAGCAGGAGCTGTATGTCGGGGGAAGAACATCTCTGTTTCATTTACAAAGACGATACAACACATACCCTCCAAAACACAAATACATGGCATCCTAGAGCAGCCTGCTTGCAGCTTGGTCCCAGCTACCTCTACAGGAATTTTTTGCTTTGGTTAAGGGTGGTCTAGAGACTCTTTTGAGAAGATCAGTTCAACCAGGCCAGATTAGATGTCTCCTGTGTATATCCTCATAGTAAACCCTGCTTATTACTGATGGTGTCCTCTGGCGACAAGGGGCTGCATCTGTACAGAGTAAGGGTGCCCTCCCTTCTTAGTGCTGCTGATGATGGAAGAGAAATCCTGGAGGAATTACAGAGAGGCCATAGGCGTGTTTAGGCCATAGACATGTCTTCACGCAGAAACAGGAGAAGCCCAAGACTCAGAATTAATCAGGACTCTGGGCATTCTGTAGTGCAACCATCTGAAATCAACAATAAGATAAGGAAGCGCATGGAGAAACATGTGGTGCCCTAATCCTCTGCCATCTGAAGCCCACATGTAACTTTTTGTCATATTATATATTGTATTTTCAGAAGGTTTGACTGGCTCCTTCTTCCTTTCCCCCAAGAAATTAATATATATGATAAGAGGTTTTTTTAGAGACCGGTCTTAAGAAATTTTAATTTTTATTAATGCGATTGTTGACAATATTATCTGTTACCTGTCTCAGTTATCTTTACTTTAATAGTGCCTGTATAAATATACCATATGTAAATTTTACCTTCTGTTTTTGCAGAATATTGTTCCTAATGGAGTAGATTAACTATCAAAAAGGTACAAAAGTCTAGTTTTCACACCAGAAACATCACTCTGACAGATTTTTCATTAGTGTCTGTGTTTTATTAACATATATATATAAAGTGTGTGGTGTGTGTGTGTGTATGTGTGTGTGTGTGTGTCCAAATTATCATTTGAAATTTCCACCCAATGATTTGGTGTCACACAGACATGACCTTAAATGCTTTGTCTTTTAAATTGTGAAAATCTTCCTGAGATTTATAACATTTCCTAATTTTTGACCAGGGTTTGATAATTTCACTTAAAGAAGAAATAGAAACTCATAGGGTTTTTGCTGCATTATACCTTGATCCTTCATTAAAGTGTATGTACTTCAATATTGGAAAGTAAAGCCCAAATGAAAAATGTGTTAATAAGCATTTCTTCTGTTCAGATCTGATATCTAACAGCTGGTATTCATTCATCAAAAGAATCATGACGTGACCTCCCTAAAATTTGGACTTGGATTCTAAGGAGATTTTTTTTTAATGCAACCAGTGGGATCTTGTTGTTATAGGGACTCCAGAGCTGGGTTGAGAAGTTAGGGTTATCAGCCTAAAAACAGCATCATTTACGGAGTACCAGAATAGACAAGTGCACATAACATCATTCTTTAACATGTACTTTTGTCTACTGTGCCTGTGTTCTAGCCATCAAAAAGGGCTGGATAGATATGATGGTTAATTCAGCCTGTTTTTCTGTTAGTTCAAAGTTGAGTCAAAGCAAAGCAGTAACTGACAGCATCTTCCATTTGGCAATTAACTAGTGAATGCCTATACTCACTAGTTGTATTCCTCCTACTGTTGAGTCATGTTATAATTATTAGGCTGGTGCAAAAGTAATTGCACCAACCTAATAGCTTGTGCGCTATTCAAATTTTCCATATTTTATGACCTGTCTCCTAAATAAATTGCAAGTACCTCAAAGGCCCTAGACACTCTACATTTTTCTACATTTTTAATATTCTCTATCTTCACCGTGTCTAGAAGTTTGCCTGGCATTTAAAAACTTTTGTTAATTAAGCTATATTAAGTAGATGATTTAACATAAGTGAAGACACACTACCAGACGTTGGTTCTCTAATCATGTAAAAAATTATTTGCTAGATGGTGAGATTTCCCACCCCGACCTCTTCCAGGGTGGAGATGTTACACATAAGAGATTTTCTTTCTTGATAAGATAAGCCCTTCAGGATTCAGAAAAATCAGGCTCTGATAAAGTGACTCATTCTTTTAACTACCCAGAAATTTAAACTCCTTGGGTCTTGGCACAGCTACTCACATCTCTATTCCAGGAATGAGAGTTACTGACATAGTAGAACAGTCAAATGGTCTGAGAAGATGAAGTTTAATTACAACTTTAATAGCACACAACTTCAAAGCATCCAGCCAAAATGGTGACAGGAATTACAATATTCATTTGGTCTATCAATCATACTTTTTGTTAATTTCCCGAATTTGGCATCATCAAGTAGTGATCCCGGCTATGACAAAATTTTGGCGGGCAAGAACTAAAGCATTCCCTACAAAACTAGCAATCATCTGCTACAACCTCATTTCTGTGGGATAAAATGGGCACCAGAAATCCGACCAAAGCAGCCAGCAATAAACACAGCATCAATTACGCCACCAGAAGATCTAAAGTAGCAAAGAACAAGACAGCATCAATTATTCAATCTCTACGTCTAGATTCATGCCACAGCACTCCTTGAATGCATTGGCAATGTGTGTTAAGTTAGGCATTCTGTTCCAAAACACTGACTTGCTTGAAGAGTTATAAAATAAAACTTAAGAAGTTGCTGTGTTTATGACCACAGAGCAAGAGTCAGAAGTGGAATCCTGGGAGCTGATGAAAATTTATTTCACAATATTGCTTAAAACTAGCCCCAAGAGGGAAGAGAGAGTGGAAAATGGCTCTAATTTCATCTTTCTCACTTGAAATTATGGGGTGATATTTACAGTCCTGCCTCAGTCAACTGACAGCAAATCTTTTCCTATGATTGCAGAAAGTTTCTTCTCTTAAGTGAGGAGAATGTGTTAAAGGAACACATGGTAGGGAGAGAGAGGCAAACACCGAGGAAAAATGCTTCCATTGATAAAAATTCATGCCAAGACTTGATGATATGGCCATAAAGCAAGCCCTAGAATGGAAGGGTTTCACTCTGGAATCCCTTGAGGCCTAACACATGAACTTGCAAAGTGTGAGGCTTTAGGACCTGGTGACAAATGCAGTCATCGAGAAATTCTGGCATTCAGTGAATTCTGTCAAGGTGGTTTCAATGTGGGGGCTATGCAACACAGACACATTTATTCCATGCAAGACCATACAAGTGAGGAGTTGTTGTGTTGGGAAGAAAAGGTCATTAAACCTTTTAGAATAGTTTAGCACAGCTAATAGGAAGCGAAGGTTGACTTTGAACAAGCAAGTCATGTAGAATCAAGACTTTGAGAAATGTCTTTCATAAACTACTCATCAAAATTTGTAATACATTTGTTTTTTAAATTAACTGAATTCCAAAAATAGTTGTAATACTAACTCAACCCAAAAGAAGCTTATTTTGTTTTGTTTTGCTTTTTTATTTCTTTTATTACTACAGAGCCATATGATCACTGGATAAAATTTATACACATTCTTTCCAGAGGCTAGAATACAGTGTATTAGCCAGGGTTCTCTAGAGGGACAGAACTAATAAGATAGATGTATGTATGAAAGGGAGTTTATTCAGGAGAGTTGACTCACAGGATCACAAGGTAAAGTCCCACGATAGGTCCTCTGCAAGTTGAGGAGCAAGGAAGCCAGTAGTGGGTCAGTTCGAGTCCCCAAACCTCAAAAGTAGGGAAGTCAACAGTACAGCTTTCAGTCTGGCCAAAGGCCCCAGAGCTCCTGGCAAACCACTGGTGTAAGTCCAAGAGTCCAAAAGCTGAAGAACTTGGAGTCTGATGTTCAAGGGCAGAAAGCATCCCACACAGGAGAAAGATATGGCCAGAAGGCTCAGTCAGTCTAGTCCTTCCACATTCTTCTGCCCGTTTTATCCTAGCTTCTCTGGCAACTGATTAGATGGTGCCCACTGAGATTGAGGGTGGGTCTGCCTTTCCCAGTCCAATGACTCAAATGTTAATCTCCTTTGGCAGCACCCTCACAGACACACCCAGGAACAATACTTTGCATCCTTCAATCCAATCAAGTTGACACTCAATATTAACCATCACATAGAGTAATCACTAAAATGCTTTGAATCAATAAAAATAATAAATTAGGATAAAATTCTGTGGGAGTAGTAGGATGGTAATACAAGTTCAAGAAGAATAAAACAAAAGAATGATGTAAAACCTCTGATGATCAAAAATTAGAGCTTGTTCATAACAAAATATTCTTTTCAGAATGATTATCTTGATGCATATACTGTGTTAAATGTATAACTGATGTGACTACCATATTATAGAAGTTTTCATTGGTACACACTATAAATTGAACTTTACCACTTTAGTATTATTAGGATATTTTTGTTGACCCTTAAAGTAAACTATGTAGAGGCTATCAACTTCCTTGGGGAAGAATCATTAGGTGAATTTGCAACATAATTGTTTTATTTTTGTAATATAAAGTTTAATCATGCATTAGCATAAGTAAAACATTTTGTCTTCAATAAAAGTGTCATAATATACAAATTTTGTTTAACAGTGGACTCCTGTGAGATGTGTGAAATTTCAAAACCCTTTAAGAGATTAAAACATTTTAGTCATGAACAAGTATTAATTGATGTATTCAATGTAAATGCTTTGTTTCAAAAAATATTTAGTGTTTGCAAGATTCTATCCAAGAAACCTGATTTATATTCTCCTCTGAACATTATTCTGTTTTTGTACAATAGCCATAGCTTATCCTGCAGGATAGCCTGGCCTCTAATTATTGCTATGTTTATATTATGTGCACAGATTGTCTGCATTGTGGCTTATCCTCAGGTATTTCCAGATGTGTTCCTAGGTGCACATTCATCAATATGCACATTTGTCTTATGCATAAAAGCTAACTTCATTGTTCTTTTTTAAGGCCTTTTTTAAAAGATTATTTGCTGAAAAGTCCAAAGAATCTGATTTAATTTGTGTGAGAATGTTTGCTTTTTTGCTTGTGAGTCAAAAACACCACAAAGACCCTTTAACAATACGGTTTCTGTTTTAGCCAGAAGGATAAGGTAAGATGAAGCTTTGCAATTTATTTTTTTATGATCTTTTCATTTCATATAATCTTGTCAATATTTAGTGAAGAAAATACTTGAGTTTATAAAAATTGTGGGTTAATAGATCTGTCATCCATCCCACGCAAGAGAGGTTATATGTAATATGGTGGTATAGAGAAAGATTAGACGGGCAAGTTCAAGACCACTGAATGCTATATAGATGACACAGAGCAATCGGTGGAGAAAATATTGAGTGTTTTGTTCACGGTTAGAGTAAAAAGTATTGTTAGGTATACTGTAAACTGGTTTCTTCTTCTTTCATTCCAGTCTTGCTCTAACCAAGTTATTTGCAAACTTTTTGACTATCATAAACAGTATGAAATACATTGATATTCACAATAGGAAATATATTGGTCATTAAGCCCTGTAAAAACATACATACACATTGACAGAATTAAAAATATTATGAAACTGTACTTATCTATTATGTGTGGAGTCATGTGTTTTATGGTATAACGTATACACTATAATATTCTTCTCATTCTATTCTATTTTATATATTTTTAAAAGATTGATCTTATAACTATCTAATGCGGTGTGATCTGTAAAATGCAAAGCACTGTTTAATGCAGTGGTACTCAGTTGGGATGATTTGTCCCTCAGGGAATATTTGGCAACGTCTGGAGACATTTTTAGCGTCACAGTCAGGGGATACTGATGTGTAGTGGGTCAGTCATCTTAAAAGGTACAGCTCTCCACAACAAATCATTACCTGGCCCCAAATATCTATAGTACTGAGGGTGTGAAACCCTGGCCTACTGTATATTGCCCTCCAGAGCTTAGAAAGTTTTTCTTGTTTCTTAGACTTCCTTTCAGTTAGGGCTTGATTATGACTTAGATTTTGCTATGGTGTGAATATGTCCTCTCCAAAATCTAGGTGTTGCCTATGTGATAGTATTAAGAGGTGGGGCCTTTAAGAGGGCATTAGGTCATGAAGTTTCCTCCTTCATGAGTAGGTTTAGGTGCCCTTATAAGGAGACTTGACACAGGGAGACCATTCCTGTTTACTTCCCCTGCCTTCTGTTGTGGGAAGACACAGTGTTACTCCCTTCCAGAGGATGCAGAGTTCAAGACACCATCGTGGACACAGAGACCCAACCCTCCCTGGATGCGGAAGCTGCTGCTGCCTTGATCTTAGACTTCCCAGAAGCCAGACCTGTGAAAAAATAAGTTTCTGATCTTTATAAATTGCCCAGTCTATAGAATTCTGTTATAGCAGTACAAACAGACTGAGACACACTGTGTGACAGAACTGAATTCAGAACGAAGTTAGGCAGAGAGGAGGAGGAAGGTCCTAAAGCAGCCATATGAGAAAACAGCCATGGCAGAGTCACTGTGGATCTGTGGAGGTTTCCTCCAGTGGCAGCAGCTGCTTTCCTGGTCACAGAGGCAGTGTGAGTCCTGGCCTGAGAGCAGTTCTTGTAAAGCAAGCATAAGGTCTGCTCCTTTAGCCCTTTCAAGAACTTCACATCCTGCCTGGTAATAAATCCCTGTCTACCCAAAGTATTTGGAGCACATGAGTTAAAAGTAAATAAAAGTAATATCTATAATGTCTCCAAACTAGAAATATGTACATCCCCCAAAAAAAGAAATCAACCAATAGGTTGACCAAATGTGGACGCTCATCATTTAGTTACTACAGCCTAGGAAAGTACTGGGCAAATGGAAAACATATTAAAGCAGGGATACGGTTTTTTAAAAAGTAATTCTTTTGAATTATGACATTTTAGGTGAGAAACTGTAGCCAAAAATTGACATATTGAAAAAACTGTAGCCAAAAATGAACACATCAAAAGTAAGACATAAGCAACTTAATGGCTTTTTTGGAGGGTATAACATTTGGCACTATCTAGGGTCAAAGGACCTTTAAGTAAGTTTCACAGTGAACTAAAAGTTTCCGTTTTAGGTGTCAATGTTATGTTAATTTTTTTGGTGAACATATTTCTAATTTATGTCATGAATACTTGTAGCTTTTCTTAATAGTCCAAGATTCTTTTACTCTTTCACCAGACATTAACACTTTCTATGTCTAAAATGTGGTTTTGTCGTGATGATAGCTATGAGTGTGCTCTGCAGTGGTATTTTCACACATTGGTGTGTGAAGAAAATGTAAAATGTTCCACTGGAAAAAGCACTTTATTAGAAGGTTGCAGATTTCTGCAGATTTCCTCAAAGAAATCTGAACAAGACGGATGGAAATCGTTTAAGAGTAGAAAAAATATTTGCATAATTGAATATTCTCTTGCTTCAAGAGAAAAGGAAACTGAGAGTCAGAGACATTGAGATATACTCTCATCACACAACCCACCAAATGGAAGTTGTAGCTGAAACGTGTCCTCTGAGAGAGGCTGGCGCTCTCTCCGCCCGTCCTGGTACACCCTTCACCATCTGCACTTACGGCAGAGCAGCACCATGACATCGTTGATCGGAGGAGGGTGTTTTGTACTGCACAGGGATCCTGGCTGCTCCCTCCATAATTTATGCAAAATAAATTAAATGCTGACATTTTGCTTCCGTTACCTTGTAACTGCTTAGAATCTACTTATTTAACACACAGTCATCTTGATGCCGATGGTGACCTCCACTAGTTACTTACCTTCTTTTTTTTTTTTTTTTGAGATGGAGTCTTGCTCTGTTGCCCCGGCTGGAGTGCAGTGGTGCAATCTCGACTCACTGCAACCAACCCCTCCCAGGTTTAAGCAATTCTCCTGCTTCAGGCTCCTGAGCAACTGGGACTACAGGCGCATGCCACCATGCCCAGCTAATTTTTGTATTTTTAGTACAGATGGAGTTTCACCATATTGGCCAGGCTGGTCACGAACTCCTGACCTAGTGATCCACCCGCCTCGCCCTCCCAAAGTGCTGGGATTACAGGCGTGAGCCACCACACCCAGACTAGTTACTTAACTTTCAACTTTTTTTTTTTTTTTGAGATGAAGTCTGTCATTCTGTTGCCAAGGCTGGAGTGCAGTGGTGCGATCTTGGCTTACTGCAACCTTTATCTCCCAGGTTCAAGCAATTCGTGTGCCTCAGCTTCCTGAATAGCTGGAATTACAGGCACATAGCACCATGCCTAGCTAACTTTTGTACTTTTAGTAGAGACAAGGTTTCACTATGTGGGCCAGGCCGGTCTCAAACTCCTAACCTCAAGTGATCCACTTGCCTCAGCTTCCGAAAGTGCTGGGATTACAGGAGTGAGCCACGTTACCTGGCCTATATGCCTCAATTTCTTACCTCTAAACTGGTGGTAATAATGTTACGAATCTTCTGTGCCTGCTCATAGGACAAGTTATTTACACACACGCACACACACACACATAAATTTTCACCTGGCATGGGTAGGGTGCATAAGCACTAAAGATGAGTCACTCATAGGATTCTAAGAATTTGCTCAATATAGCTAACATTTATCAATAGGAAGGATCGCAGTATTCTAGGCTGTCACAGAAGACAAGCAGGGTTTGAATCCAGGCTTCCAATGGGATACTATTATCAAAAATGAAACATGTTGTAAGTAAATTGACAGGTAAGTGAGAGATCAACTATACAATAAATGTAATGAATTTAGAACAAAATGCAATGAGATTACATATATGAAAAGGAAGAAGTCATCAAAATATTTTTAGCAATCAAGAATGAGAAAGTAGAAATGGTAATTTTTTATTAGACAATATTTTTTAGCACACACTCTAAGGAACTTCTGTTTTGACAAAGAATATCTGAAAGTTGTTGATGCTGAATGAAGTTTGAAAAATAGTATCTGTGAAAATTTTACCATAATGTTATCTCCTTCCTGTACTAAACTATGGCATTGAAATAGAAGAGCATTGAGTGTTTCTTACGTGTCTAAAACAGCACTAAAAAAACAAGTGGGGTAAAAGAAGCAGAAACATAGTCTATATTCTCCAAGTTCTAATATTATTATTAAATAGTCTCTTTTGGAGGTGCAGGTGTCAGATTTAGTGAAGAAAAATATACCATAATTTGTATTTTAGATAAACTAAGAATTGATTTGGTATAAGTATATTCTAAATATTGTATAAGATATACTTACACTTAAAAAATGCCAATTACTCATTGCTTGTTGCTTATTTAACATTCACATTTAACAAGCCATTCTGTATTTATTTATTTTGTCCCAGCAATGCTATTTAAGGGATTTTGTTTTATTTAATGTAACTTTAGCTGCTGTAACAGACAAACCCTATAATATCAATAGCCCAACACAATAAAGCTTTCTTTTGCATGCATAAATCATACGAATGTTCATGTTTGGGTAGGTCTCCACTCAGGAGAAGAAACAAAGACCTCTTCTACATTGTAAGTTCATTTTGAAAACATGGCTTGCAATTTCTGTTTGGGGGTTGTCTCCGTTCCTGATACCAGAAGGGAAGCCCCACTCTTGGGGTGAGAGGGAGAAGCTTGGATATGACTTACATACTTTCTGCTCACATTTAGGACACAAGCTCACTTACTGGGAACTATAGTCTAGCAGTGTGACCCAGGAAAGAGGAAGCCAATTGAATTATCTGGAAGTCTCTGCTACAGATGCTGAAACACTGCAGACATGTGAGAACTTTATCAATGGAAGAGTTTTACCCAGTCTACAGACATTCAAGAAAAGAAAAACTACATCGATGTGAATTCTAATAATGAAAAAGTATCTTATTTAAAAGTTTAAAAGAACATGTAGAAGCAAATTACTATTTACAAAAATAAGTTAATTAAAACAGATGTGTGATCTACATATAGTGAATTATCAATTTTGCACATAAATGTACATAAATGCAAATTATCTTTTCTTTGTTTCTTTTTTTCTCCTTCAATTTTTATATTAAGTTCCAGGATTCATGTGCAGGATGTGCAGGTTTGTTACATAGGTAAATGTGTGCCATGGTGGTTTGCTGCACAGATCATCTCATCACCTAGGTATTAAGCCCAGCATCCATTAGCTATTCTTCCTGATGCTCTCCCTCCTCCCACATACCCCACTACTGACAGGTCCCAGTGTGTGTTGGTCCCCCCATGTGTCTATGTGCTCTCATCCTTCAGCTCCCACTTGTGAGTAAAAACATGCAGTGCCTAGCTTTCTGTTATTCCATTATTAGTTCGCTGAGGATAATGGCTTCCAGCTCCATCTGTGTCCCTGCAACGATCATGATATCATTCCTTTTTATGGCTGCATAGTATTCCGTGGTGTATCTGTACCACATTTTCTTTATCCAGTCTATCATTGATGGGCATTTGGGTTGATTCCATGTCTTTGCTATTGTGAGTAGTGCTGCAGTGAACATATGCGTGCATTAATCTTTTTTTTTTTTTTTTTTTGAGACAGAGTCTTGATCTGTTGCCCAGGCTGGAGTGCAGTGGCGCAATCTCGGCTCACTGCAAGCTCTGCCTCCCGGGATCACGCCATTTTCCTGCCTCAGCCTCCTGCGTAGCTGGGACTACAGGCACCTGCTGCCACACCTGGCTAATTTTTTGTATTTTTGGTAGAGATGGGGTTTCACCATGTTAGCCAGGATGGTCTCAGTCTGCTGACCTCGTGATCCTCCCTCCTCGGCCTCCCAAAGTGCTGGGATTACAGGCTTGAGCCATCATGCCCATCCACGTGCATGTATCTTTATAATAACATGATTTATATTCCTTTGCATATATAGCCAGTAAAAAGATTGTGGGTCAAATGGTATTTCTGCCTTTAGATCTTTGAGGCATCACCACACTGTCTTCCACAATGGTTGAAATAATTTACACTCCCGCCAATAGTGTGAAAGTGTTCCTTTTTTTTTTTTTTTCTTTTTGAGACAAAGTCTCACACTGTCACCCAGGCTGGAGTGCAGTGGCACCATCTTGGCTCACTGCAACCCCTGCCTCCTGGATTCAAGCAATTTTCATGCCTCAGCCTCCCGAGTAGCTGAGATTACAGGTGCCCGCCAGCATGTCCAGCTAACTTTTGTGTTTTTAGTAGAGACGAGGTTTCACCATGTTGGTCAGGCTGGTATCAAACTCCTGACCTCAGGTGATCCACGCACCTCGGCCTCCCAAGGTGTTGGGATTACAGGCATGAGCCACCATACCCAGCCAAAAGTGTTCCTTTTTCTCCACAACCTCACCAATCTGTTGTTTCAGTAATCGCCATTCTGACTGGTGTGAAATGGTATCTCATTTGGTTTTGATTTGCATTTCTCTAATGAACATGATCTTATTTCATTCATCAATACCCTTAAGGATTTCTAGTGAAAAATAATACCACTTTCCTGATAATCTCCTTATAAAGTTGTTTGTGTTATCAGTTGTATTGGAAGTAATAAAACTGGCAATCTTTATTTATCAAAGCCATGTTGAAATTTTTTTCAGATGATTTCAATGTTAGTATAAAACTTCTGTGCGAATATATGCAAACTGCAGGATAACGTATATTAATAGATAAAATATTGACTGAAAGAAACGACCTAAAATAGGCAACTATAAAATGGAAATGATAAAACACTGAATAGTTTATAGTTAGAATTTATCAATTTAAATAACATTCGCTGTAAATGACATTTTAAAAGTACATGAGGAGGCCAAGCGCGGTGGCTTGCGCCTGTAATCTTAGCACTTTGGGAGGCCGAGGCGGGCGGATCACGAGATCAGGAGATCCAGACCATCCTGGCTAAAGCGGTGAAAACCCGTCTCTACTAAAAATATAAAAAATTAGCTGGGCGTGGTGGCGGGCGCCTGTAGTCCCAGCTATTTGGGAGGCTGAGGCAGGAGAATGGCGTGAACCCGGGAGGTGGAGCTTGCAGTGAAGGGAGTTCGCACCACTGCCCTCCAGCCTGGGCGACAGAGCAAGACTCTGTCTCAAAAATAAATAAATAAATAAAATAAATACATGAGGAAAGAAAAGAAGTATAAAACACCAATAGAGAGGATAGAAAATCAGGGGAAGCTAAGGTTCATATTCAAAGAAAAGGCCAAGGAAAAGGGAGAGGTAACATGAAACTGAAGAAAGAAGTCCGAGAAACAAACAAAAACCAATGTGAGTCCTCAAAAAAGAGGAGAGAGACAAAGGGGAAATTTGATTTTAAAGAATCTCTAGAATTAAGCTGCTGCTTTTTCATTACATTTAAGTATCAGTAAGAAACTTAATTTTGATGCAGAAAAACAGCTGAAATACAAAGCTGATAAGCCACATGTAGTCATGTATGAGAGAAGAAATATTTTAAAGGCACAATAATTAGCTTTGTGTTGCTTATTTGATGTAGCTTTAACCTTAACAAGAGCTTTTTCAGTTGGTGCCATTATCTAATAATCTACTATTATCGATTTTCAGAGAAAACAAATTATCTGCAGTAAAACTTTCTGAAAGTCACAAACATGAAGAACCCAGAGGCAAAAGATTTATAGAATCTTTAAAAGATAGCTAGAGGCAAGAGTTTGAGCCATGGGAGCAGATCGCCAAAAAAACTCTTGTCTACCTAATAATTCCTCCATAGAACAAAATCTATTCAAAGCACAATCCAGAAAATAGAATCGACATCATGCCACTGCAGTCTTCAGCTGCGACCTTGCTAGAAACAAGCCACAGGTCTGCCACTTACACAGAATTATTCACAAACGAACAACCTGCCTGCAGGAAGAGAGAAAAAAAAGGAAGACTTTAATAATCAAATCCAGTGACAACATAAATATTTCACCATGTCACTCTCAGGGTGCAAGCTGGTTTGCCTTCTAGAATAATTTAGGGAACAAAATATGATTCTGTGTAACACAAAACATATTGGCCTAAAACTTTTTTATTTTTTTTAAAATTAGAGGCTACAACTGCTTTCATTGAAAGATATGAGTTGTTCAAGACCCACTCTTTATTTAAACCTTAAAAGTAACCCACCAAGTAACAGCATAGGATCTAGATTCAATTCTAGCTTTAATAGCACAAAGTCACCTTCAGATGTACAAGTCTACATGTCTAGCCTTGAGATTAATTTTTTTAATTCTCATGGTGATTCATAATATAATCCCAGGAGAGACAAGGTGAGACAAAGCAAATATGAAAAATTTTAAGCCTAATTCTATACAGTTTTCTGATGATAAAAGCGTATCTTAGGGAGTGAGGTAAGTAGAAAAACTTCTCTTTCTCTCACTCCCCATCCTCTATTCTCTCTCTCTCTCTCAACTCAGCTGTTCATTCCTAACAGTTATATTTATTTCAGAGCTCGCTCTAGGCCAAATGAAAGTAAGATTATTTTTCTTTGGCACCTCAATTCCCTCTTTTTAGTTCTTCTGCCTCTTATGGGTCATTCCCCCTTGGCTGCCCTAACTACATTTGGCTTACATTATTTTGTTAATGCGTTTTCCCTTTGGAGTTTTCCTGCCTCCATCAGACTTTATTGTTCTGAGTCTCATTGTAATTTTAATTATATATCATGATGAAAAGAAATCTGAAAAACATGTAATAAGCCAGTATCTCATAATGGATTAATGTTAATTCCATGAGAACAATTGCATTCCAACTGGAGAATTCTGGAGAGACAAAGCCCTAATCCCAAGGGTGAGGCATATGTGAAACTGGATATAATTTTATACTCTTCAAAGCAAGACTCAGTGAGTCTGGTTCAATTTCTCATATAGGGCTAAATTTGAGGAGAGAATTTCTAGTCACTGGCTAATAGTTTGCAAGTTCTTCTGGCCACGTTTGCAAATATAGAAATGTGACCAAGGAAATAAATTGTGAGAGAATTGTTTATATTATAATTCTTAAGGTTTGGGAAACATACTATTACTAGAAAAGAACATAGATATCATTTGCCAAATGCTGTGGTTTAAATGTTCATGTTCTTTCCAAAATTGACATTGGGACTTAAAGCCCAATGTGATAGTATTAAGAGGTAAAGCCTTTGGAAGGTGATGAAGTCAAGAGGGCAGAACTCTCATGAATGGGATCAGCCACTTTATCAAAGGGCTAGAGGGAACTAACTGGGCTCTTTTTGCCCTTCTGCCTTCTGCAGTATGAAAGCCCAGCATTCATCCTCTCTGGAGAAGGCAGCAACAAGGCATCATCTTGGAAGGAGATAGAGCTGCCTTCAACAGACATAGAACCTGCCAGCACCTTGATCTTGGACTTCCCAATCTCCAGAGTTATGAGAAAATACATTTCTACTCATTACAAATGATCCATTTTGTGGTATTTAGTTGTATCAGCACAAATAGACTAAGGCACGAAATGTCCTAGTTTTGAAGCCAATACAAGTAAAGATATACTAGCAATGTACCAAACATTATGCAAACTGCTTTTTCCATTATCTCACTTAATTTCTACTACAACTCTTTGAGATAGACACTGTTGTCCCCATTTCACAGATGAGAAGTCCAAAACCTGCTTGATAAATTTTTAAGTTGTCCAAAGTCACATGGTCGGTAGGTGCAGAGCTAGAATGCAAACTCAAGGCTACCTGACTCCAAGCCAGGGTTCATTCCCTTGTGCTGCAGGACCTGACAGAGCATGACATTGAGGCACAGGAAGTTATGTCCAAGCTCCTATTGTTAGGACTGGACACCCTGGACTCCAGTGCAGAACTCTTTTCAGCTCTTTACTATCCAACTTGACAATTTGTGCCTTATGGGGGCTAGACACCAAATCAGGTGTCTAGTCAATTTCACAGCTTTAAAATGGTTATGTGGAGGTAAAAACACCGTTTTTTTTGTTTGTTTTTGTTTTTGTTTTTGTTTTTTAAACAGAGTCTGGCTCTGTTGCCCAGGCTGGAGTGCAGTGGCTGGGGCTACGGGCACATGCCACCATGCCCGGCTAATTTTTTTTTTTTTTTTTTTGGAGATGGAGTTTCGCTCTTGTTGCTCAGGCTGGAGTGCAATGGCTCGATCTCAGCTCACCACAACTTCCACCTCTCGGGTTCAAGCGATTCTCCTGCCTCAGCCTCCCGAGTAGCTGGGATTACAGGCACATGCCGCCACACCTGGCTAATTTTGTATTTTTAGTAGAGATGGGGTTTCTCCATGTTGGTCAGGTTGGTCGCGAACTCCCGACCTCAGGTGATCCGCCCGCCTCCGCCTCCCAAAGTGCTGGGATTACAAGCGTGAGCCACCGTGCCCGGCCAAAAACATCATGTTTTTAAAAATTCCAACTCTATTTGAGATGAGTGAAATGGATCACATACTATCCTGATGATTGGTTATATAAACATTGGGGATAATGAACAAAGAAGAATATTCAAATATTAAATGACAAAAGTAAAAATGTAATTCTAAATATCATAACAAATTCATTCTTCTTCTAATCTGAAAATCATTTCACTAATGATGAAAATACCTTTCATCACCTGAGTTTATCTTGTTCAGGTGACAGAGATTTTATATTCAAAATATTGTCATAGTTAAATACTTTTCATTTCTTCTGTGACTGTCTTTTGTTAAAACCCAGGCTATACAACCCAGGGCATAAAAGTCTTACCATCTTTTCAGGTAGAATTTTTCTTCCTTATGTTAATTTCCAAAAAAAAATCAATAAAATCTGTAGGTCCTGTAAGACACATTTTTTGCAAACTGTATTCAATTCAGGAAAATGATTATCTCTGTTTTTAAAAATAAATGTGTTGTAAATGAAATGTAATGCCGACACTATGTAAACAATAACTCTTCTGCAATTACAAATTTATTTCCTTCATGACTGCTGATGCCTCAAACCTAGAGGAACACCATGGAAGACAAAGAAAACTAAACAAAAACAATTTATTTCCTTCAATCTTTCCTGCTCAATAATTACTTCCTGCATTTTCTGATATCTGCTTCCTGTTGCCTATTTCTATATGTTTTGCCCTTATAAATGACCAAGGGAAACACTATGAATGGAAAAAGATTTGCAGCAATTGTTGGCAAATCTCCAGTTCTGCCTCATTCAAACACGGAATTAAAATTAGAAAGGCAATATTATCCTTTCACCTTTGGTTTATGGTAAGTTGTCAGAAATGGAGCATTGAAATATGCTTTCAAGGTAAGTCCACCTAATTATTTAACTTACGTTTTTTTCTTTTGTCTTTACAAGCAGGGGCACTTGGGTTTATCTGATTGCTTCCATTTGCATTTGCTTACACACTCATGTCCTTTTTCATTTATTCAATAAAAGTCCTTCTTTTCCTTTCTTTTCTTGAATGATTTGATAAAACATATCTGTGATCACATCTTTTAGAGTTACAAAGATATTTTTAACACACTGGTACACTTTCTCTGCTCCCTTCAATTCATTCAGAGTGATTATATATGCAGAAAAATTAACTCTAAAATGGGGCTGTGTCATTTTACAAGTGCCCATTTTTTCAGAAAAAGCACTCATTGACTTCCTCTTTGAATTATTGCTTTTGGATACATAAGCTTCTGCATTTAAATAATGCCTTCTCTTTAGCCAGGGATTTGCGGTGTATCCAATTGGGATGAAATATAAAAATGCAGGCTTCCCACATGTTCTAGAGCCTCTACTTCTCAGAGTGTATGCATAATAACAGATGCTACAAAAGTAACTAGTGAAATAATTTGGAAAACTTCACAAAGTTAAACCTGTTTCTTTACTGCAGAACTTCTCAGAATCTATAATATAGCAAAGTACATGTAAATTTCCATGTATGTGTCAAGTAAGATGTAGTTTAAGACAGTTTCCCCCACACATCCTTATATATAAAATCACTCTGTGGTGCACATCTCTAGACCACTGTTCTGCCTAAGCTAAATTGGGAACTGTTTCACAAAATAATAGCTCTTCAAGGACTAAAAGGGACATTTTGCAAAACCTCAGGAATTTCAAGCTGTGGCTGACTGACCCAAGCAGGAAAAGCAGAGGCAGGAGTTAGCCTAAGGGGAGGTGCTCTGGGCTTCTTCCCATTTGGCTGGAATATTTCTTCAACAGTTGCAGCAAAAAAGGTCCATTAGCAAGAAGGACATGCTTCTGGATGTCTAAGTGAGCCAAAGTGTGGTTTAGCAAACTGCATAATAGAAAGAAATCAGCCAAAGGAAGAACCCATCTGATGAAGCTATAAATGGACCATATACAGGAAAGACAACTAATCATTGAACGTGTCTACTTAAACAACAGTGCTATGGTTAGGCTCTTTGTCCCCACCCAAATATCATCTAGAATTGTAATCCCCAGGTGTTGAAGGAGAGACCTGGTGGGAGGTAACTGGATCATGGGGGCTGTTTCCCCTATGCTGTTCTAATGATAGTGAGTGAGTGCTCACAAGATCTGATGGTTTTATAAGGGTTTTTTTCCCCTTCACTTTCTTGACATGCTCTCTTGCCTGCTGCCATGTAAGATGTGCCTGCTTCACCTTCTGCCATGATTGAAAGTTTCCTGAGGCCTCCCCAGCCATGTGGAACTATGAGACAATTAAACCTCTTTTCTTTACAAATTACCTGGTCTTGGGCAGTTCTTTCTAGCAGTGTGAGAACAGACTAATAAACAGCAAGCCTTTCCTGGGTATTGTGTAAGGTTTTACAGTGTAAATCAGAATTTATAAGCTAATTAGTGCTCAATGAAATTAAGGGTTGCTTTCGATAAGAATTTTATTCCATAGCCATAATATTAAAGAGGAAACAAACCTTAGTTAATCTCACGTCACGTTTATTGCATAGCAATGTTACGCAGGAATCTAGATTTCTAGACATACATATGTCTGCTCCTCAGGGTGCTGTCATTTTAAACACTTCTCCCAAAGTTGAATTAGGAATGGAATAATAATTGTTAAGTAAAAATTCTGAAATCATGGAATTCTTCCTATTGAAAAAAAACACTAACTTCAGTATGAATGAAGCTGTATCATCTGAAGTTCAAATCACAGACAAAAGGTATTTTTGTCTACTAAAGAGATAGGAATTATCATTAATTTTAAAACTTAATTTTATTGGTAAATTTGTGGAATTTTTCTAGGAAAGATCTCCTTCTTTGTTGGAGAATGAATTTCTTTATAGATGCTGAATTAATTTAGTTAAATATTTTGTTACCATAATTATTTTCTTACCATAATTATTTTCTTAAAATATTTATTCTTCAAAATATGTTAAAGTTAAAATGTGGGAATGAGATAAACAATAAACATAAGCCACGATATCTTTTGTAGGAAAGAAAAATGTGGAAGATTGATATCTGTATCTTGTGAGTAAATATAACAAATTCCCATGTTTTTACTGCCTAGAAATGAACAACTTAAGTAAAAGTGTTTTTCCATTTTAAAAAAATGGATGTGGGAAATAATCATTTTATTTCAATCCATTTATAACAACAATTGCATGTTTTAATTAAATTTCCATTGATATCAATAGACAAGGGCATTGCATAGTTTAATTAAATCTTTAACATTACCTTTGAGGGTAGACACTCATTTCATTTTAATTAACAAATGAGAAAATTTCTTAGCTGGGCTAGGTTTATTTAGATGGTTAATAATGGAGCTATGGTTTAAACTTAGGGGGACCGACCAGGGTCTATACCGTTAATCTCTGAGATCCACACATAGGTACTCAGGGTGCCTTGCCTTGGTATCATCACCACTGCATAAAAATTCAGTTAATGTTGGTAAAGTATCAGGTCTTCAGAGGTCTATATCTCATTCATGAAGCTCACTTATGAACTTATTTTGAGGGTATATTGAATCAAAATACACCAGTTAGCCTACATGACGCATCACACGTCTTCTCTATGTTGGGTTTCTTAGTGAAATACAGTGTTAAATGTGAGCTATAGAAGCAGACCATCTTCTTTTTTTCTTTCTTCTTCTGTTTCCTCATTTATTTTTTAATTCTTTTGACATATATTCATTGAGCACTATCTAAGACAAATGTATGACACTGGGATAGAATCGATGTATTAATTTTTAAAAAGAACAAAAGGAGATTATATTTAACCTCAAGGAAGGCACCATCTCTTTTTATTTATTTATTTGTTTATTTATTTACTTATTTATTTATTTATTTTGAGACAGAATCTCGCTCTGTCACCCAGGCTGGAGTGCAGTGGCGCAATCTCGGCTCACTGCAAGCTCCGCCTCCCAGGTTCACGCCATTCTCCTGCCTCAGCCTCCCGAGTAGCTGGGACCACAGGCGCCCGCCACCACGCCCGGCTAATTTTTTGTATTTTTTAGTAGAGACGGGGTTTCACTGTGTTAGCCAGGATGGTCTCCATCTCCTGACCTCGTGATCCACCTGCCTCGGCCTCCCAAAGTGCTGAGATTACAGGCATGAGCCACCACGGCCGGCCTTATTTATTTATTTATTTATTTGAGATGGAGTCTCTCTCTGTCACCAGGCTGGAGTGCAGTGGCACGATCTCGGTTCACTGCAACCTCTGCCTCCCAGGTTCAAGTGATTCTCCTGCCTCAGCCTCCAAGTAGCTGGGACTGCAGGCGTGTGCCACAAAGCCCAGCTAATTTTTTGTATTTTTTGTAAAGATCGGGTTTCACCATGTTGGCCAGGATGATCTCAGTCTCTTGACCTCGTGATTCGCCTGCCTCGGCCTCCCAAAGGGCTGGGAATACAGGCATCAGCCACCACGTCTGGCCCACCATCTCTTATTAGGGTACAGACCTATGAAAAGTAAGTGAGAAGAGTATTTATGTCCTGTGGTAGAATATATAGGAGGCCCCTAAGAAGGGAGCACTCACTCAATCCTACTGACAGAGCAGGGAGTGAGGCCAAAAAGAATTCATCACTAGAAAACATCCTAGCCAAGTCTCAAAAGATGAGGAGGTAGTAAAAGCATATGGACAGGGGAAACAGCAAGGACAGAGATATTGGGCTATGTGTCTCAGCTGTGAAAAGACAGCTGTTTTGGCAGGGCAGGTTAGAAAGCAGAAAGAGTACAGAGAGAACAGGCCAGAGGTTCAGAGGCCAAATTAAAATTGGTCTCGATTCTGTAAGGATAGGAATTTAGACTTTGCCCTTTTGAGAAAGAAAAATCATTGAAAGATTTTAAAAGAGACAATAGGATGATCCTAATTTTTAAGGAACATATTTTAAAACTGCATTTATTTGTTTAATTACACAAGAGTGATATACATGCCTTTTAGAAGCCGTGGGCAGTAAAGGAGGCTGTACAAGCTGGAGGTATGAAGAAGAACTAATGGGGCCTCCTGGAGTTGTGCAGTGCACAACTTATGAGGCCATATGTGACAACTTTATTCTAAACTCAGAGCATAGAAATGAAAATTTCTTATACTTCTAACTCCCAATAACATAAATATTTTCCTAAGTTTTCTTCCACTTTCTTATAAGTATTTTTCCCATTCAAAAATTCATCTATTTTAATCTTCCATTAATTTAATTTTAAACTTTTTTAGAGCAGTTTTAGGTTCACAGCAAAGTGGAGAGGAAGGTATAGAGATTCCCTATATACCTCCACACCCCACACCTTTCCCCACATACACAGCCTCCCCCATTATCAACGTTCCCCACCAAAGTGGTACATTTTCCACAATTGCTCAACCTAAATCAACACATCATAGTTACCCAAAGTCTATGGTCTACGTTGGGGCTTAGCATTGGTGGCGTACTTTCTATGGGTTTGGACTAAGAGATATTCTTTATGGAAGACAAACTATGGCAGCAGTTCCAGAGACTTTTGTGGAGTGAGTCAGGACCAGAGGGAGAGAGAATCGATGATAAATTATTGCAATGGATCAGGTCAGACAAGAGGGGCACTATGACTGGAGCCATGAAGATAGGCAATGGTGGATCTGTTCATGGATTAAATGTGGACTCTATGGAGTGGGAGACGTTAATAATTATGCCATCATAGCTAGTGCTTCTTGCTCAGTATGGTAAGTACTACTAGAAGTTTATTAACTTCTTGAGGCAAAGAGGATGAGTGTTCATGATGCAGTTATCAAATATTTACTATGTGTGAGATCTGATTCATGGTAAAGACATAGAAGATAAATTAGACATGGTTTTGGTCTTCCACTGATTCATATCCTGTTAAATATGCCCAGCAAGACTTCAGATGAGGCCAGGCGCAGTGGCTCATGCCTGTAATTCCAGCACTTTGGGAGGCTGAGGCGGGTGGCGAGGTCAGGAGTTTGAGATCAGCCTGGCCAACATGATGAAACCCTGTCTCTACCAAAAATACAAAAATTAGCCGGGCATGGTGGCAGACGCCTGTAATCTCAGCTACTTGGGAGGCTGAGGGAGGAGAATTGCTAGAACCCGGGAGGCGGAGATTGCAATGAGCCAAGACTGGACCATTGTCCTCTAGCCCGGGTGACAACAGCAAGACTCCATCTCAAAAAACAACAACAAAAGACTTCAGATGAAGTCTGTTAAATCAGTTAAAAGACTTCAGATGAAGTCTGTTAAATGAGTTAAAAGACTTCAGATGAAGTCTGTTAAACGACCAGTCTGGGCAACATGGTGAAATCTCATCTCTACCCAAAACTACAAAAATTAGCCAGGCGTGGTGGCATGCACCCACTACTTGAGGGGGCTGAGGCACGAGTATTGCTTGAACCCAGGAGACAGAAGTTGCAGTGAGCTGAGATGACACTGCTGCACTCCAGTCTGGGTGACAGAGTGAGACTCCATCTCAAAAATATGTAAATAAATAAATAAATAAATAATAAAATGGTCCTCAAAGGAAGAGATACACATAATCAACAGACTACTGCAAGCCACAAAAAAAATGCATTTTTGTCCAACAACAAATGAAAGAGTAAAGAAAATGTGCTATTTATACACAATAAAATACTATTCAGGCATAAAAAAGAATTAAATTCTGTCATTTGTGGCAACATGGATGAGTTTGGAGAACATTATCTGTAGTGAAATAAGTCAGGTGTAGAACTGTAAATATCACATGTTCTCATTTATATGTAAGGGCTTAAAAGATTGCGCTTGAAGACGTAGAGAGTAGAATTGTAATTCTTAGAGGTTGGGAAGGAGAGGTGGGTAGAGGAGAGGGAGAGGTTGGTTAAAGATACATAGTTACAGCTAACTAGGAGGAATAAGCTCTGGTGTTTTTTAGCACTGTAGGGGGAATATGGGTTAACAATCGTTTATTGCATATTTTCAAAAAGCCAGAAGAGAGGATTTTGAATGCTCATAACATATAGAAATGATAAATGTTTGAGATGATGGATATGCTAATTACTCTGATTTGATCATTACATTTTTTATATATATTATAGTATCACTCTGTACCCCATAGATATGTAAAATTATTTCATATATCTACTAACAAAATAAAATACATTCACTAAAAACAAATTTAGGCTTAATTTAAATAAATACAAAGCACTATTCTGGACAGAATTTCAGATTCTTCAATATCTAACGATGAGGCAATTTATATTACTATAGAAATATTCTTTCTGTTAGTGCTACAAGGACTCTCATCTGATCACTAAAAGGTTATTAAATAGTATAATGGATATGTATGGTCACATCGAATAGCCATCAATATGTTAGTATTTTCGTGTAATTATAGTTAAAAACAGATGTCTGCAGGATTGTGGTGGATGCCACAGAAACACATTTACAAATGACCCCTACCAGTCTGTGCCTATGTGGATTATTAACTGGGGTGCACTCCCAGACCATTGTGCTTTCTTGAGGGAAAGGCAATGAATAGCATCCCTACTGTATTCATTCACAGACATCAGTGTAACTTCTCCATCCATGATTTTTTAAAAATCTTTTTACAAGAATTGAGAGCAGAACTTCTTAATTGAACTGCCTGGTGGAATACTTATCCCATAATAATATATTTTATGGAATATCATAGCACAGTGTAACACTCTAAAGGGGTCCAAAGAATCAGATTTGAAAACAAGTCTTCCTTCCTTTTTTCTTTCCTTCTTCTTTGAACATTCAGCCCAAAATCCTGAGTGAGAAAGAATTAGAGGAAGTGTGGGAGGGCTGGAATCAGAACCTTGAGAGGAAAGTGGTAAAGTGAGACAGGAACAGCCTGGCTGGAGGGTGCCACCCAGGGGAGGAAAGTGACTGAGTGGATGGAAGTGGCTTAGGAGAGAGGAGAGTCCACAGGAGGCAGACAGTCTAGATCAGTGACCCACTGAGGAACGGAAACAATTACAATTAGGGGAACTGAGCAAATAGCAAGCATACCGAAGATAATGAAAGACAAGTTTTGCACTACAGGAGAAGAAAATTACAAATATGGAAAAGGAAAAACAACTAGAATGAAGCCTGCAGTGTTGAATTGGAATTGGGGATGTGAACTCACGGTTTTCTTTCTGTTTGTTTGTTTTTGAGACAGTCTCACTCTGTCACCAGGCTGGAGTGCAGTGGCGCAATGTCAGCTCACTGCAACCTCTGCCTCCCAGGTTGAAGCGATTATCCTGACTCAGCCTCCCAAGTAGCTGGGACTACAGGCACGTGCCACCACGCCCAGCTAATTTTTATCTTTTTAATAGAGACGGGGTTTCACCATGTTGGCCAGGATGGTCTTGATCTCCTGACCTCTGTGATCTGCCTGCCTCAGCCTCCCAAAGTACTGGGATTACAGGCGTGAGCCAACGCGCCCGGCCCATGGTTTTCAACATGTAAGTATAGACAGAAAGTCAAGCAAAATATTAATGTTGGTGGTGGGTGTGTAGATATATTTCCAACTCAATTTTGGTTTCTGAATACTACTATCCATTGAAAGGAACAAGGGCTCCTTAGAGAAATGAATAATTCAAAGGTTGGACAAGGAAAGTACAAGATGAGCCTGGATATCTTAAGTGCTCCCAGAGGGCTGAGGTTATGTCAAAAAGAAGATAGAAACCAATTTGAAGGAGCTTTGTTTTATTAGACAAATCTGGGGCAATTTGGGTATCAAAATAAATGATGAGAGCAACAGGTTATAACCTGTTGAATATAATGATATTCTGTGAGTTCATACTGATATAAAATAGATGAATAAATAAGTGAGGAGAAGAAAGCTTTTCCTTAGAGTATAATACCAACTAATAAATGTAAAGTGAACGGTGAATTTGGAAGATTACCATTTGACAAGCATAGTAGAAATAGATGCTAGAGACACGTTCCCATGTTTTTAAGGTATGTACATATAAAATGCTATTGAAGTAAATGGGAGATATGCAGTGGGAACACCAAGGAGTCAACACTTCACCAACCAATTGAAGTTAACATCACCTGTAACGGGACAAAGCTAACTTGTGTGCCAAGTGGGAAGACATCAAATCACTTCTGTGATATCCCCCACCAAAGTGCACAGCCTGAATCTGCTCATGAGGAAACATCAGAAAGATAAACATTAAGGAACATACTTCAAGGTGTCTTGACACCTTTGAAGGTGTCAAGGAAGCCAGGCATGGTGGCTCGAGCCTGTAATCTCAGCCACTGGGGAGATCAAGGCAGAAGAATTGCTTGAGACCAGGAGTTCAACACCACCCTGGACAACATAGTGAGATTCCATCTTTTTTAAAAAAATGTTTCAAGGGTTTGAAAGTGAAGAGAAAATTAAGGAAATATTCTACATGGAAAGAGATTGGGAACACATGATCACAAGGTATAACAAGTGATTCTTAGTTAGAATGTTTCTCCATTAAAGATGGTGAGGAAACTAAAATAAATGTGAGAAGTTAAGATTGGATGGAAGTACAGTGATTACTTCCTGATTTTGGTTGTGATGTGGCTACACAGGAAAGTGTTATTCGTGGGTTGTGAGCACTGAAGGATCAATGCATGTGTCTGCAGCCTGATCTTGGATGATTCAGGAAACAAAGTTTAGACTATTACTGCAACTTTTCTGAACGTCTGAAATTATTTGGAAATATTAAGAACACACACACATTGGATGGGCATGGTGGCTCATGCCTGTAATCCCAGCACTTTGGGAGGCTGAGGTGGGTGGATCACCTGAGGCCAGGATTTCAAGACCAGCTTGGCCAACATAGTGAAATGCTGTCTCTACTAAAAATACAAAAAAAAAAAAAAAAATTAGCCAGGCACGGTGGCGGGCCTCCTGTAATCCCAGCTACTTGGGAGGCTGAGGCAGGAGAATCGCTTGAACCCGGGAGGCGGAGGTTGCAGTGAGCTAAGATCATGCCACTGCACTCCTGTCTGGGTGACATAGGGAGATTCCATCTCAACAAAGAAAAGAAAACACACACGCACACATATATGTGTCTATAGGCAGTGTGTCGGGGAGTGGGTGAGGTGGTGATAAAGCAGGATAATAAAGAAGGATAATCAAAAAGTGATAATGATGAATGTGTGATTGGTACATGTGGCTCCATATTCTCTATTTTTTTTGTGTTCTTGTAAACATGGACAATTTTTTGAACTTTCTGAGCCCTAGTACAATGTGACAAATGTTAACTAAACATATTCAAAGAAGACTCAATATGTTCAGTTTTGTGGTATGCATAGAATTGATTTTGGTTAATGTTTTACTATACTTAATAACTTGACGGCTTTTTGCTACCTTTGACACGATAGAGATGGAAGATACAGGTGACCAGCCAGTATATGGGAAGCTTTGTTGTGCTCTTTTGATGAGCAAAAGTGCACTCCAGAAACTGGTCACTCATCTACTGTTATTATTCTGGTCCAAGCCACCAGGCTTTTGCTTGAATAACTTTTGCTTGAATTATTATAATATCTTCCTAAAATTTCTTTTTGTGACTTCTCCTCATCCAATTTTCTTCCCTCTTCACAGTATATTTCCAATAGCGTTGGCAGT
This sequence comes from Homo sapiens, assembly GCF_000001405.40. Lineage (NCBI taxonomy): Eukaryota > Metazoa > Chordata > Mammalia > Primates > Hominidae > Homo > Homo sapiens. The sequence goes on from NC_000010.11 coordinate 36,583,263, forward strand.
AGAATCAAAACAGAACAGAGCCTGGGACTTGTTTGTTCAAAACAATCTATTGGCTGTCCTACTAGCCCAGAGTGAAAGGCTATTTTTACATGACCTCCAAGGCTCCACGCAGAGGTGATTTCTGATGTTATTTCCTAACATTCTCACTCTCCTTGCTTCTTCCAACTGCATTATGGATTTTTTAAAATTTTGTGGTTTGTTTAACACACAAGTCAGGCTCATGCCTCATGTCTTTGCTTTGGCTACTCTCTTTGCAAGGAACATATTTCCATCAGATATTCTTATGCTCACTTCTTCACTTTCTTCAGGTCATAATTTAAATATTTAATTCGCTGACTGTCCTATCTGAAGTTGTACCGTGTAGACTCTTCCTATTCCCTTTTCATACTGTCTATTCAGCTACAACACTTATCATCCTGTGATATATATTTTACTTCTTTATTACATCAAAAGATTCCTAAAAGAAAGTACATGAAAATGAAAATTCTACTTCATTTATACTCATGCAATCTTCTACTAGACTAACTTTCTAGAAAATAACAACAATAAACTCTGGAATAAGTACAAGAAACCTGAAGAGAAGAAAGTGAAAAACAAGCAGATTCTAGGTAGAAGTTGATACACAGAAGAAAAGAATGGCAGTAACCTTTCTTCTTTTCTTTCTTTCTTTCTCTCTTTCCTTCCTTTGCTCCTTTTTCCCTCCCTTCCTTCCTTTCTTTCTTTCTCTTTCTTTTTTCTTTCTCTTTCTTTTTCTCTTTTTCTTTCTCTTTCTTTCTTTCTCTCTTTCTTTCTTTTTCCTTTCTTTCTTTCTTTCCATTTTTTTTTTTCTTTTGAGGCAGAATCTCACACTGTCGTCCAGGCTGGAGTGCAACGGCGCGGTCTCAGCTCATTGCAAGCTCCACCTACTGGGTTCATGCCATTCTCCTGCCTCAGCCTCCTGAGTAGCTAGGACTACAGGCACCCACCACCACACCTGGCTAGTTTTTTGTATTTTTAGTAGAGATGGGGTTTCACCATGTAAGCCAGGATGGTCTCTATCTCCTGACCTGGTGATCCGCCCGTCTCAGCCTCCCAAAGTGCTGGGATTACAGGCGTGAGCCACCGCACTGGGCTTCCTTCTTTCCTTCCTTCCTTCCCTCCCTCCTTCCCTCCCTCCTTTTTTCCTTCCTTCTTTTCTTTCTTTCTTTTTTCCTTTCCTTTCTCTTTCTACTTTTCTTCTTTCTTTCTTTCCTTCCTTCTTTCCTCTCTTTCCTTCCTTCCTTCCTTCTTTTTCTTCTTTCTCCTTCCTTTCTATTCTTTCTTCTGCTCTTTCTTTCCCTCCTTCCTACTTTTCATCCTTCTTTCCTTCTTTCTGTCTCTTTCCCTTTCTTTCTCTTTCCTTCCTCTCCTTCCTTCTTTGTCTCTTCTTCAACTTTTAATCTGGGAGAAGTCTGCAGTCTATGCTGGGTGTCTAACTCTAAACAGCCTAGTTAAAAATAAAAGCACTGAGTTATAATTTTAGCTGCTGCCAAAGAAACAGTATTTGCTTGAGTCCAGCAAAATCAACTACCTTAAGGTTTTTGCAATTTAAGAGAAAAGGCAACCAGTGAGAACAAATCTAAGGTGAACCAGACCTTAGAAACAAAAATAGGACAAAGGGATCCTATTCATGCTAATTGATATAAAGTAAAATAGGCTTACAAAAACAGCATGTATCAGCAAAGAAATAAACTATAAAAAGAACAAAATAGAAATTCCAGAAGTGAAAAATACAATAAGAAAAATTTAAACAATGAATCACCTTAGTATCTCCTAACTGCAAATTAGAAACTATAGAAGACAGGATCACATAATTAAAAGTGTTAAAAAATAAAAATGACAGAGTAATAAGTCAGAGAACATGAAAATTCTAGTAGAAATTACACAATATGAATTTAAAAAAAGAAAAAGAAAGATTGGAATAAAATATGAACAGGGGCCAGGAGCGGTGGCTCACACCTGTAATCCCAGCACTTTGGGAGGCTGAGGCAGGCGGATCACAAGGTCAGGAGATAGAGACCATCCTGGCTAATATGATGAAACCCCGTCTTTACTAAAAATACAAAAAATTAGCCAGGTGTGGTGACGGGAGCCTATAGTCCCAGCTACTCAGGACGCAGAGGCAGGAGAATTGCTTGAACCCGAGAGGCAGAGGTTGCAGTGAGCCGAGATCGCACCACTGCACTCCAGCCTGGATGACAGAGCAAGAATCCGTCAAAAAAAAAAAAAAAAAAAGAACAGGGCTTTGAAGGCCCATGGGATGATATCAAAATGTCTAAAGTGTGTAACTGGAGTCCCAGAAGAAGTTAACATATTTGAAGAAATTAGGTTGAAACTATCTCAAATTTGCTGAAAAAGATACATTTACATAGTTAATAAGTACAATGAATCCCAAAGAGGATAAATATGAAGAAAACCTTGCACTGGTGCATCCCAGTCAACCTGCTTTAAAACAGAGAGAAAATCTTTAAAGTAGCCACATTATAAGCAAGATACTAGTGACTAAAGTGTTGGCTGGCATTTCCTTTGGACCATGGAAGATGGAAGATAACAATTTTAAATTACTAAAAAACAAGCCCAAACAAATTAAACAAAAAACCTGTCAATGATAAATTTTACCTCCAACAAAGATATCTTGTAAGAATGAAGGTAAATAAATATATATTTAGATAAAATAAAACAAGACAATTTGTTACCAAAGAAATTGTTTTCAAGAAAAGAAGTTCTTTCATTTGAGGAAAAACACCACCAGGTAGAAACTCAAATCTTCAGGAAGAAATGAAGAGCATCAGAAATGGTAAATATCCAAATAAATGTATAAGGTGATAATTATTAGCTCTTATTTAAAGAAACACATATAACTATTTAAATAAAAATGATAATATTGTAATGTGGGGTTTATAATATACTTACTTGTAATATACATGACAAATATAGATTGAAGAATGGAAAATTAAGTGGTGAGTGCTTACAATGTTTCTATATTTTGCATGAAGTGGTACAATATTAACTACAGAGACTGTGAAAAGTTATCTATTGTTAATCATAGAACAGCCATTAAGAAATGCAAATAGGTGGTCTGGCGCAGTGGTTCATGCCTGTAATCCCAGCACCTGGGGAGGCCAAGGCAGATGGATCACGAGGTCAGGCGCTCCAGACCAGCCTGGCCAAGATGGTGAAACCCCGTCTCTACTAAAAATACAAAAATTAGCCAGGCACGGTGGTGGGCACCTATAATCCCAGCTACTCAGGAGGCTGAGGAAGGAGAATTGCTTGAACCCGGGAGGTGGAGGTTGCAGTGAGCTGAGATCATGCCACTTCACTCTAGCCTGGGTGACAGAGCAAAACTCTGCCTCAAAAAAAAAAAAAAAAAAAGAGAAATGCAAACAGGCCAGGAGGGGTGGCTCACACCTGTAATCTCAGCACTTTGGGAGGCTGAGGCAGGCGGACCATAAGGTCAGGTGTTCAAAACCAGCCTGGTCAACATAGTGAAATCCTGTCTCTACTAAACGTACAAAATTAGCTGGGTGTGGTGGCCGCACCTAAAGTCCCAGCTACTCAGGAGGCTGAGGCAGGAGAATCACTTGAACCCAGGATTGGGAGGCTGAGGCAGGAGAATGGCTTGAACCCAAGAGGCAGAGGTTGTGGTGAGCCGAGATCGCACCTCTGCACTCCAGCCTGGGCAAGAGAGGGGGATTCCGTCTCCAAAAAAAGAAAAGAAAAAAAAAAAGAAAAGAGAAAGAAAAGAAAAAAGAAAAAGAAAAGCAAATAATTGGCTGGGCACAGTGGCTCACGCCTGCAATACCAGCACTTTGGGAGGCTAATGCAGGTGGATCACAAGGTCAAGAGATCCAGACCATCCTCCCTAACATGGTGAAACCCCATCTCTACTAAAAATACAAAAAATTAGCTGGGCGTGGTGGCACGCGCCTATAGTCCCAGCTACTCAGGAGGCTGAACCAGGAGAATCGCTTAAACCCAGAAGGTGGAGGTTGGAGTGAGCCAAGATGGCGCCACTGTACTCCAGCCTGGATGACAAAGCAAGACCCCATCTCAAAAAAAAAAAGAAATGCAAATAATTATAGTCAAAATGTAAATGATTAAAATAGAATGTTAAAACAAGACTTCATTTAATTCCAAAGAAGGCAGCAAAAGAGAAACAGAAGGACAAAAACTACAAAAGAAACAAGAAAACAAATAAAATGGTAGACACAAATCCAACCACATCATTATTTAATGTATGAATATCATTTTAATTAAGTTTAATTAATTAACTTATTTAATATAATGTACAAAAATATCAAAATAAAAGGCAACAATTGTCAGGATGGTTAAAATTCAACAGACACAACCATAAACTATAAGAGATATATTCAAATTATGCAGACACAGAGAAGCTGAAAATAAATGGATGGAAAAAGATCTTTCATGTAAATATTAGAAAAAGGCTAGGTTAGGCCGGGCGCGGTGGCTCACACCTGTAATCCCAGCACTTTGGGAAGCCAAGGTGGGCAGATCATGAGGTCAGGAGGTCGAGATCATGCTGGCTAACACAGTGAAACCTCGTCTCTACTAAAAATACAAAAAAATTAGCCGGGCGTGGTGGCAGGTGCCTGTAGTCCCAGCTACTCAGGCGCTGAGGCAGGAGAATGGCGTGAACCTGGGAGGCGGAGCTTGCAGTGAGCTGAGATTGCGCCACTGCGCTGCACTCTAGCCTGGGCGACAGAGCAACACTCCGTCTCAAAAAATAAATAAATAAATTTTTTTTAAAACGATAAGACCATAGATAAGTAAAACAGAGAACAGATAAATATTTTAGGTTCAATGAATCTAAAAGCTGATTGTTTGTAATGAATAACAAAATTGATAAGCCACTACCTAAACTGATGAAGAAAAAATAAGAAAGAAATAACCAATGTCATGAATAGAAGAGGAGTTATCAGTACAGATCATAGAGACATTGAAAATAAAATAAGTAAGACACTATTACAGGCAACTTGATGCCAACAAATTGGACAGCTTAGAAGAAACAGAAACACTCTTTGAAAAATATAACTTAGCAAAACTAATAAAGATGAAACAGAAAATCTGAAAACTCCATATCTAGCAAGAATATTGATTTTGTTGTCAAATTCCTTCTGAAAAAGAAAAGTCCAGGCCCAGGTTGTTTCAGAGGTCAGTTATATAATATACTTAGTGAAGAATTAAAGCCAATATTATATTGAATTTTTTTTGAAAATGCAATACCAGGAAAGCACTCTTATTTTTTGGGGCTGGAATGACAAAGACTTAACAATAAATTAATAACATTGAAGCCTAATATTCATTATGAAAAATACTGTAAAATTCCTTAATAAAATATTCATAAATCCAGTAGTATATGTAAAAGATATTATATCATGCCCAAGTAAGGTTACCCTGGGAATTCAAATTTACTCTACCATTTGAATAATGATCAACATAATTTACCATAATAACAAGGTAAAAAGAACATTTATGTATTTTTCCAATAGACATGGAACATACACTTGACAAACTTTAACACTCATTTATGAAAAAATCCTCAGCGAACAAGGAATCCAAGCAAATATCCTCAATCTGTTAAGTTGAATTTATGAAAAAAAAACATTACAGTTAAAGGTTTAATATTGAACAGTTTCTTCCCACATTTGGGAACAAGGCAAAAATGTTTACTTTAACCACTGGCTCTCAAACATTATACCCAAGATACTAGCCATTTCAATATGGCAAGACAAGCAAAAAAAAAAGAAAGAAAAAGAAACGCATAACAAAGTTGAAAAAGAGGTAAGTACAATTATACGATTACTCTATTTAATGAAAAGATTATTTACCCACAAACCAAGAAATCTACAAAGAACTGGTAATATAAATGTTAATATAAAAATTGTATATGTAAATATTAGCAGCACACAATTAGAAAAAAGAAACTTAAAATGTGCACATGTACCCTAAAACTTAAAAGTATAATAAAAAAAAAATTGTATTTATAAAACAGTTAAAACTTACCTAAAATTTCAAAATACTTAAGTGTGCACTGTATTAAACAGAAAGTAGGCAAGTCATCTACACTGAAAACTACAAAATGTTGCCTATAGAAAAAAACGAAATAATAAATGCTGAAATATATCATGTTTACTGATTGGAGGATACAATATTGTTAATATGTCCATTATTCTCAAGCTGATCTGCTAATTCAATGCTTTTTCAATCATTATCCCAGTAGTCTTATTTTTTGGAGGAATTGCCAAACTGGTTCTAAAAATATATAGGGAAATGCAAAAGACCTTGACTTGTCAAAATAATCTTGAAAAAGAACAAAATTAGAGGACTTACCCTTTCTGATTTCGATATTTACTTTATAGCTGTAGTAATCACTGGGTTTTTGTTTTTTTTTGTTTTTTTGTTTTTTTTTTGAGACGGAGTCTTGCTCTGTCACCCAGGCTGGAGTGCAACGGCGCCATCTTGGCTCCCTGCAAGCTCCACCTGACGGGTTCACGGGTTCACGCCATTCTCCTGCCTCAGCCTCCCGAGTAGCTGGGACTACATGAGCCTGCCACTATGCCTGGCTAATTTTTTTTGTATTTTTAGTAGAAACGGGGTTTCACCGTGTTAGCCAGGATGGTCTCGATTTCCTGACCTCGTGATCCGCCCGCCTCGGCCTCCCAAAGTGCTGGGATTACAGGCGTGAGCCACCGGGCCTGGCCATTACTGCTTTTGTAAAACAAAATTAACTCTAAAACTGCTTAGTGGTATGACCTTAACCAAATTCCTTGGGATATCTAAACTCAGTTTTCTTATCTGTGAAAGGGAAATAATACTTGGGACAATGTTGGTCCCAGACTTGATGCTAAAGAAATAAATATTAGTTATATTTTAAAAATTGACATTTGGGGGAAATTTTTGGTATGTATACATATATGTACCTTATGGTTGTATTGCACTTGAAAATTTTCAAAGCATTCTCATAAATGCTACACTGGATTTTGAAAAGATATTTAAAATACATTTCAGAAATCAATACTACTCATATGTTATAAGCGCAAGACACTGATAAGATTATTTATATTATGAGGGTTATAAAATAACCATAGCACAAGACAGTGGTGAAATGCCTTACATTTGTATTGAATATTCACTTTCTTTTTTTTTTTTTTTTTTTTCAGTCAGAGTCTCGCTCTGTTGCCCGGACTTGAGGGCAGTGGCTTGATCTCTGCTCACTGCAAGCTCCGCTTCCTGGGTTCACACCATTCTCATGCCTAAGCCTCCCGAGTAGCTGGGACTACAGGCACCCACCACCACACCTGGCTAATTTTTTGTATTTTTAGTACAGACGGGGTTTCACCGTGTTAGCCAGGATGGTCTCGATCTCCTGACCTCGTGATCCACCTGCCTCCCAAAGTGCTGGGATTACAGGCGTGAGCCACCGTGCCTGGCTGAATGCACTTTCATTTTCTCTGAATTTCCACCCTCATTCCAGCCCATGCAGAACAAATACACATTCTCATCCTCAGATGCTTTCATTGTCCTTAATATGCATTTCCATTATTGTTATAATCTCATAAACAATGTTTACTTTTCATGCTAGACCATGTGATCCTTGAAATCATCCATTCCATTTTTTCCTTCTCTTATCCCTGGAGATCATCTTGACATTGGGCACATAACAGGTGATGGAGTGAATTAATTGTATGTCTCCTTAAGCCCACCCATGTTGACATGAACATCATTAACTATATTATGTAATATCAGTGTTAGCAAACTTGTTATTGATGAGAAAATGCGTGTTCAAATGAATGACCAAGAGACAGCAGGCACAAGGAGCAGGAGAAGGTGCTGGGTCTTGTGGCTCATCGTACTGACTCTATGAGCATCATTTACCATGCTGGAAAGAACCATCATGGGAACTGAGGTGAGTCAGAAAAGCCCTCCTATATTCTGAAGGAGGAAGGTCTGAGCTTGGTGTGGGTGGTACTTCACTGCCTTGGTGATATTGAATTTCTACTAGGGATGGAAGGTGTTGAGGGCCACAATGGCTCAAAGTCCTTCATTTTTGCATGGAGTAGTGGTGGTTAGTTTTACAGCATTTAGATTAGCAAATTCTGGAATTTCAGCAAAGTGAGAATTCCTTTGGGAGTGAAATTCTCTGCCTTCTTACAAGATTGCTATGTTACAAGGGATCATGTATGCAAACATAGTTTTAAAATTATTTAGAGGCACATAATTATAAATAAAGGTGACTACCAATATCTGTACTACTCACAAAACAATTTCTCAAGTTGCTGGAGAATACCAGGAGGGTTAGACCAGTGACCTAGCTAACTCAGTGTCTGCAGTTTTTCACGATTCCCTGAGGGACTATTAGATAAAAGTATGTTGTAATCTCTCTCCTTGATATGAAACTCAGAAACCTAAGAATGCTCATAGCATACTTTGCTTATACCTATCATCTCTCAAATAAATTAACCAGGCAATATTTTACTTCTTCAAATACGTTAGTAATTCTGATGATGAAACTTATTTTTAGAGAAGTTTAATTTATAATAATGCACATTTTGATGATTAATTTCTCTTCCTCCTTGATTTAAAAGTGAGAAGATAATACATATGATTTCAAAGGCTTTAGACATATGAATAATCCACTCACCTTGGCTCACTGACACAATACGCCACAGAATTGTATTGTATGGATCATTGGCATGGCCGATGATAGCACCTCCTGTGGAGCTATTGTGGTCCACCTTGTGGAAGGCAGCTTCCTCACTTTAAAAGTAATGCCCTCTAGGTGGTCCCTGATCCAGAATGTGTCTCAAAGAACAATAGAAAACCATGGATTGATTCTGACATTTTTTATTCCATTGTGATCATCAGAAATTTCTAAAATTCAACTCACCCTATTAGAATTTCATAGCCCATAATAGATATGCATTTGAAGCAGTTCTGTTGAAAACTCATATTATTCAGCTTTCCCTTAAATGCACATAAAAAAACTAAATAGAGAATAGCTGTTATATGACACACAAATATTTAATTTGAAAACTCAATTCTCAAGGTTAAAAGATCAATGACAACAGCAAGAAAAATTACCCTGTGTTTCTCAATGTATATTATAAAATATAAAATCATCTACCCTGGTTGTCACACTAATAATTTTCACATAATAAGTTTGAGAAATTCTACCTCAGTGGTTCTCAAAATGTGGTTTATAGAGCAGCAGCAGTAGCACCTGGAAACTTGTTCAAATTCAAATTCTTAGGTCCCATTGTAAGAAATTTTAAACCAGAAACCTTGATTGTGGGGCTCAGTAATCTGTTCCAACAAGGCATCCAGATGACTTTACTGATTTTCCTTCCACCCAAATAAACGTTCACACTGGAATCTCTAGAAACTGCAATTGTGTTACATTACATGAAGGAAGGGACTTTGCATATGTGACTAAAGGGTATGGACCTGGATTATCTGGATGGGCCCAATCTAATCCCAGAAGCCCTTAAAGGTGGAGAACTTTCCCTGGCTGGAGTCAGAGAGATGCAATAGAAGAGGAAGCAGGGGGCTTGCAAAAGGAGAAGGCAGAGAGAGTCCAAGTGGGAGAGTATACAAAGCACTCCTTCACTGGTTCTAAGATGCAGTGGGCCACATGCAAGAACTAGAGAGAGGCCTGGAATAGTTAAGGCTAGGTCCCCAGGTGACAGCCAGCAAGGAAATGGGGACCTCACTCCTACAACACAGAACTGAATTCCACCAACAATTTGGATGAGCTGAGAGGTGGATTCTTCCCCAGAGCCTCCAAAAAGAAGGAAGCCCTGGCAACACCTTGATTTCAGGCTCGTGAGACTGGAAACGGAGGAACCAGCTGAGCCACACTCTACCCAGACTTCTCACCCTCAGAAACTATGAGGTAATGAATCATTTATGTGTATGTTAATCGGTTAAGTTTGTGGTGCCTATTACGGCAGCAATACAAAATAAATACCACACTCAAGTTTGAAAACCACTGCTGTGCATAATCATTAATTATCATTATCATTTATTCTATTGATGGCATACAGTTGGAACCACATCGATGAAAAATATTTCCTTGATCGACCTGCTTATTCATGCCAGCTTCTGTATAAAGTAAGAATATAGCATAGCACAGCACATGGAAATCATGGTTAGTCCCATTCTTTGGGAGTTCTGATGTTTATAAACATTTAACTGAGATAGACCTGGGGCTAATGACAGATCCATCTTCTTTCTAAATGTGCTTCTTGGTTAAATTTATTTAAGCTTTCTATTTTTTTATGTTATTTTTTTGAATTTAATTTAATTTTTTCTTTTTGAGACAGAGTCTCGCTCTGTCGCCCAGGCTGGAGTGCAGTGGCACAACCTCAGCTCACTGCAAGCTCCACTTCCTGGGTTCACGCCATTCTCCTGCCTCAGCCTCCCGAGTAGCTGGGACTACAGGCGCCCGCCACCACGCCCAGCTAATTTTTTGTATTTTTAGTAGAGACAGGGTTTCACCGTGTTAGCCAGGATGGTCTCGATCTCCTGACCTCATGATCCGCCCACCTGGGTCTCCCAAAGTGCTGGGATTACAGGCGTGAGCCACCGCACCTGGCTTTTAAGCTTTCTTTAGTAAGAATTCTCTTCGTAGAATGAGGTAGCAATACCCACCCAATAGAATTGCTTGGAGGATAAAACAGATAACATATACAATAAACCTGACATTTATTTGGTACTCAATAATGACTAGTTCTTTCTGTAAGAGCAATAGAAACCACATTTTGGAAGCAGACATAACCAGTGAAGATCATTGTCTCAGGTCTGTTTTCTCAGAAGCAGAGTTGGAGATGTGTTCTTGAGCATGTGATTCATTTCAGGACAGACTATAAGGGAAACATATTAGGGCAGGAGAGATAAAGATGTGGATTCGAGGGGAAACAAATGTCATCCTCTTCCCACGGGGAAAGCTTCACAGCACAAGTTGGAGTCAGGGCCAGCCATTGGCTCAGCAGTCATTGGACTTGGAAGGGGAGAAAAGACAATTATCTAGGGAAAAGGCTGCTGTGCATTGGGAGCAAGCAACACTCCCAGCAGCAGGTATGGCAGGCACAAAAGGGTATCTGTGTCCGACACTAACAACCCACAACAATTATTCCATTTCCAAATTAAGTCTCTGGCTTGTTTTTCACTTGAGGGCCAAAGCCAGCAGGTATCACTCGACTCTCTGCCTTGTACAATGCATAGCTTCAGCAATGGAATTTTTTTTTTTTTCTGAGACGGAGTTTCGTTCTTGTTGCCCAGGCTGGAATGCAATGGCGTGATCTCAGCTCAGTGCAACCTCCGCCTCCCGGGTTCAAGCAATTCTCCTGCCTCAGCCTCCTGAGTAGCTGGGGTTACAGGCATGTGCCACCACGCCCGGCTAATTTTTTTTGTATTTTTAGTAGACGGGGTTTCTCCATGTTGATCAGGCTGGTCTTGAACTCCTGAACTCAGGTGATCCACCCACCTCGGCCTCCCAAAGTACTGGGATTACAGGTGTGAGCCACTGCACCCGGCCAGCAACAGAATTATTACAACTCCATCTGCCTAGTGGCTCTGCTTTTCCCTCTTTGCTTATGAGTTTTAGCCATGAATCACCCATATGGAGATCTAGATTTGTATGGAGTGGCAGTCTCTGCTAAAATAGTTTTATTTTTCCATGGAAAGTTATGGCTGGAAGCATTCTGTGATAATTCTGTTGCCAGTCTTTAGAAACCAATTACAAAATGCACTGATTCATTGATTATTTAAATTAAGAAAGAAAATTAGAATACAGCTTTCTTTTTCCTACCTGGAGAATTTGATCTTTACTTTAAACTCATCTTCCTCCTCCCACAGTGATTGTCCAGTGTCATTCTGCCTCATTCTGCCTGGATAAATATAGTTCGTTAGATTCCCACATTTAGACCTCTAGTGGAAACATCACATTAAATGTAATATGAGAATACTGTATAAAATTATATAATAGCATATTTTTCCTCAACGTTTCTCCAGCTCCCATCTGTGCCACTTTATCCATATTATATAACCCACTAATTTGCTAGTTTTGCCAAAAATTCTGTTAACCTTTATTTCTTTCTGTAGTACTGTAAGTTTTGGACTTTGCCTATTAATTCAAACTGGTCTTAAGTCATATTCTTCCTGCATTCTAAAAATAGATTGTCTAATTCAAACTAATGTGTTAATGGCTGAGAAGTTTCAGTGCATTATTTCAAAGAGATAGCATCTGTATGTGCCACTTTCCATTAACTCAAAGCATTCAGTTATGAGAATCACAAGTATTACAAAGACCTCTGAGTGAGATATAGTTAGGCGAACTAACGCTCAAATCATAACATGTAAGTGATTTTCCTTTTTTTATTTATTCAAGAAATACATATTCTAGGTATTTTCCTAGTTCATTTAAACACTCTGGGGGCCAAAGAATTTGATAATCATATAAAGGAAAACAATGGCCCTTTCTTAGATCAGGCAATGGTGGTATTAGATATTTTCTGAAATCTAAAATAATATTCCAATATATGCAATGACCAATGTCAGCCACACTAAGCAGAACCAAACAGTTAATTTCAGAGGGAGCTTTTAGAAGGGAATACAAAAACAATTCCAAGGTCATCCCATTTCTCAAAATATCTTCACAGTGATTGCTAGAACTATAACCTGTGCTTACTGTAGGCATCTTTTTTGACACTTCGCCCAGGAGCAGTGTGGTGCCACTGATGAAAACACCACTTCAAATCTACTTCTCAATCAGTGCTGTGCCAGATTTCTATGGAATCACGGCAGTTTTAGGAAAAGCATATCTTTCAGCTGTTGAGATGAAACTAATTAATGTAATGCCTAAATTACATTAATGTGAATTGAGTATTGAATCCCTACGATCTTCTCTTGTGGTAATCTTTAGAGAGCTGAGATGATCTGGATAGTTGTTTAGATATTTCATTTTATGTAGTAAACATATGCTCTCATGAGTCATGTTTTATGATGTTATAGACAAAAAAGAATGCTTAAATGTCATTTATATGATACAAAATTTATTTGATTAAAAATCTTTATTGGTATGCCCAGGTATGCTAACACAGGGAACCACCTAGAACATGTTCAGTGCAAGTGGCAGACTTCCTGAATGCTCACCAAGTATCCAGCTGGTTGCCTCGTTGTTTCTGCCTCCTTTGTAGGAAGCCCTCAGTGATAGAATGAGTTCCAGTCAGTAAAGTGTCATTGGAAGTGACCTGTGTCCCTTGGGAGCAGAGGGGTGGGTAAGAGCCAGTGTACCTCTTAGGTGTTTCTTATGCCCTTCTGCACTGGCTTCAGAGTCTACATGTTCCAGAAGCCATCACAGAAATATGGAGGAACCCTTGCTAAATCCCATCAAATGGTGAGAGAGTGGAGAAATACACATGTGGCGCTAAGCCACTGAAACTTCATGGCCTGTGTATACAGCTAAGACAGGCTATCCTGATAAATATTAAAGTGAATGAATCAAGTTATAAGGAGTATATAGCAGGTTTTGTATAATCTAAGTTTTAAAATGTTCTTAAAGCATAGATGTAAACCTGATGATAGTGCTGACCGTGAGTCTGTGGAAAGCCAGGGATTAAGAGTGGAGGCAATGAAGGGCCAATGAGGAAGAAGGTGAGAGACTTCCATTTTTACTTTTATACAAACCAATTAATGTTGTCTTCTTTTGTGATGAACACAATTTACTTTAATATTTTTAACCTATATTTTTACTGGGAAGAACCTGGATTTTATTTATTTACATTTTAAAAATTTGTAATTATTATGGATATAAAATAGGTGTACATTTTTGTGGGGTACACGTGAAATTTTCATACCAGCATACAATGTGTAATGATGGTGGCAGGGTAATTGGGATATCCATCACCTCAAGCATTTTTCATTTCTTTGTGGTAGGGACATTACAATTCCACTCTTTTAGTTATTTTCAAATACACCACACATTTTTGTTACCTATAGCTGCCCTATTGTGCTACCAAACACTAGGTTTTCTTCCTTCTGTCTACTGTGTTTTTGTGCCCCTTAACCAACCTCCTTTCATCGCCCTCCCCAGTTCTCTTCCCAGCCTCTGATAACCATCATGCTACTCTCTATCTCCTTAAGTTCATTTTTTTAATCTCCCACATATGAGTGAAAATATGTGATACACTTAATGTATTTCAACAGAGTTTCTCATTGCCATTATTACAATAGTAAAAATGCAAATATTATCTGACTAAATCATGCATTTCAGATGCAAGGGATTAGAAACTTTCTGTATTTAAAAGGTCCAAGCAGAATTAAATAATTTGATGAACGAAAACTAGGTAATGTCTACAAATAACAGAAAACCTAACCAAGAAACAGAATACTGAGACTTTGAAAAAAATGTTTTAGGTCATTCCAAAACAATTAGAATACTTGAGTGTCTATAAATTCAAAAAGAAGGTACATTTCCTGAGCCTTAACAGAGACAAAGAAGTTTTTCAAAACCATAACCCAGGCTAAGAGTAGTGAATGGCTCTGTTGTCTAAATGGCTCAGTGTTTAAATAATGAAAATGAAAATCTGTTTTAGATTTTATGTTCCTAAAACTCAGGTTTTGAAAATTCCAAAAAGCATGTGAGGCCAAGAAGAAAATGCACACATGCTTGTCTAGGAAAAAATAAACGAAATGGCTTGTTCCATCTTTACACTTGACGAATTCCCAAAATTCAGAGGGAATGGGCACAGTTGTTTATTCTAATATTGTGGCTCACAGTGGTTTTATGAGGAGAAGCAGGGCATTTATAGGAGTCTTGACTCAAGTCTCTTTAAGGAGCATTTGTTTGCCAAGCTGCAGAGGTTTCTTTTCTGTTTCTTTCTAACATTAGGGTTGAGAAATACATGTTTGGGCTTTTACTTTCATTAGGTCTCGTTGTATTTTGTTGCTTTTAGCAAAACCCAATATGCACTTTTACCACTTGTAAAACTTATATTCTCTCCATTTTAAAGATTTGCTAATTTACCCCACTTAACTGATTTCAAAAATATTTTACACACCTAATTGACTTTTAAAAAATGATTTCAACCCCAAAATAAAATGTAACCAAAGTCAAGGTAATTCTGATTTCATAAACTGTATCATTATGCTTTGAAATTTGGATATGGAAATGGACTTCTAAGCTAGAAGAATCATGCCTTGGCTCCCTTTCAGGAGTGCTAGGAAATATAGAATGATTTGATTTCCTGCAGAGAAAGTTGTCTCCATTTTGGTTGGTATTCAATCCCTTATTCTGGTGGAGAGAACAGTGCATCTCTGAAAAGCCTGATTTTGAACCAGATGCAGTGACAAGATTAACCTTTGTGTTGTCTCATTTGAAGAAGAGGTGAGCGTATTCTGTGTATGGGAAATGGCTAAATTGATGTTTTGTGAAATGAAGAACCAACTTTTGCAGAGACTAATGGCGGAACCACAAATCTAATTTCTATTCTGGGGTACAAAACTCATCTACATTTTCTGTAGCTTCCTTCATTTCAAGCATCTGAAGTACTATATGAATGAAAATTCATTAACTAATCACGTCAACATTCTCTGAACATTCATCAGCATTGATAAAAATGAAATATGATTAAAGTATTTAACATTTAAAAGTAATTAATGCATGGTTTTGGTATTAAATAGACTGAGCTGAATATTAAGAGTTAATATTAAAAATAAAATATAAATGTTTCCCAATTTAATAATTTCAATTTGTGATATTAACGTATGCACGCACTGTTTTGTAATTGTTACAATCACAGTGTTCTCATTCCATTTACCTTGCATTTTAACTTACTCTATCCTGTACATCTTTAAAATTTCCACATATCTCTCATCATTATAATTTGCTGTCATTGAATGTCATTCTGTCAAACGTTTCTGTTATTTTAAATCCATTATTTGATATTAACTAGGAATTATTCCATGACAGATAGAAGCTATGGGTTCCTCTTCACTGGATAACCTAATTCCCATTTTCATTTCTAATTATGTGAATAAAGTAAACATTTTAAAGGGAGAAGATTATTTTTCCAACTAATTCAAAGCTTGTTTCATTTTTCTCATTTTCCATCATGGAAACCACAAAACAAAGTCTGATTTGGGCTATTCTCTTAATGAAAAGAGGCGACCTTAGTCACTCAGGAATCTAGAAGTTCTACAGTATTGTTAGGCTCCTCACAGCAACACAAAGCGAACCATGACAACAAGTCTGATGCTGCTTCACCTTCAATGTTTCTCACCTACTTACAGATTTTAAACACTACAGGTTTTTTGCTGTGGTTATCAGTGCCCGTTTCTTATACAAAAGAAAGTGAACTGTGCTCTTGAGGTGCTGGGATCTGACAGACACAATCACAGCAGAAGGGCCCTAGATCATTGAACCTTTCAGCGAATGTCACCTAGCTTCACTTCTCTCCTTCCGTTAAGGTAAGGCAATCTTGCCGAAGGCAGGCACTTCATTTTTGTGGTTTTAGGAAGAAATCAAATCCAGAAACATAATGTTTTTAAGAAGAAGGAAACTACATTTTCAACACAGAATTTGATTTTATATTAACCACACATTCTAGTATCTCACTGTATTTGTGAGACTCCAGGAGAGGCCGATTGTCCCAGTTAGAGCTCGCCATGTGCCCACATCTCCTACCTTTGGCATTTGTACATTACTGCTACAATGCACAATCAACAAGGCAGTGTGCTTTTGCCAGAGACGGTCCTGTCTTCTCCCTCTGCGTCCCAAATGATAGCCCTCTAAGAAGGAAATGTGAGGTTTCTCATTAATTAAAGATGGCACTTATCATCCATATCCCCTCATTGCAGTGCGTCACTTCAGTGGCTGTCCTGGCCTAGGAAGGGGATCAGCCGTGGCCAAGCAGGACCCGTACTGGAACCCTGCAGAGATGCTGAGCACCATGAAGGCTTCAGGGTAACTGTGTTTTGGCTCCGTGATTCATTTTGGTTGTACAGCTAGATTATTTGTTCTCCGGCCCAATAAACCAAAGACAAAAAACTCAGGGCAAAATAAGACTGATTGAAAGAGAAGCTGTCTAGTTTTGATTTGTTTTATTTCAAGTCTTTAATGTGTCCTTGTTTATTTTTTATTTTTAGATTTGGGTTTCACGCACAGGTTTGTTCCAGGGCGATATTGTGTAATACTGAGGTTTGGGTTTCTACTGAAGCCATCTCCCAAAGAGTGACCATTGTATCCAATAGCTAGTTTTTCAATCCTCTCCCCTCCCACCCTTCTCCCTTTCAAAGTCCCAAGTATCTGTTATTTCCACCTTTATGTCCATGCATACCCATTGTTTAGCTGCCCCTTATTAATGAGAACACGTGGTATTTAATTTTCTGCTTCTATTTCACTTAGGATATTTCACTGCAGCCCCATCCATGTTACTGCAAAGGACGTGATCTTATTCTTATTCATGGCTGAGTAGTATTCCATGGTATATGTGTATTACATTTTCTTTTTCACCAGTCTACCATTGATGGGTATTTAGGTTGAACCTATAACTTTGCAATTATGAATAGTGCTATACTAAATATACAAGTGCAGGTGTCTTTTGATAAAATGATTTATTTCCCTTTGGGTAGATATCCAGTAATAGGATTGCTGGGTCAAATGGTAGTTCTATTTTCAGTTCTTTGAGAAATCTCCATAGTGTTTTCCTTAGGGGTGAAACTAATTTACATTCCCTCCAACAGTGTCTAAGTGTTCCCTTTTCTCCATACCCTCAACTACATGTTATTTTTTGACTTTTTAATAATAGGCATGTGAATATAATTTTAATATGAAAATAAAGTGGCCAGGTGTGGTGGCTCATGCCTGTAATCCCAGCACTTTGGGAGACCAAGGCTGGCGGGTCACAAGGCAAGAGATCTTGGCCAACATGACGAAATCCCTTCTCTACTAAAAATACAAAAATTAGATGTGCATGGTGGTGCGCACCTGTCGTCCCAGCTGCTCAGGAGGCTGAGGCAGGAGAATCACTTGAACCCGGGAGGCAGAGGTTGCGGTGAGCCGGGATCATGCCACTGCACTCCAGACTGGTGACAAAGCGAAGACTCCGTCTCAAAAAAGAAAGAAAAAGAAAAGAAAAGAAAATTAATGCACGGTTTTGATATTAAATGGATTGAACTGAATATTCACAGTTGTTTTTGCTAGTAATAAGAGAGCAGATATGGAGCAACAGAAGACTTCCCCCAGAGCATGCAGAAGTGAAATATCTATCAGCAAAATATTATCTGAACTTTAGGCTTTTGCCTATCTTTATTTGACAGTGCATACACAATGGATGGAGTCAGGCTCTGAACAGAGACCAGGAGAAAACTTCTTAAATCATCTTGGCACCATTTGATAATTTCCTAAATTATTACCAGTGCAGCATAGTTTCTGCATTGGAATAAAAAGAGGGTAATACCTTTAGACTCTGGTAAGCCTTAAGGTAGAGTCTTGCCTGGTCAACTCAGAAATCACTAACCGACAGAGGAGAGAAATCTCTAATAGAAGACAAATGTGGTCAAGTTCACAGATTTTACCTTGAGGAATAATTCATATGATTAATCATATCTAATTAGAGTTCACTATAAGATGCCAAAATAATTGTATTACTACACAAGAAATGTAACTTTATATTAAATAAGACAAATAATATGAACCCTTTAAGTACATTTACCAAACTATGATAATAGTAATAAAATAACAAGGCTTTTGAAATATGATAGTCTAGATTTAACTTTTAATTAACATTCAACAAAAGGTTATGAGAGATGAACTTAAATTTTATCTCTTCTAATTAAACCTGTGTGACCTTGGTAAGACACTTAACCTCTGTGGAGCTCATCTGCCTCATACATGCTGGGGATAATGGTGTGTGCTTTAAGGATTGTAGTGAGGATTAAATGAGATAATGAACCCATAAACAACTGCACATGGTAAAGCCCTAGTGAATGCATACAAATCCTAATTTATAACAAACCATGATATAACCTAAGAGAAGGTATATACTAAGAAAAATCAAAGCAGTGAAATAAAGTAAGGACAAATTATTCACAAATTCCACTGCTCCAAATCAGTACTCTACCCATCCTCATATTAAGTGATTCTGGTTAATTTACTCTGTCTTCGTATCCAACCCCCACTGCTTTTCAAAAGTCAATGTAGTCCAAAATCATTTTTAAATCATTATTTTCCTGAGTAAGCAACTCGATGAGTCAACCCTAAAAGGCAGACATTTCGTTTGTTTACATAGGAAGGTTTTCAAGACCATTACAACATTTTTAAAAGGCTGAGTTTCCTTTTTGTTGATGTATTGACAGCGTAATGCATCCAATGGTTTTGTAGATTGCCTTTCTACCAACACATTTTCCTTTTCTAAATTTAATATGGATTTGATTCTTCTTTATCTTTCAGTGTTTTTCTATAAAAAAGGTCCAATATACTTTACAAGAAGATGCTTATGAATTAAAGCACTGTCAAGGCGAGATTGTAAATCTCTCTCTTTTTCCCTCCCATTTGATATGATCTATCTTTCTGCAAAATTATGCAGGCAGCAGAGGATAAAGGCAAAGGGGATGTTTTTAGAACTCTACATTAGTTTTCAGTATTCAGGTTGGACCATATTTTATTCTGGAATACTTACAGAAAAGAAGACTCCTTGTCCTCAGCAACCTGTCACACTAACTGCAATATGTGTAAAATTTCTTCCTTAAAACTTGATTTGGTTTCTTTAAACCAATATCAGATTTTTCTTGCTAGTTTACAATGCAGCCATGTAGGTATCATATACCAACCACAAGTATTGTGGTAGAGATATAACCAGTAAAACCTACAACACAAAACAGAGATAAAATGTAGTCATCTACTTTACTCCAGTTAAATGAATACTGGTTAAGCCCACATCTCAAAAATTGCTGCAAACCCACACTCTCTACATGGAATTGTTCCATACCCTAAATGTTTCAAAGACCCAGGACACTTGCACAGTCCAAAGATGAGGGTTCAACTCACTCCACAACCACAGTCAGAGTGGCTTCCTATCAGTTGACCTGCAACTGCAATTTATTTTCTTTTTTCTTTTTCTTTCTTTCTTTTTTTTTTTTTTTTGAGACAGAGTCTTGCCCTGTCGCCCAGGCTCACTGCAGCCTCTGCCTCCCAGGTTCCAGCAATTCTCCTGCTTCAGCCTCCCGGATAGCTGGGATTACAGGCACGTGCCGCCACTCCTGGCTATTTTTTTTGTATTTTTAGTAGAGACAGGGTTTCACCATGTTGGCCAGGCTGGGCTCGATCTCCTGACTTCAGGTGATCCGCCCGCCTCGGCCTCCCAAAGTGCTAGAATTACAGGTGTGAGCCACCGCGCCCAGCCTACAATTTATTTTTCAGTAAAATCATGTTGCTATTGACAATGTGTCCTACCCATTTTGACCGAAGATTCCTTCCTTCATTCATTTACTTGAAATTTGCTAAGAGAATAGATTTCAAGTACAGTATATGAATATGTTAATTAGCTTGATTGTGGAAATTATTTCACAATGTATGTGTGTCTAAAATATCACGTGATATACCTTATATACATACAATTTTTATTGTCAGTTTACCTCAATAAAGCTGGAAAATGTCATGTAACACCCAATGTTGTGCTATACTTGAAAAACCATAGAGTTAAAAGTGATTGCATGAACAGGATAAAACTTAAATGGAAATTAATATCTGACCATGGACTTGAAGGATTATAAGAGTTTACAATTTGGGAACGCAGGAAGAGAAAGACAGATGGAAGAACAAGCACAGGTGAGTCAAAATATGCCAGTATCTGGCAAGACTTCCTCTTCTCCACTTCTCCAGCGCTGTGTACACATCTCTATTACAGAATCTATAAAAATATACAATTATTAAATTATGTTTCTGTTTTGCTGAGTATACTCCCAGATCCTGAAGGCAAGGATTATACATTTACTTCTTGCCTGGAGCAATGCCAGGTGCATAGAAAAGCATTAAACATTTGTGTTCAAGGATCGATAAATGGCTATTGCTAAAGAACACAAAGTTTAGGAGATACAGAAAGATAATGGGCAGAAACAGGGCTGAATATGAAGGATTTAATAGGCTTTCAATTGCATGACAGTAAAAAACTGGTGTCTTCTAAGCCAATAGTTCTCCAAGTGTTGTCGGTGAATCCCTGGGGCTTCTTGGGATCTTTTCTGGACATGCATGTGGCCAAAACTAATTTTATAATAATGCTAAGTCATAATTTTAATGCTTTACTCTCATTCTCTCATGAGTGCACAATGCAATTTTTCAGAGGCTACATTACATGCAATAACATAATTATTTGTATGGGAAATGAAGTGTGTATTTGTATATTTTTGTTTAAAAAATGTATGTTTTACTTTCTCATAGAGTAAATGAAGAAAAATATAACCCACATTAACAAAAGTTCTTTGAAGTTCTCAATAATTCTTAGGGGTATAGAAGATTCCTGAGATCAAAAAGTTTGAGAATTGTTCTAGGTATGCCATTATATTTTTAAGTGGGGTAGTGCTATGATTATATATATCAGTGCTATTTTGCTACAGAGTTTAGTAATGGTAAGAAAACTGTGTCTGATGGGTCTAAAACCATTATTTACATATTTGTACGTCTTGATAATGTATTATTACATGTTGCTTGTGTTTTTTTGTTTTGTTTGTTTTTTTTTTTGAGACAGAGTCTCAATCTGTCACCCAGGCTGTAGTGCAGTGGCATGATCTCAGCTCACCGCAACAACCCCTGCCGCCCAGGTTCAAGTGATTCTCTTGCCTCAGCCTCCCGAGTAGCTGAGATTATAGGCACCTGCCACTGTGTCTGGCTAATTTTTGTATTTTCAGTAGAGACGGGGTTTCACCATATTGGTCAGGCTGGTCTTGAACTCCTGACCTCATGATCCACCCGCCTTGGCCTCCCAAAGTCCTAGGATTACAAGCATGAGCCATTGCACCAGGCCTGCATGTTTTTAATGATAATTAAATATGGCCACCTTAGATACCCCTTGGAAATACCACCCAAGCCCATAAACTAAAGTCAAGTAAACACTTAACCATTATTATTAAGTTTGGCCTAATTCTGCCTTTAAAAAAAATGAAATTTTCCGTTTGGATGGTGACTCAGGATGAAGATGGCAGTTAGCTATATTCATACATATGACATCAAACTACATATATTTTGTGATTACACAGGGTACTGGCTGGTGATATTATTACCTTAAAACCTGCTGACCGTACTAAGACATTTATGGGTCTTGCTGTCTGGTCTAAATAAATTTAAAGTATTTTTTTTTTTACAGTTTAGTTATTCTAAAGTGCTTTATGCCTTTAGGTGCCCATTTGAAATTTGAATCTTTCTTTTGATAGATTTTTTGCATCGAAAACTTTATATTTGGTTTACTTTGACTAAGCACACTCTAATTTTGAGTGCTATGATATTTTGGCTGAGTTCAGGAACTTCTTTATCTGATAACAATAGGGTGCTTACATATGTAATATTCATTTCCTGAACTCATTTTCACCTCACTTGG
This sequence comes from Homo sapiens, assembly GCF_000001405.40. NCBI lineage: Eukaryota > Metazoa > Chordata > Mammalia > Primates > Hominidae > Homo > Homo sapiens. The sequence continues at coordinate 36,605,894 of NC_000010.11, forward strand.
ATACTTTTAATTTTTCATGTTCCCTTAATATATCAGTCAAAGGTGCCATCCAAGTCAGTATCAAAAAGCGGGGACAGGAGACATCCTGCTGTGCAGATTATTTTTAAATGGGTACAGACTGTATTAAGACATTCCTACTTTCATTTATAATATTTCTCCAAAAAGAAAAGAAAATGAATATGTTAGTCATTAAACTGCCATGATCTATTTGTGCTTATTGAGGCATTGATTGAGATCTATGTTGCTTTATTTTTCTGAGCTCAATGGAGATAGCACTGACTATCAATGGCTCATATTAACCTTTGTTATAATTTGTTTTCACTATGAAATCTTCCCAAGGCCTTCAACAACTTTACCCCAAAATTTACAAATGGTTTACCTAAAAATTTCCTCTCTGAAATTTCCAGTGAAAACAAAACCAAACAAAAATGTCAATTAGGTAGTTTATTTCTCATATCAATGCCACTGTCCACATGCATGGAATGACTAAATACGAAAGAAAACAGATGTCTGACTCAACGAGCCTTCTGATAAGGGATCAGATTCATAATAACTATGCACAGAGATATATAGTTTCTTGGCACCCTCTATTGTTAAGTAATCAAAGGTTGATTACATACCTTTTGAGTTTAGCAAAGATTGCCAGTAATTTTCAGTCCTGTAAGTTGAAAGTCGAAGCCAGAAATTATGAGGGAATTTTCTGTCATTCTCTTTTTCACTGTCTTTCATTAGTCTTGAGGTAAAATGAAGATGAGGCACTGAGTTAAAGCTCAGACCATTTAGCCTTTGAAACATGAGAGTCCTCATATACTCTATGCTGGAAATTAGAATGGGATTATCACATATGGCACCACAGAGTTCTAGTACAGGAAAATTTCACGACAAATACAGGAACGTGGAAAAGACTGAGAATTCTTTGTAAGAGTAAATATATCCTGATTAAATTTTTCCTCACAAATTGGTTTATTAGAAAATCTTTTTATACAATTTTTGATCAAGACAAAGTTGCATTCCATCACATAGACTGTGTGTCAGGATGCCCATCCTGTGTCTCATTGGATTTCCTACTGTGTAGCTCAGTAGCACCTGTGTGGGAAGCGTGCTACCTGCTTTCTGTGATCCCCTGCATTCCACCGACTCATCCGATGGGGAAGCTAGAGCTGCAGTTGCAGAGAGCATCACTTCAGCAAGGGTTTCATTACCTTACTGAGACATCTATCATGCCACTGGAACTAAATATTGTCATTGATTTTAAAGATGTATGCTGTGTACATGATTTTGACATATGCCATATAATTTCTAAATCTAATAAAGAAAATCTGTTGAGAGACGAGGGGAGACATTATTTATACCTATTATTCAAATAAGAAACTAAGAGTGAGAGAATTTACTTTTATCACTCAATAAATTAGCGGCAAAGCATGGACTCAAGCAAAATTCTTCTTCGTGTTTACTTTTCTTTGCAATAGACATTGGAAGACATAAATATGACTTTGCTTTTTAAAGCAGACATCGAGGAATAAATGATTGGAGAGTTGTCTAATGCTGTGGAATTTTCCAGAAAGAAAGGTTACAATTCCAGATCTGAATCTGAAGAAGAGCCTGAATTTGAAATGTTTTTTTTTAAGAGCAGTTTTAGGTCTACAGCTAAATTGAGCAGAAACTGCAGAGAGTTCCCAAAACCCCCTACCCCCACAGACATATAGCTTCTCCCATTACTATTATTATTAATTATCATTTTATCATTATTATTATTTTTGAGATGGAGTTTTGCTCTTGTTGCCCAGGATGGAGTGCAATGGCGCGATCTCGGCTCACCTCAACCTCCGCCTCCCGGGTTCAAGCGATTCTGCTGCCTCAGCCTCCGGAGTAGCTGGGATTACAGGCATGCGCCACCACGCCCAGCTAATTTTGTATGTTTAGTAGAGACCGGGTTTCACCATGTTGGTCAGGCTGGTCTCGAATTCCCGACCTCAGGTGACCCGCCCGCCTTGGCTTCCCAAAGTGGTAGGATTACAGGCCTAAGCCACAGTGCCCGGCCCGCGTCTTCCATTATTAATATCCCACACCACTGGGGTACATTTGATGCAATCAATAAATCAACATTGAGACCTCGTTATCCACCAAGGTCCATAGTTTACAATAGGGTTCACTCTTGATCTTGTACATTCTATGGGTTTTGACAAAGGTACAATGGCATGTATCAACCATGATAATATCATACAGAATCACTCCATTGCCTAAAAACCCCCTGTGTTTCCCCATTCATCCCTCCTTCCCCACACACCCCTGGCAACCACTGATCTTTTTATTGCCCCCGAAGTTGGCCTTTTCCAGAATATTATACACAGGAAATCATATGGTATGTAACCTTGTCATATTGCTTTTTAAATTCACTTAGTAATATGCATTTAAGATTCCTCCCTGTCCAATGGCTGGATAGTTTATTTCTTTTTAGCCTTCTAACTTGAAATTCTTTAATGAATAGTTGTATTTGTTGGAGACAATGGCTTTGAGAACAGCTGATTCACTGTGCTGGGAATGTTATCATACTGGGACAGGGTATTGGTAGGGAAGGCTATCGGACAACATGGTTTTGAAACTGTGCCAGAGACTTTTGGTTCAAATTCCATTATCTTCTTAGCAAAACAAACAAAAACACTGCATTTTATAAATGTAACCATTAGTTATGGCTTGTGTGCTAGTGTATGTATGGTGGTGGTGGTAGTGATTTCTCCATTCTTTTTGAAAGAATAATGAGGAAAATAAGAAAACACGAGATAACTATGTTTCTGATATTTTTGTAATGAGAAGTTACTTTGGAACAAGGATTTATTCCACTGATGCGGCAATGTGAGATACTCACGAACTGAATGCATCCTGTTGTGTAAACAGGTTTTCCCATGTAACCTTCTCCCCAGAAGGCTGATTATTTGGGGCTAACACTAGGGACTCTTCGTCTCCCACACAGACGCATTTTGTTAATTATGTTATGTGTCTGCTACGCTGGACCTGCACAGCTTAAATATTCACATTGTAAGGGTAATAGAATGCAACCAATGTGACTGCAGGGACAGGGTTGGGTTAGAAATGGTTCATAGTATTTTGGATTTTGTTTATTGCTATGTGTTTTCCAGGCCTAGACCATAAGCTCTGATTATTTTGTTTATTCAATGGAAAGACTGTGCCAAAAAATGTCACATCTAGTCCAGTGATTCATTTTTTAACCGAGGTAGCTTAGCTATTGGGGAACACCCCCACTCACACAAAGTAAATGAATGAAAGCCATTCATTTCATTATTTCTTGAGATGAATTCTTGCTATGGGAGAAAGACAGAAGCAAACACATGTGAGGGAACTGTACGGCACAGCAGAAAATGAAGCATTCTCAGACAGATTTGCAAGGAGAAGGAAAAGAAAAATATGGAAAGAATACAGGAAATTCTTTCTATAGACTGAAAGGGATATGCGATTTAAAAAACAGTTGTGGGAGCAAGGGTTTCAAGTTCAGTCCATGAATATATCTTATAAAACAACTAGATTTTAAGACTTTAGGCCGGGCGCGGTGGCTCACATCTATAATTCCAGCACTTTGGGAGGCCAAGGTGGGTGGATCACAAGGTCAGGGGTTCAAGACCAGCCTGGCCAAGATGGTGAAACCCCGTCTCTACTAAAAATACAAAAATTATCTGTGCACGATGGCAGGCACCTGTAATCTCAGCTACTTGGGTGGCTGAGGCAGGAGAATGACTTGAACCTAGGCAGCAGAGGTTGCAGTGGGCCACGATCGTGCTACTATACTCTAGCCTGGGCAACAGAGTGAGACCCCATCTCAAAAAAAAAGACTTTAGATTATTTTACTATAAATATGATTCCATATTTATATATATAATATATATCTTTCAGGCTGATATATAGTAGATAAGAAAAATTAAATGGAAAAAAATAAAGCAAAAACTGGATTCACTAAAATCTGAGTGTAAGATCAAATACTTAGTTACTTAGGCCCAGCTTACTTCCCTCTATCCTGAATTTTAACAACTGAATTATATCCTGTAATAATCTTCTAAACCTTTTTTTCTTTGTCTTTTTTTTTTTTTTTTTGAGATAGAGTCTTGCTCTGTTGCTCAGGCTGGAGTGCAGTGGCACAATCTTGGCTCACTGCAAGCTCTGCCTTATGTGTTCACGCTATTCTCCTACCTCATCCTCCTGAGTAGCTGGGACTACAGGTGCCCGCCACCACGCCTGGCTAATTTTTTTGTATTTTTAGTAGAGACGGGGTTTCACCGTGTTAGCCAGGATGGTCTTGATCTCCTGACCTCGTGATGCACCCGCCTCGGCCTCCCAAAGTGCTGGGATTACAGGCGCGAGCCACTGCGCCCGGCCACCTTTTTTTTCTTTCACAGTGAAATAAATGAATTATCTCTGTGTGGATATTAAAAACATATTAACAGTGTATTTGCTCTACTGCTATCATGCTATGTTTTCCATAATAGTCTACATTTAATGGATTATTTTCTGGATATTATAATATTTATTCACGAGCCCCTACTATGATAAGCATTTTACTAAACAATCTAGCATTAAGCTGCTGGGTGCAGTGGCTCACGCCTGTAATCCCAGCACTTTGGGAGGCCGAGGGGGGTGGATCACAAGGTCAAGAGACTGAGACCATCCTGGCTAACACGGTGAAACTCCGTCTCTACTAAAAATACAAAAAATTAGCCGGGCGTGGTGGCGGGAGCCTGTAGTCCCAGCTGCTCCGGAGGCTGAGGCAGGAGAATGGCATTAACCCGAGAGGCGGCGCTTGCAGTGAGCCGAGATTGCACCACTGCACTCCAGCCTGGGGGACAGAGCAACACTCCGTCTCAAAAAACAAACAAACAAAAAAATCTAGCATTAAGAAGATCACTTATCTCAACAGTATCATGAAATTACCATTATTATTCCTTTATTATAAAGCTGAGTCTCAGCTAGTTTACACAGACTTCCCAGGAAAATACACACATTTATTTTCCTTTTTATATTATTCCCTCCATAGAGAAGCAACTCAAGCTAATAGATAGATGGTTTGCCATGGAAAAATTTTGCATTTGTAAATTATATCAGTATCATGATAATTTCAACTTGCCATCATTCTCTGTTAATTTTTCAAGTGACTATCTCAAGAGTTTTGAAAAAGTTATCTTTCTTACTTTATACTATCTTGATGTCTGTTGTTGGGATCTTCATTGTTCTTATTTAAATCCCTGTGGTCATAGAATTTAAAACCAAAAGAACCTTATTTTATTCCAACCTTATAAACTCAGTTTATTTTGCATAGGAAAGATGAGGTGCATAAACATTCAGGGAAGTATTCAAATGCAACTTCTAAAAAACAGAGCTAGGATGTTCATATAGTTTTCCTGACTTTCACTTCTAGAGCAAGGAAAATGGTGATTTCTTACTCTGTCTTCATATGCTTCAGCTGTTTTCTGAATCTCCATAACCATTCTTTTTCTTATTCCATGATGATCTTCTACATTCATCCCATTTGTGACTTATGGTAATAGCACAATATGAGCTTAATAAAGGCCAGAAAATGTAGACAGATGACAACAGCAATCCCAGAAATATGCTCTGATAACAAATTATAAATCCTGCTTATTTAGACAGCATGGCTCCTGATATTTTATTTGGCCTACAATGCAGACATTTCTCTTTGTCTATATTCTAAATCAGTCATTCTCAGTTCAGTGCAATAAAAGCATAGAAGCTAAGAACCCTCCTCACAGAAATAAGTTTCCAGGAATGTCAACAGTCCAATAAAGCATGTTCAATATAAACCTTTCCATACATACAATTTGTCTTCTATTTAGTTTTTTATTACATTTGAATCTATTTTGATGTTACATTTTTTTCAAGAATGGTCTCTTTCCTCTGTTTCTCTGCTGAAATAATTTGTTAATATCAGTCTTTTCTGCTTTATTCATTAACACATTTTTCATTTTTTTAAAATTCCTGTCATAATTCCAACATCTGAGCAATCTATGAGTCTGCTTCTACTGATGATTTTTCTTCTTCAACAGGAGCTACATCTTTTTGTTTTATGAGTGTCTCCCTTTATTTTATGCTGAGCATTGTTTGTAAAGGAACAATGGAGACTGAAGTAAATACTATTTACAGTCAGTAAAGGGCTAGTCTCTTTTTTGATCAACTAGCTGGTGTCAGTGAGTTGAAGCAATCCAACTTATCTTTGAACTGGGCCTAGGATCTGTTGCAGTTTTATTTATATTTTATTCACTGATCACGTATAGTGTTTTTAGGTATATCTTGAGTAGGGAATGTGGTGTTAGCACCTACAAGTTTCCAGTGATTACTTTATGCTTTCCAGCCCATTAATTGCCATTCCAAGCCATGGGAAGTCTATGCTTTATCACTGATTTGGTATTTTGGGGCCTCCGTGATTTCAGTTTTCTCTTCAGTCCTGCCCTAGTTTCCATTCCCTGCAGACCTCTCTAAAACCTGCTGTCTTGCCCCCAGCTCCCAGAGGACCTCCACAGTGCATATGTCAAGGCCCAGAGTACCTTTGGAGGGATTCCTTCTAGCTGTGCTCTCCTCCCACCCTTCTGTGGGCCACTGCCTTACAACTGAGGAAGACCCCACATGTCGCAAGATCACTCTCAGTTTCCCTGCCTTGCCCGTGGCATGTATCAGGCAACATCCTTGTACTCAGTGAAGGCTCACAAGGGAGTTCTGGCAGGGGGCTGTTAACTTGGTCTGCAGGTGGAGCTCTTCAGGCTGTTCATGAGTCAAAAAAGCCAACAAACAGCTGTGATGGGCTCATTTCTTTCTTTCTTTTTTAATTTTTTTTTGGAGATGGAGTCTCGCTCTATCACCCAGGCTGGAGTGCAGTGGCACGATCTCTACTCACTACAACCTCCACCTCCCAGGTTCAAGCAATTCTCCTGCCTCAGCCTCCCGAGTAGCTGGGACTGCAGGCACACGCTGCCATGCCTGGCTAATTTTTTGTATTTTAGTAGAGATGCGGTTTCACTGTGTTGCCCAGGCTGGTCTCAAATTCCTGAGCTCAGGCAATCCACCCACCTCGACCTCCCAAAGTGCTGGGATTACAGGCGTGATCCACCGCGCCTGGCCCTCTCATTTCTATATACTCATGTCCACAGTAGAGTCATCCTCCCCTGTTAGTCTGCCAGGGATGGAAGCAGCTTTGTGACCTCTTTGTCTTTAACATGCCTTACCAGTTACCAGCATTTAGTTAATTTAGCTTTCTCTGCATACTTAGCTCTATGATATAGAAAGAAATAATTTTGTAGTTTATTATGCTTGTTCTTAATGTTGGGGTGGAATTGATAGTCTCTTTCAAACTTCCACACTCTAACAAAAAGTACATTTACTATAAGTTTGTAATATGGACTTTTATCGAAAACGAATCAATGTCTCTATCCTCCTCGTTATGTTAAAACTTTAACTCTAATGGCCCACAAAACAATATAATTTACTCTTTTCCAGGATTTTAAACCCACAATATTTTTATACCCTATCTCCAACATTTGTCATAATTGTGATTTTTTTATGTTTCTTTTGATTTGCCCACATATTTCTGAATTTCTTTGTTCACATTCGTCTTTAAGTCTCAACCCTTACATCTGGCCAAAGATTTCTTTTTCTAAAATATCTTTTTCTATTAGTTCCCTTAATTAGAGACTTGTTGAAATTTAATTACTCTTTGGTTCTAAAAATATCCTATATTTCCTCATTCTCAAATAACATTTAATGGAGTTTAAAATTCAAGGTTGATAGTAATTTGTTTAGTTCATCAATGGCAATTCCCCCTTTCTTCTGACTTCTATTGTAGTTGTTGAAATGTCCGCTACCAGCATCCTTGTAGATAGTCAATAATTTGTTTTTCTTTCTGGTTGCTTTCAAGCCTTCGTTTTCCTTGGTCTTCTGCAGTTTCTAATATTATCAAGCTCTTCCATTGTCTTTTCATTGTAAACCTGTTTATACTATTACTCTGATAAATCTATTATCTGAGCATTTTAGAATCCAATACAACAATTGATGAGAATAGGGACTCCTGCTCTGTGAATTCTCTCTGAGAGCTCTTGAAACCTGGTTCAGGGTGTCATGGTAATGTTACACTTGTTTTGTTGAGTGATGCAGGAGATGTTTTGTTCCTTCTCGATGAGAGCCCAGGTCTACACAGGCAAACTTTCTTATCTCATTTGTCAGTGGGTTGGAATTTTGGGGGAACCTCTTTCACAGCATTTATAAACTTTTGATCAGCTTGGTCTATGTAGGGATCACAAATATAATGTACCACTTCTAATGTGTTTGAGGCCTCTTCTGGTTACAGCAACTGGCTACCGCCCGAGGGCAACTGAAAGTGTTTTAATTTTTTTTATTCCTGTGGGATGGTGGTTGAGGTTATATAGTCTGCCACATTGTCAGAAAAAGAAATAATTTTAGAGAACTTTTACTTCTGATTCTGCCCTGTCATATACTTATTTTTTATTTGAATGTTTGTTATAGTTTATATTATTGTGTAATTTTTTTAACCTTCTTAATTAAAAAATATGAGAAAAATCTGAATCCACTACTTACTTAGAATACTTTTTTCACGTATCAGAAGGAAAAAAGAGTTAATAGACATTGAGTTTGACAGCAATTATTTTAGCTGATTATCTAATTATTTAGATTTAGTTAATATTAATATTGGCCAGAACTAAATAGATGTTTCATTCATTAATGAGTAAATTTTACTAATTCCACATATTGGGAACTTCAATGATGTGACTTCTTAAGTTGGAAAATATTTAAGACTTCTTTTTTTAAAGAAAAAATATATGACCAACACAGACTCAAACAGTTTGCATGATGAACTTCATTTTAGAAAATGATTTTAAAGACTATTTTCCCCAAAAGTTATTTGCAAAGTTGTGACAGGTATTCATGTTGTTATTGCTGATGTGTTTGCCTCCAGAGTCACTATTAAGAACTATGTTCTATAACAGTTAACTTGAATATACAACTTGGAGAGAAGAGTTTAGGTGTGCAATTGCTTTAATCACTTTTTAAATATAAATAAAAATTTCTTCAATCTCAACTCTAAATAAATCTGAATTATCTGTGGAGGCTGTAATTCTTCAGATTTACGGGACCTTTTACAATCTCTTGAATTAAAATCTTCAAATTTGTCCCAGCATAAGTGCTAAAAATAAAGAAGCAAGCAAAGCTTTATAAATGATTTGATAAATACCCATTGTGGGAGAACCTCTGTGCTAAATAAATGAGCTTGAATAACTTTTTGATACCAGTGTTTGTGCAGTAATGTAAGTGTAATCAATATGTGTATGAAGATTTTCTACCTCCAAAGTTCTATCTCTTTGTATAGGCCGCAGTTTTCATTCTGATAATAAATTCTTTGAATTCTCCATTTTAGACTAATCTCCTATGGGTCTTGATCATCATTACGGTGTTTTTATTTAAATATATTTTATTTTGCAAATCTAGTTTTAGGGACTCGTTTAAATCCCTTTAAAGAAAAAAATGCCTGAAAAAACATATTTAAAACAGGTAAAACAATCTTCGTTTTACAATTTTAATAAATACAGAAGATAAAAGAAGTTAAGAGGCTGGGCGCAGTGGCCCACGCCTGTAATCCCAGCACTTTGGGAGGCCAAGATGGGCAGATCACAAGGTCAGAAGATCGAGACCATCCTGGCTAACACGGTGAAACCTGGTCTCTACTAAAAATACAAAAAAAACAAAAATTAGCCAGGCGTGGTGGTGGGCACCTGTAGTCCCAGCTACTTGGGAGGCTGAGGCAGGAGAATGGCGTGAACCCGGGAGGTGGAGCTTGCAGTGAGCGGAGACCACGCCACTGCACTCCAGCCTGGGCGACAGAGGGAGACTCCATCTCATTAAAAAAAAAAAAAAAAAAAAAGTTAAGGGTGAAGCAGAGTTAATCTCAACTGCAAAAGGTAGTACTTGCAGTTTGTCACCTTTGAACATATTTTTACTCTATTAATTGAAATGCCCTCTAAAAAATAAAGCCAATGACTTTTCAGTTACGGACAAAATAAAACCTTTAATTTGAACAAACAGTAAGTTAATTCAGGTAAATCGAGTGTATGTTGATAATGAACTAATAAAATTCATGGTTGAATCATGTTGAAACAAGCTTTGTTTCATTCTAATAGCAAACAATTTAAAACTTCCCACTGAGGTTTCTCTGTGTAAGTGTGTATATTATTGTAGAAGAATAATTAAAATAATTTTCATTTAACAAAACTAAATACTGCTTTAGCTCATTAGTATGAGAAAATATTCCAAATGAAAATATAAGTACGGAAAAATTATAATGAAGGAAACAGCTGAATAATATTCAGCAGCCTACATAGTGCTAGAAGTTCATCAGGGCACATGCGCTGTAATTGGCACAAATGTTCAGCAGAGATGCACCATCCCTTAAGGTTTCATTAAGTTCTTTTATGCTGGGAGACAGAATTCAGTGCACATAATTATCTATTGTGTATTAATCTTCTCTGTTTTGAATATTGCTTTTGTTGAATTTAATCATGCCTGAAAAATGAGAAGTGTTATTTTATCTGTGTCGTCTTACTAAATGATCATCAGCCAAGAAGTACCAACATTTGAAAAGAATTGAAAAGCTGAGTGTAAAATCAGAGTTTGCAGGAAAGTCTGGTCTTTTGATGCCATGACGCATTTATCCTCTCCTCACTCCTTCCACCGTTTTTTTCCTCCTCTAATTTGTTGTTGACAGTTGAAAATTTCAATGTGTGGCAATTCTGTGATTAAGTTATTAAGGGAGAGAAAGAACAATTCTATCTATAAAAGCTATTTGTCTAATACACTGAAATCCTCTTCGTTACTTATCAACTTCTGAATGAATCAATTTTGTTAAATTAGATGTTCTACAGAAATGAGGGCGAATACAGTAGAAAACAACAAAGTTCTCTAGAACCCCAAGCAAAACAATGGCAGATTAATATTTCCATGGAATTTTTTAAATGCCTACAAGATTTTTTCCTGCCTTGGGGTTTTCTAGCTTAGTCTCTCAGCTTCTTTTTCAAATCATAAAAGCTAGAAAGCCAAACAGCAACAACAAAAAACTATAGAAAATAAAATTTGCAATCACGGCCCTGCATGACTAGCCACAGAAATCATCTTTATTCTACAAGTAATAGGGAAATAGCTCCACAGAATTCAATTTATGTACCATTTCTATCAGACAATGGCAAATATTCTCCATTTAAGGGATTTCTGCCCAGGCACTCAACAGAAACCTTTACTGTTCCAACCTCATCACCACCAAAAAAAACTCACTGGGAGTGCCAGACTATTTTGACAAGCAAAATATTCAAATGAACAAACAACAAAAACTAAAGCAGCCTTACTTTAAATTCTTATGTTTGATCAACCAGTACACAGTGTGGAATGTTCTCTTACAATTGTATCAGTACAAAAATGAAGGTCTGCAAACACAGACATGTACTTACCACCATTGCTTTCCCTATACTTTCTCATCCCATGAGCCTGCTGCTGGGATCAGGCATATAAAATCCTGGCCATTTTCTTTTTAATAAACAGGTAGTGTCATGTTTTAGCTTTTATTTAGAGATGCTGTTGAGAAGGATTACCTAAATATCTGCTGAGCTAGGAAAATGAGGTTATTTTCAATGAAGAATAAAAGGTTTCAGAAAGAGTGAATGCTATGCTTCCTATTTTTAGATCTTATACCAGGCCAAGTAAGAATATTTGGCAGGCTTTTAAAAATTATTTTTATTATTACCTGCATTATAGCAAACATTGTTTAAACTTGACAATATCTATCCCAGTGAGCCAGTCAGTCCCAAAGTCTTGACCTGTTTACTGATAGAAACTTCAGTTCATATCTGCAATCTATCTGCAACCCAGTCTACATAACATAATGATTTTAAACTCCACCAGAACGCCTGGGTGTTATTTACTTGGGCCGCCTTCTTAGGCTTATTGGGTATCACAATATCTGAAACAGGAAATAAGAGGTATGTCAGACCAGAGATGGATTGTGTTGCTATATGAGCTCAGCTTATGGATTCCTAAGTTGAACTTGGACATTCCTACTATGAGAATGGGGTGTAACTATTTCTGATGTAGTAATGCCCGTGTGGAGTGCACGAGAAGGAAAACTCCATGGTAAGTATTGTTATATGATTCTCCTTTCCCTCTTGCTCTCACTCCATTCTAAATGCTAAGTGCTCAAGATATGCCACAATCTCTCTGCTTGTTTGTTAATTCATATCTTTCTTTGTGAAACAAGAATTATAAATGGCTGACAAAAATAGTTTGAAAATACTTGAAGAAGTTAAAATTTCCAAATAAACAAGACAGAAAAAAATATAAAGTCATGGATAAAGATTAAAATGACAAGTTTCTAATTGCTAGGTGGAATTTAGCTATATATTTCATTAATTCATCCAGTTATTTATTTTGTTCAAAAATACCAGAATTTATTGAGGGATATTTATGGAGCTATTAGCACTTGCATAGGAGAGGCAGAGACAGTGGGGGTAAAGCTCTTGCCTACCATTAGATTACATTCTAGCAGTGGTGTAGACTCCCAGGTCACTTCTTACCCATACAGGTTGTGTCAGATTTTATCTTTGGAGCAATGAAAATGTTGAAAAGGATCTCTTAAACCTCAAGAAACTAAAATGGATATCATGGAACAGTTCAGGACTTCAAAAATAACTATCTTTGCTTGTTCAGGTCTGGCTTGAAAAGCTTAGGCATGCTCCAAAAGTTCCCAGTGATATCACCACAGTTGCTTTTGTTCTTTCTCATTTTGGTGATTTCTGGTCACAATAATCTGATTCCATTCATACTGAGAAAACACAGCAAAACATGTTCTTCATTGCAAATCCCCGTTCTTGCCCTCCATCACTCCTGCTGTCTTCACACATCATGTTTCAGCTGGGACTACAAAAAATCTCATCTCCAATTCCAACCTTTAAGTACGCTGTTTACTTCCCTGATTCTCTAACAAGAAAGTAAGTAAATTATTTTTTTCTCATCTACAATAATCAAAATTTATCCCATTGTATAGAGACACTTTTTATGGAAAAAACTTTTTCCATGATAATTGTCCCTGCAGTAGATACACATGGAAAAGCCTAATATCCAAACCCCAGGTCACCTTAAGCAAGAACTCAACATACCCTATGATCCTCTACACTGTTGCGTATGCCATGTAACTTTATGTAATCTATGTTCACATGTTCTTTCTATTAAATTATTAATAAAATATATTACTAAAATGTTTGTATTCATAGTCTTTTGTAATTTTTAGTTGATATATAATATTTACTACCCCAACTGGGTCAAATCTCTAGATCTATAAACTCTTCTTATAAAGGGCCGGATAGAACATATTTTAGCCTTTGTAGGCTGACAGGCAAAATTAAAGTTACTATGTAAGTAGCTATATAAGCATTTAAAATGCAATCATTTAAAATTTTTAAAACCACTTTGAGCTTGTAGGCCATGCAAACAGGTAGTGGGCAGGATTTAGCCCATGAGCTGCAGTTTCTTGACCCCAAATATAGAAGCTTATAACATTGTGCATTTCTCATTCATGCATTCCTCACACTTACACGCAAATTTAAGTAATGGCTTTCTTTCTTTCTTTTTTGAGACGGACTCTCACTCTGTCCCCCAGGCTGGAGTGCAGACGTGCGATCCCAGCTCACTGCAAGGTCCGCCTCCCGGGTTCACGCCATTCTCCTGCCTCAGCCTCCCGAGTAGCTGGGACTACAGGCGCCCGCCATGACGCCCAGCTAAATTTTTTGTATTTTTAGTAGAGACGGTGTTTCACCGTGTTAGCCAGGATGGTCTCGATCTCCTGACCTCGTGATCCACCCGCCTAGGCCTCCCAAAGTGCTAGGATTACAAGCGTGAGCCACAGCGCCTGGCCAAATCAATGGCTTTCTTTAGAAGATTCAGTCTCTATGAACTCAGAAATTATATCTGACCCTAGTACTTAACACAGTGCTTGGTTTATAGGAAATGCTGAATACATTTGAATCTCTTTCTCACCTCACTAATTCTCTACCAGGTTAGATCCCTGAGGGTAGGGGTGAGACTCGTTTATATACTTTTCATTCCTAATAGTCTTACAAAGATTTACTCATATCATAAGCATAGGAGTGGGGTTTTGTTTGAAAACAGTCAATAGCCATAAGTAACTTTTTCCATCTCTGTAAGAAATAGGCCAATATGCAGAAGTATCTTTTATTTTATTTAATTAATTAATTTATTTATTTATTTTGAGACAGAGTCTTCCTGTGTTGCTCTGTCTCTCAAGCAATGGTGTGATCCTAGCTCACTGCAACCTCTGCCTCTGGGTTCAAGCGATTCTCCTCCCGCAGCCTCCAAAGTAGCTGGGATTACACGCACCCACCATCACTCCCGGCTAATTTTTCTATTTTTAGTAGAGACAGGGTTTCACCATGTTGGCCAGGCTGGTCTTGAACTCCCGACCTGAGGTGATCCGCCTGCCTTGGCCTTCCAAAGTGCTGGGATGACAGGTGTGAGCTGCCGTGCCCAGCCAGAAGCATCTTTGTATTACGGTTCTGTTATCAGACGCCGGGAGGCTGGGAGGAGGTCCATGCCAAGCCTGTGTCTACAGTGTTTCCTCTACGCAAACAGCAGGAGGGTTGGAAGCACGATTCAATTCCAACTGCTGTGCACTGATTTATATCGATTTCATTTCTTTTTTTGGCAGGTGTCAAGTTAATGACTTTGAAGAGTAATACACAGTTTACATATTTAAACCGAAAAACTTCCCAATTGCATAAAACCCTACCCACATGGACAAGAAGGTATTTCTTGTCACTTCCTCAGGAATCCTCACAGCTGCATCTTGCAGAGTCACAAGGAATTGTAACTTGTTACATTTCAGAGCAGTAGGCTTAGTACCACCAAGGAGATGAAAATACCTATTGAAGATTTCATATTATAAACCAGTCCAGAATAATTCATACTGAATATATTTTATCATATTTTGGGTGGATGGAACACACCAATTAAGGCTGAATGGCTGAAGGCATTCTACTACATTTATGGCCTAATGACATTTATATTTTTAACCATTTTCTTCATTATTTTCTTTTCTTCCTCCTTTATTACTATCTTTTTTGTTTTCTTCTATTTTTACTTAATTCTTTCTCTTTTTTCTTCCTTTCTTCTGTCCTCCCTTCCCTACTATCCTCCTTCCTCCCTTTATTCCTTCTTTTCTTCATCTCTTCTCACCTCCTTCCTTCTTCCCTTCATTTCTTCATCTCTCTCCTTTCTCTTCTCTCACTCCCTGCCTTCCTTCTCCAACTCCTCATTTCAATGTATTTTAAAAATATAAGAAAATGAATATTTTGTTAGGTATCTAGGAAATATATGAATCAGCAATTGCAGGTGAAAAACAGAGAAAGTTTGTGTTTATCAGGTTTTCATCCCAACCTCTGTCCAGTTACTGCTGATAACACTGAAAATGAGTAATTTGGTGACTCGGAATGTGAATCATCTCCTTGAAGTGGACAGCAGAATTAATCTGCATGGGCGATTTAGACTTCCCAGTTGTCATAGAAAAAAGAAACTACTTTGGTTAACTGTTTTCAGGTTATCCCTGATGGTTGATTATTTACTCATTCATCTTAAAATGTTTGCTCCAAAGACTTGGAAGGATCATTTTCTTAGGACTTTTATGACTTTTTAGCAACACTGACCACTCACTTTTTTTTTCAAGGCTATGCAAGCTTAACTATCATTGTGGGATATGCAAAGGAGCATTAGGATTAGGGTTCTGGTTAAACAGAAACTGAACTGTAAGGGAACGTTTGGTACCTCCAGGATTCCAGAGAATGTGTTAGTCAAAGCTATGACCCATACAAAAAGTGTGAATTTTAAAAATGATTTAAAAACTTAAGGATGTTTGTAAACTATCACAAATTTCAACACAGTGAAGTTGAGAGAACAGCACTATGAGTGTTTTAAAAATCTATTCAGTATACACACACACACACCCAAAGGTGATGTACATTATGAGAAAATATACAATAATGAGAATAAAATAAACAGTTCTGGAAACAGAAAGTTGAGCTGATAAATTGTGAAGCAGTGGGAAGACCTCAGTATATTGACTCTCTGGGGTTGTTCTAAGAAATACACAGGCTGGGTGCTTAAACAAGAGAAACTTATTTTCTCATAATTATGAAGGCTGGAAGTCCAAGACCAAGGAGTCAGCAGGGTTGGTTTCTTCAGAGGCCTCTCTCCTTGGCTTATAAATAGCTCCCTTTTCCCTGTGTCTGCACATGGTTTTCCCTGTGTATACGTCTGTGTCCTAATCTCTTTTTTTTTTATAAGGATGACTGTATTAGACTGTTCTCACACTGCTAATAAAGACAAACTTAAGACTGGGTAATTTATAAAGGAAAGAGGTTTAATGGACTCAGTTCCACATGGCTGGGTAGGCCTCACAATCATGGCAGATGGTGAATGAGGAGCAAAGTCACATCTTACATGGCGGCAGGCAAGAGGGCCTGTGCAGGGGAACATCTAATTATAAAACTATCAGATCATGTGAGACTTATTCACTACCACAAGAACAGTACGGGGGAAACTGCCCCCATGATTCAATTATCTCCACCTGGCCCCACCTGGAGATTACTACAATTAAATGTGAGATTTGGGTGGGGACACAGCCAAACCATATAAACACCAGACACACTGAACAAAATGAGGGCCTGCCCATATGACCTCGTTTTATTTGAGTTCCCTTTTTAAAGGTCTTATTTCCAAATTCAGTTACATTCTGAGGTACTGGGAGTTAGGCCTTCAACATGATAATTTGGGGTGGGGGAGTGTAATTCAGCCCATAACCATGTACAGAGAAGCACACAGGGCTGTCTAATGAACTGCTGCAAATTTGGCTTTCAGCTTCCTGGTGCTTAAAGCATAATAGCATAATGGGAATTTGATTAGTTAGAAGAAATGTTAGATGATCACAAGAGTTTTAAGCCTCTGGATTACAAGCTTGATTTGGAATACAAGGATTGACATTTGGGGTACAAGGAGTCAGGCAGAAAAAACATTTTTATTTAATTTTTGGAACTGGATGTTGTGGTCTTTTTTAGAAATGCTAGGGGAGAAACCATAGAATGAAATGTGTACGGTGGTGGCAGCGGCAGTTGTGGTCTGTGTGTGTGCTCATGTGTGTAGACTGGCAGGCAGTGAGGAAGATGGGAAAAATTATTCCCACATATGGATCTATTCTGCCCACCACACCTCCCTTAATCTCAGAGTCCCTCAAAGCATGACAGAATGCCTTACACCTCCCCTACTTGATGGTATCACTGGAGAGATGGCTGACTCTTTCACTGGGTCATGGCTTAGAAAATACTTTTTTTTTTTTCTTGAGACAGAGTTTCGCTCTGTGCCCAGGCTAGAGTGCAGTGGCGCAATCTCAGCTCACTGCAAGCTCTGCCTCCTGGGTTCATACCATTCTCCTGCCTCAGCCTCCGGAGCAGCTGGGACTACAGGCACCCACCACCACGCTCGGCTAATTTTTTGTATTTTTAGTAGAGACGGGGTTTCACTGTGTTAGCCAGGATGGTCTCGATCTCCTGACCTCATGATCCACCCATCTCAGTCTCCCAAAGTGCTGGGATTCCAGGCGTGAGCCACCGCACCTGGCCAGAAGATTTATTTTTAAATAAATATGTATATGTTTTTTAACCATTCCCCTGTGTTTGTTGTATACGTGAATACAGCTCATGGACGCATATGTGTTTATAGGTCAACCTTTGAATGTGTGAGTTTTGTCATTTTCTGTTATTTTGTCTTTATGACACTTAGGGTATCACAAAGAATAATTACTGGGCCGACTGATAGCAGATGGTTTTACTCTTCAATTGCTTAATATGTAAATTTTTAATTTTAGATGAATGTTCATTTCCCTCCATCATACGTAGCTAAGACCCTGGGGGCATAATTGCAAGATTTTGCTCATGTATTAGGGCAGAAATAATTTACCCAACACTTCCTAATATTGACTTCTAAATTCCCACATTTTCTGTAGGGCTATGTTGTATTTTCTGGTGCTTGTTATTTGTGTCTTATTTGATTTAAATGATCATATTAAAAATTCCTACATTCAAATATCAGAAAGTTAATTCAAACTAGCTTAAGAATTCACTGGTTTACCCTACTGGGAATTCTCAAGGAGAATCATCAGGCCCAGTGAAATCCAGGTACTATAACAATGTTGCCAGCCAGGACTCTGTCCCTTTCCCCCAATCTCTCTACTCTACTTTTTCTCTAGGGCTTACTTTTATATGCATATACATAGCTGTTGGCAGCCTCTAACTGACATACTTCTAGTTACAAAGTTTGACACATAGATGTGAGACCTCTTTCTCTCTCTATCTCTCGCTCTTTCTCTAACTTTGTCTTCCCAATCTCTTTTTCTTCCTCTTGATCCTGTTACAGAATTCCAGAAAAAAATATCAGTTTATCTGTACTTAGATTACAAAATCTTCTCTGAACCAGTTGTTGATAGAGTAAGAGGATTCTCCGAATGATCCAGCATAGATTATGTGCCTGGCCCTGTGGCCACTAAGGATATTGGAAAGGTAATGGTAGGCCTTTCTTTTCAAAAAAGATACTTTGGCATGCATTATTATTTCTTTTTTCAATTGTGTCTCCTTCTTTTACTTTGCATTTTATTTTTATTTGTTTAGAGACAAGGTCTTGCTCTGTTGCCCACAGCTCACTGTAGTCTGGAATTCCTGAGCTCAAGCCATCCGTCTCAGTTTCTCGAGTAGCTGGAACTGCAGGTATGTGTCACTGCGCCTGGTTGCACTATTATTTCTATATATAGACCTTTCCAAAAGTATTCCTAACACCAGAAATTATTCTATGTACTATAAGAAATGAAATCTTTCTCTCACCAAAGAAATATAACCCAAAACAAATATCTGTCTTGCATTATTTCCAAGCCAAGGTATTGAGTAATAAGCATCTTTTCAGACAGGCCTGGATGTGGTTCCTCATGGTCTAACAAGTTACACCTAAAAGTCTAGTTAACTCCTACCACACCCAATGTAACTCCATTAGAAAGGAGAAATGGAGGCTGGGCATGGTGGCTCATGCCTGTAATCCCAGCACTTTGGGAGGCCGAGGCAGGCAAATCACGAGGTCAGGAGATCAAGACTATCCTGGCTAACACGGTGAAATCCTGTCTCTACTAAAAATACAAAAAATTAGCCGGGCGTGGTGGCAGGCACCTGTAGTTCCAGCTACTCGGGAGGCTGAGACAGGAGAATGGTGTGAACCCGGAAGGTGGAGCTTGCAGTGAGCCCAGATGGTGCCACTGCACTCCAGCCTGGGCGACAGAGCGAGACTCCGTCTCAAAAAAACAAAAAAAGGGAAAATGGAAATCTACTCACTACTTCCTTGACACTGCAATTATTTCTTGGATAACTAATCTAATCACCCTTGTTCTTCCCCTGGTCATGCCCCTTGCCCATCCCATCAGTGATCTTCACCATGCCTGGGGTGTGTGTGTGTGTGTGTGCATGTGTGCACATGCATTGGGGGTGTAATACCTAAGTCAAGAAGGGAGTTGTTAACAAGTTAATTTGAGTTTCTCTATTTTATTTGACTAAAATCTCAGTATTATCTTGCATTATGTTTTCTATCTCTCATCCTTTGTTAGTACCAAGTTGCCTTGAAACAGAAAATTTATCTTTTGCAATTTTTTAATTCACTCGATGAAGTCAATGAGGGATATTTAAGCTTTGGTCACAAATCTACTCTTCAATAATGTGCTATAGAGTATTTATCCACTAATGTAAATTTATGACCTAATATATTTTAATGTACTATGCATACCTTGGTAATAGTAATGTAATTTTGTAGGAAAAGTGATGCTTGTTTTTTCAGATATTCCAAGATGTTGTATGTATGTGTTTTATTTCTTATGTTTCTTGATCTATTCAAAGAATTTGATGGTGTTCTCTCCTTCTTCATATTAAATGCCTGACATCTTCCTTAAGTATTGTTCTAAAACTAGTCAAGTGCAGTAGTGAGAAGGAGCTGGGGGTGGGGGGGAATATAACAAAGAGTTTAATCTATAACTGACCGTGAACAATTGAGATTGAGATAACTTGCTACCTCTGGACCAGTCTCTCCTCAACTTTTTGATACTGCTCCTCTCAAACATTTCTCCCAGCTTGCTGACTGCTCCTCCTGGTCTTCTTTGCTCTGTATTTCTGGCTTTCCTTAATCTTGTTCCTCCTTAGGGAACAACTGTAAATTATCTTATCTACTCATTCTATGGAATCCCCTTCAGTGATATAAAATGATGATTCAAAAAATACATATCACGAGTTCAAAGCTCTCTCTGAGATAAAATCCACATCCAGAGCAACAGAGCGAACTTTCACTTGGCTGCCACAAAGTCTTCTCCAATGCAACATGTTCTGCAAAGCAGTAAACACCACCCCATTAACCAAGTCAGAAGCCTGGGAGCCATTAGACTTTTGGGGGTGGCAGTGAAAATATTTTACAGGTGAAAAGAAGTCACATATAGGTACAGAGGGTGAGAACATTGCCCACTGTGCTTTGCAGGTTCTCTCATGAAGAAATTCCATTGGCCAGGTGCAGTGGCCCACGCTTGTAACCCCAGCACTCTGGGAGGTCATGGCAAGTGGATCACCTGAGGAGTTTGAGATCAGCCTGGCCAACATGGTGAAACCCTGTCTCTACTAAAAATACAAAAATTAGCTGGGCACGGTGGCACAGGCCTATAATCCCAGCTAGTCGGGAGGCTGAGGCAGGAGAATTGCTTGAACCTGGGAGGTGGAGTTTGCAGTGAGCCGAGATCCTGCCACTGCACTCCAGCCTGGGTGACAGAGCGAGCGAGACTCCATCTCAACAACAATAACAACAAAAAAAACCAAAAAGAAAGAAATGATATCTTTTTGTTTACTCATTGAATCTGTACTCCTCTTAGGACTTGGTTAGACTAATATAATATGGTGCAGAAGTGACTTTGAGGAACATCTGAGACTAGGCCTTAAGAGGCAAAGACACTGTTAATTGCACTAAAGTTGGGCTAAGAATCCCTGGTTTGTGCCACCACATTGTCTAACACTCCTACAAATTGCTGGGCAGAGCCACTGTGCCTCAGCAATGTGTCACTGAAAAACTTGTCATCAGGAATGAATATAAATTTACAAATTTATATTTATACAAATTTATACAAAATCTCTATACATAGAGAGATGTGCTACAAGCCCAAATAATATTTTCCCCAAGTTAAGGAGAAACTTTCATTCTTTGCATTGAAAGTCATGTTTTGTGGAGGCAAAAACCTGGAGTCTGGTAAATTATGAGAGACCCAAGTCAGTCATCACAAGCAAGAGGCTTTCTAACATTTGCTGTTGCACAATTGTTTGTGTTTGTGCACCTCAAAAAAAAAAAGAAAAAGAAAACCTCAAATGACTGCCATTGTTAAACCTCATTTAAATAATTTTTCTTTAAAATAATAGATTTGTTTTCTACAATCACATTCTAAAACCATCCTTATTTTGAAGTCAGAACATACAAATATTAATAAAAAAAAATTCTTGGCCGGGCACGGTGACTCACGCCTGTAATCCCAGCACTTTGGGAGGCCGAGGCGGGCGGATCACGAGGTCAGGAGATCGAGACCATCTTGGCTAACATGGTGAAACCCCGTCTCTATTAAAAATACAGAAAATTAGCCAGGCGCGGTGGCAGGTACCTGTAGTCCCAGCTACTCGGGAGGCTGAGGCAGGAGAATGGTGCCAACCCGGGAGGCGGAGCACGCAGTGAGCTGAGATTGCGCCACTGCACTCCAGGCTGGGTGACAGAGCGAGACTTTGTCTCAAAAATAATAATAATAATTCTTTAAGTCAATCACTAAACGATGCCTCACTTATAAATTTATTTCTATATTGTTTATGCTAATGGTCGTCAACAGTCTCTGTACACAATTGACAACGTCTCACTCACATGTCAAGAAAGTCAGCAATAGGACCATTATCTCAAGGGCCACAGTCACTTAGAAAAGAAAAATTCTGCCTCTGAAGATATTTGCCACTGGTTTAAAATCAACTAACTTATGTTCATTCACTCCTATACAGGTCTGCAGGCTGAGATTTGAAAGGTGGGAAGGAATGTTTTTATCCTGATTATAGGCAGATGGGAAGGAGTAAATAGTCCAAGTCACTTAAAAACAGAAGTTGAAAATAACATTGAGCAGCTAGAGTGGAACCAGTCTGTACCGCCATAACTATTCTGCTGCTTCTCCTCTCTCTGCCTTCACGGTGCCGGGCTGGCCTCTGCTCTCACTGCTGTTTCCTTGACAACCAAGACAAGATGTCTTCTTTTGCAAAGCAAATTATTTCTACTCTTGAATTAGAAGACAATTTAAGTTCTGGGGCCGGGCGCTGTGGCTCACGCCTGTAATCCCAGCACTTTGGGAGGCTGAGGCGGGTGGATCACGAGGTCAGGAGATCGAAACCATCCTGGCTAACACGGTGAAACCCTGTCTCTACTTTAAAAAAAAAAAAAAAAAAAAATTAGCCAGGTGTGGTGGCAGGTGCCTGTAGTCCCAGCTACTCAGGAGGCTGAGGCAGAAGAATGGCATGAACCAGGGAGACTGAGCTTGGAGTGAGCTGAGATTGCACCACTGCACTCCAGCCTGGGTGACAGAGCAAGACTGCATCTCAAAAAAAAAAAAAAAAAAAAAGAAGACAGTTTAAGTTGTATGTAATTGGAGGGAAGATATCTACACATCTGCAAGAATTGTGCTTACTTCTTATGAAGAATGGAGAACTAGGTATTAGGAAAGTAACACAGTATGCTCATGACAGATCAGTAATTACAAATAGTAAAATGCTTTAAATTTTCAAGTCAAAACAGATTTGTGATTAATAAAATTAATCTACCCAGCTGCCGTGGTCTAAAGGTTTGTTTACGCCAAAATGCATATGTGAAAATCCTAACGTCCAAGGTGATGGTATTAGGAGTACGGTTTTTGGGGGGTGATTAGGCCATTACTGCTCTTATAAAGCAGCCAAAGGAGCTCATTCACCCTTCTGCCATGTGAGGTTATAGTGAGAAGATAGCTGTCTATGAGGACACAGGCCTTCACGAGACATGGAATCTGCTAGTGCCCTGATCTTGGACTTCCCAGGCTCCAGAACTGCGATCAATAAATTTCTGTTGTGTATAAGCCACATAGTCTATGGCATTTTTTGTGTAGCAGTCCAAATTGATGAAGAGGAAAACCAATAACATTCTTTTTAATTATCAGAGAATTTTTTTCTCATACACTAATTTGCCCATGACATTCATTAGAGGAGATTATTTTAGCAAGTGTAGTACCCATGAGGTCAATAATATTGGCTTCTTGTCATTTATATTTATTTTTCTTCATCTGTTCCTAAAAGTAATTCAAAGAATTTTTTTAAGGCACAGAAAAATACAGTAAAAAAAATTTAAAAAGTAAGGAACCTTGTAGAAAATAGTAGAAAATGTTTCCATCAACCTGAAGTAAGCTGGCTATTGACTGTATATTTTAATTCTGAAGTTTCTGGTAGCAACTGCAAAAATAGGAAACATAATAGGCTCTGTCATTTTATTGTCCAATAAAACATAGCTTTGGGAGAATAAATCCTTTTCCGGTCATAAATTATGGGTACTCATCACTTGGATCCTTTTATGAGGGGCAGTAACAAACATGATTAACATTGATTTTGCAAACATATGGTCTAAGGGACTGCTTTTATTTTGACCGCTATCAACCCCTTATTTAAGAAAGTGCTTCTCTTTCAGCTCCAAACAAGAGCTTCCAATGAAAGTTACTGTGTTCTTACTTGATCATCTCAAGACATTGGTCTAAGAGAAAGAACCTAATCAAACTTATTTTGGGTTTTTGAATTTAGGAAATCTACTTGGTGGTTCAAGCCATAAAATATGAAATTGAAAACAATTAAAGTTTACATTTTCCATTATGAAGGAACTGAGTGTGATGAAAATGGAGTTGGCATGCTGAGAGAAGTCAATCAAAAAGAGAGAGGGACAGAGAATCTTGTCCCATTTTGCCTGCTCATGTGGTTCAACCCTTCCTATGGACTCTGCAGACTAGTAAGTTATCTCTTTAGTCTAAAGTAGACTCATTTGAAGATCTTTTATTTACAACTAAAAGGTTGTTGGCTAATACATGTGCAAAGAATAACTTATATGTCTGTAAATTCTAATGGGTGCTTTAATTTAGAGTTTGTTTCTACTTTACATAAAAAAATCACACACTTCATTCTTAGTTTTGGTTACACTTCTTTGAAAAATTGCACTGATTGGAATGGAAATTGGGCATGAGAAAGTATAAACAAACTGAACAGAAAGGCCACTGTCAAACTACACGTCTTAGTTCTCGACAGTGAATAATGTTGACCAGGAAGCAGTTAACATATCATGACTCTGCAATCAGTCACTGATCCTTGGTGCCATATTTGTTTTTCCTATGAGGATTATTATAGCGCTTTGAGTATGGTAAGCCTTAACTAGATACTTTCTGAGCAAACACAAAGTGAAGCAGGCACTGAGTTTTCTTACATTCAAAGCCATGAAATTAGCATTGTCAGCATGCACTTCAGGTTGGATGTAATAACCATGCTTCATGTTCATCTTGCATTGCATCATGTAAAACTGCAATCTTCTCATGATATACAATTACATCCCACCATATCTCTCTGATTTCTATTAGAACAGACACAAATTCTGTTCATGCTACTTTCATTATGTTTTAGTCTGAGTGACATCATAATTTACATGTACAATTCACTGAGAGCTTCTCTTGTCAAGAATACTCACCAATACTCATTTCCAGTCTATGTTGACTTTCACTGTTATTCTCTCTGCCCCAGACCAGTACAAGCCACTTTTGTGTTGTGTATGACATTGGATGTGCTTATTTTACTTATCCAGCATAAAATCGTATCACTTAGAAAGAAAATTTTTTGAGAATCCAAAAAAGAGATATATTACTTTCAGTTAGATTAACTTTATAAGCAAAATAGTTTTTCTTTAGTTTCTTTCTTTTTTTTTTTTTTTTTTTTTTTGAGACGGAGTCTCGCTCTGTTGCCCAGGCTGGAGTGCAGTGGCGCGATCTCTGCTCACTGCAAGCTCCGCCTCCCAGGTTCACGCCAATCTCCTGCCTCAGCCTCCCGAGTAGCTGGGACTACGGGCGCCTGCCACTACGCCCGGCTAATTTTTTGTATTTTTAGTAGAGACGGGGTTTCACCACATTAGCCAGGATGGTCTCGATCTCCTGACCTTGTGATCCGCCCGCATAGGCCTCCCAAAGTGCTGGGATTACAGGCGTGAGCCACCGCGCCTGGCCTCTTTAGTTTCTTTTAGCACTTCTAGGTCAAAATAAGAAATAGGAGGTGTGACCATTTTTATCAATTGTAAAAATGGAAGCCCCTGTTGTGTTAGACTCTTAATTCTTTCCTTCTGTTATGTGAGTTGTTTTGTTGATAGCTTAAAGTCCCAGATCATTTCCTGCCTGTGATTTCTGCGCATGGTGATGTGGCATTCTCCCTAAGGGATAAAGCATTGCCATCAATGGAAGGTTTCTTAGAAGAGACAAAGAAAAGAAAAGCATGTGTAAGACATGGAGAGTTCCTGAATGTTATGAACCTTTAAGAGCCAATCCCTCAAGATAAAGCTCAAATGGCTAACTGGGTCTAAATTTAAAAAGGAGCCAAAATGGGCCGGGTGCGGTGGCTCACGCCTGTAAGCCCAGCACTTTGGGAGTCCGAGTGGGGCGGATCACGAGGTCAGGAGATCCAGACCATACTGGCTAACACGGTGAAGCCCCGTCTCAACCAAAAATAGAAAAAGTTAGCCGGGCGTAGTGACAGGCGCCTGTAGTCCCAGCTACTCCGGAGGATGAGGCAGGAGAATGGCGTGAACCCGGGAGGCGGAGCTTGCAGTCAGCTGAGATCAAGTGCCACTGCACTCTAGCCTGGGCGACAGAGCGAGGCTCCGTCTAAAAAAAAAAAAAAAAACAAAGGAGCCAGGAGCCCAAATGACCATTTGCTGATTAGAGGTCACATCTTCCTCTGAGTTTCTGGAAAATACACACATCTGCTTAACTTTAGCAATTTCATAGCTGACTGTACATGTTCGTAACATCTGAAATAACCAATAGACTGTGGCTTGCACCCACCCATTAGAAGTAAGCAAATGTTAATCCTTTATTTACATGGGAGGACCTGACTGGCAACCTGGGCAAGAACATTCTCTATAAAAGCTAGACCCCTCATTTGTTCTCTGGAACATACCTTCGTTTTACAGAAAAGGCTATATCTCCTCAATTTGCAAACTGTTCACTGGAATAGTCTCTTTCCTCCAAATCCCTCTTTAGAGAACGTCTCTTCACAATGTGTTAGCACATTCACATACTGTTTCTGTATTTATATGAGAGCTTTGGATTCTTTACCTAAGTTTTTTGCTCTTGAAATCTTTTCCATGCTTTTCTTTGAAATTCCCTTCTTTAACTGGCATTTTTATTTGCATTGCTTCTTTTTGAATGTTTGAAGTATTTCTACAAACTTGGAATGTTTTTACAAGACTACTTCAGATCCACCTAGACGAAAAACTAAAATTTCTATTAGCTTTGAACTTGCAATATTTTAACACATTTTTTCTCTTATTTCCAACTTTTGAATGATCTAAATTCTCACATGTATAAATTCTGTTTTTTAAAAAAGCTTTCTTTCAGAACACTCTATAAAACAAGATGTGTTGTTTTATTCTCAAATGGAATACAATATTAGTATTAAAGGAGACTATAAAAATATAGAGTGGAGAGCTTTCTGAATAATTGTGATACAAGGTTGACAGAAATGATTTCTGTTTAAAAAGAACAAGATTGTGTTTCTATGTAAAATGGAGTCTGATTTTATATATATATATATATATATATTCCTATGTAAAGTGGAGTCTGATTATATATATATACATTTATAACCAGCCTGGCCAACATGGTGAAACCCCATCTCTAATAAAAATAAAAAAAATTAGCCAGGAGTGGTGGTGCGTGCCTGCAGTCCCAGCTGCTCGAGAGGCTGAGGTGGGAAAATCGCTTGAACCCAGGAGGCAGAGGTCGCTGTGAGCTGAGACTGTGCCATTGCACTCCAGCCTGAGCGACAGAATGAGACTTTGTCTCAAAAAAACCCATATATATATATACACACACACACTAAAAAATATACATATATAAAGTATATAGGTATATATAAAGTATATATATACTTTTTAATATATTTATATATAAAAGTATAATTTTAGTGTATATATATACTTTCATTAGTATATATATACTTTTTAGTATATATAAAAATATATATACACAAAAATGTATACACTAAAAAGTATATATATACTAAAAAAGCATATATATACTAAAAAAAGTATATGTATATAAAGTGTTTATGTGTGTGTGTGTGTATGTGTATATATATGTATGTGTGTATATATATACACTTTTTTTTGAGACAAAGTCTCATTCTGTCGCCCAGGCTGGAGTGCAATGGCACAATCTCGGCTCACTGGAACCTCTGACTCCTGAGTTCAATTGATTCTCCCACCTCAGCCTCCTGAATAGCTGGGACTACAGGTGCATGCCACCACGCCTGGTTAATTTATTATATTTTTAGTAGAAATGGGGTTTCACCATGTTGGCCAGGCTGGTCTCAAACTCCTGACCTCAAGTGATCTGCCTGCCTCAGCTTCCCAAAGTGCTGGGATTACAGGCGTCCGATTTGATATTAAAGGAAGATGGTGGACAGTGTGCTTGAAGGTATTAGTGGGAAATGGCTATTAAAGTGCATGCTAGAAAGTGTACTTAATGCACCATGCTAATATCTTGTAAATGTTGAGTGCTTTAAAAAAGCATAAACCTCTAGCAGTTTCCATGTAAGCCCTGCTCGTTCACTCTTTTCTCCTTTGGAGGACTTTCTCCTTTGACATTTCCTTCTTCTATTCCCTTGGACAATACTTCTGAAGCATGACGCTAGAGTGGAAAGAACATCTGGGTGAAAGTCTGCAGTTGTGATTGTAGTGTTGAGTCTGTTACACCTGTCTGTGCAACCCATGTCATTTAACCTTTGTTGACTCCCTTAAATAAGGGGAATGACACATGTGATCTCCTAACCCTTTATGTATTCATTAATGATAAGTACCATTCACTGGGTATATACTAATGATCAACACAGTCCCTGTCCCTGTCCCCATATAGAATACATTCATATCAGGAGATGGACATTTAAACAATAATTGCAGATTAAACAGTGTTAAAATTCAGAGAGCTATGATAACATAATGATGCCACCTCTACACCAGGGAATCAGATAAGTTTTTCCCAGAGAAACATTTTATACCAAAAATAAAAAATTTAGTTTGGAGTTAAATGCCTAGGGATGAGGTACAGAGGTAAAGTGGGAGATGCAGAAATACGTATTTTTTCTGTAGAGTGAATAACATGTGGGGGTCGGAGGCAGGAAGAAACAGACTACTCTTCAGAAATTATAGACCTCTCGACTTCTCAATTCTGTTCTGTCTCAATGATCCAGCTTCAGTTCCATATTATTTTTTCGAAACTTACCTTTAAAATTTCTTGCCTACCTTGACCATTTTTCTTCTTAAGTTTCCATTGACATGTATCATGTGAATCGTTGAATTTTAGCATTTGGTTATTTTTGCTTTGCCTCATCAAACATTTTCACATGTGTGTGTCCTGCATCCCTACATACTTTCAAGTTCAAAATGGATAGGACTGTGCTTTGCACTGCTTTGGTTTGCACCGTGATGTCTGTGACAGTGCTGGGCACTGAGCAGCCGCTAAAAATCATTCTTGTTGAATTTATTATTTCCTTTTACCTTAATGCAGACTTCCTGTCACAGCATTAGGGCCAAGAATAATTTACGGGTTGAAATGTTGATACAAGAAGCAATAGTAAATGTCTTATCAAATTGTTGGACCCTGTCATTCTTCATCTGGATTTAGAAAATAAAAAGATCCCTGATGATACCCCCAATTTCCTCTGGCAGTGTTTCTAAAGGAACTATCCTATGAGACTTCAGCATTCTGACTCATGACATTAATATCCTGAGCTCCTCAAGAAAATTAAGCATCACAGACCACAGGAAGATTCTGCTAAAATTGCCAAAAATAACAATACTTTTAGTTAGTACTCTTTTTCCAAGGTATTCAGCATCCAACGTGTATAGCAACTGTGTCATGTTTAAATCGTTTTGCTACGCTAATTGAGATATGAAGAAACAAGGATAGAAACATACAAATCATTTCTTTAGGTCTGAAAAGAAAGCTATTAGCTAGCCAAAAGCACAGACATTCCAAAATTCATAGTGTCAAATTAGTTGTGTTATTTTCTTATTTTTGCTTCTGGTGGAGACATCCAAAACTGATGGCTTAGTGGGCAGCAGTAATGAATTTTAATCCCAGGTACATTGCCAGCTTTAGGTCTTGTGCAAATGCCTCTGTGAAGTATTTTTCTGTGCCTATATACAATGAGGATACTGACACATCTTTATCATAAAATAAAAATGTGGAGTAAAGATGTAGCTAATATTCTACAACATAAGCATTCTTCCAGTTACTCATAAATCGATGCCCATTAATTGAATCATAGGGCAAGTACGTTTGTGAAGCTTACTAAATAATTTGTAGCAGGGTATTCTTTTTTTTTTTTTTTTTGAAACGGAGTCTCACACTGTCGCCCAGGCTGAGTGCAGTGGCGTGATCTCAGCTCACTGCAACCTCCACCTCCCAGGTTCAAGCGATTCTCCTGCCTCGGCCTCCCGAGTAGCTGGGACTACAGGTGTGTGCTACCATGCCCAGCTCATTTTTTGTATTTTTAGTAGAGACAGGGTTTCACCTTGTTAGCCAGGATGGTCTCGATCTCCTGACTTCATGATCTGCCTGCCTCGGCCTCCCAAAGTGTTGGGATTACAGGCATGAGCCACCGCGCCTGGCCCATGGTATTATTTTTTATAGAGAAGGATTCATTCTCCCTAAACATTCCCCGCCTACTCCTCTTTCTGTTGGGATTTTTCACATATCAAATTTGCAAAAATAAAACATGAAAGATGATTGTGAAAACAGAATTAAGTCGTATGATATTTTATTTCATTATTCTAAAGGTAATTGTAATCTATAAATTAGATGTCCCTGAAGTATTCGCAAAACACTCTTAAAAGCTTTTTGGATAAATGTGACAAAAATTACTTAAGTCAGGTTCCACTGAGAAACTGAGAAAAAAAGGAGAAAAATATTCCTTGAGGATTCAGATGCCTGAGAAAGATTTAAGGAGTTTTTATACTTTGATAGAGCTTTTAAGAAATGTTTTATCTATTTTATCTTTGCTCTGGCCACATACCGATAGAACTTGCAAACTGTTTACTTAGGAGTATGGATTTGTAATATTTTAACAGTAAAGTAGCACTCTGATTTCTAAATAGTTCCTGTGGTTACAATGAAGAAGGAAGGAAGGAAGGAAGGAAGGAAGGAAGGCAGGCAGGAAGGAAGGAAAGGAAGGGAAGGATGGAGGGAGGGGAAGGAAGGAAGGGAAGGAGGGAGGGATGGAGAGAGGGAGGGAGGAGAAAGCCTTTCAGAGTAGTAGGAAGCTGTCAAAATCTACTTAATGGAATCATTTGTAGATGGAATCATTTGTAGAGAATGTTTTTCCTTCCCCTCCAAGAAAGTTTTTGTTCTTGCTGATGGCTTTTCTATCTAGAATCCACAGATCTTCCACAGATTAAAAAACTAAAGTATAGAAAAGTATTCTGTGCAGGTGGAAGATTTGAAATAATTTATTGATGCTAAAACAAGATGTTTATAATACTTTTCCTCACTCCACCTACTACTTTGAACTTGCTCAGTCGGTGCCATTCTATTTAGTAAGGCTTAGAGCAAGTCAAATCAAACTTTGATTTGAATTTCACAAAGATTTGAAATTCTCTCGCAGAGATTTGAATTTTTCTCTCTCTCTTCTCTCTCTCTCTCTTCTCTCTCTCTCTCTCTCTCTGCCTTGCATTCTCTGAGAGAGAATACTTTTGAGTTAATCAGCTGGACTGTTTATGGGGGAGTAGTAGTTCCCTGTTTACATTATTCAGTAATAACTAAAAGTAGATAATTGAAGTATGTTTTATTAAAATGTACTGATGGGAAAGAGTATTTTAGAGGGTCCAAAGTGGAAATAAACATATATATTTACATAAATGATTTAGAAACATCAGGTTTTTAAAATGAATCTCCTCTCGTGGATTTGTAGATTAGAACTTGACTCACAGCTAAAAGCAGAAGCCATTTAAAAAAAAAGATAATTATTTCCTAAAGTAAACTTATTTCATGTAGTGCAAAACCTAATACAAGAAAGTGCATAATTACAAGTGTGTGGCTCAAAGAACTTTACAAAGTGATGCACCTGTGCAGGCAGCACAGATCAAGAAACAGCATTGAGCCTCCTCTCCCTCCTGCTCAGTCTTGGCCTCTCTCCAAAGCTATATCCTGACTTCTAATTTGACTTCCAGGTGGGTTTTCCTTGTTTTTAAATTTCTCAAAAGTGGGATGATACAGTAGGTTCTCTTTTATGTCTGACTTTTTAAATTCAACATTTTTCTGCAAAATCCATCCACATTGTTGTGAGTAGCTATATTTCATTCATTTTCATGGCTGTATTGTATTCCATGTGAATAGAGATTGTTTATTCAGAGTCTTATTCACAGACAGGTAGTTTCTGGTTTGGGGTTGATACCAATTGTGCTACAATGATAATGTTTAACATATTTTTTCTGAAAACATATACACATTTCTCTGGGGATGTTCCTTAGAGTGGAATTCCTGGGTCATAGGGTGTGAGTAATAGATATTGCCAGTAGTTTTTCAAATTTACACAACTGCCAGTAGTGTCTGTGAGTTCCAGTTGCCAAGCCAATCCTTGTATTTTTTTTTTAATTGCTATTCTGATGAGTGTGTAGAAATGTCATATCTGAATTTGTATTTTTCTGGTGACTAAGGAAGGCAAGTATCTTTTCGTGTGGATGCTGGCTGTTTGACTATCCCATCTTATGCAGCATCTCTTCCAATATTCTGCCATATTTCCATTTGACTGTCTATCTTTTTTTGAATCCTTCAGATATTCAGGATACACGTATAAAATATCTTCTTGTATTCTCTGGCTTTCATTTTTATTATACCAATAGTGCCTTTGGATTAACAGATTTTCTTACTTTAATGTATTCACAAGTATCAAATTTGTCCTGTTACAGTTAGGTGTTTTAATGTCCTGTTTAAGAACTATTTAACTCTTCCAGGGAAAAATATTTATTTATTTATTTATTTATTTAATGATTAACTGTATGTCTCAAAATGCGGGAAAGAAAGGATGCCTAGAGAACTAGCAACTATAGTACTCCACCCATGGAGTACTAAATTTTATGCAGTGTGCATAAAATTTAATTGGAGACAATGTACATTGAAAAGTCACATTTCTATAAAGCTGTAAATTAGACATAACATCTTCCAGGACTTAACCTACTCAGATGTTAGTAAGTTCAGTCTCAGCCATTTACATTTTTTTCTCATTCCCTGAATGGAAATGACTCAGATATGAATATGGATTTGGGTTTATGCAGTGCCAGAGGAAGAAAATAAAGACTGCTCCATGCCCTTTGTCGATATGGGCACTGGGACATCTTTTGCCTATTCTGAAAGAGGCTGTGGTGGAGGCTAAGCCCAGGCATCCATCCTTGGGGGCTGCTGTCAGGAATGAGCCTCCCTTCTCCCCTCTTTAAGATGCATGCTATCTTGCTCCTAGCCTCCTCCTCAAGCTGAACAAAGGCTAAAAATGCTTCAGACCTCATTTGTTACCACCTCTACCAGTCTTTCCTGTCTACATGCTTGGGGCTAAGGCAGCGACAGCTCCTTCAGTGAAGGTTAAGACACTGGTCAAAGAGAGTCTGACTTTTCCTCTATAGTGATGCGGGCAATGAAGATGGTAACACAACTTAACCTTTTTCTTAATAGTATGCACCAGTATAAAAGATAATTTTAAATATGAAGATATTCTGAAATCACATTTAGGAATAACATTAATTATGGTATTTAGATATTTACAAATATTCAGAATCTACAGTTTCCTTAATGATGCCTTAAAAAATATAGTATCTTTTTTCCTTTTTTTTTTTTTTTTTTTTTTTTTTTTAGACAGAGTCTCACTCTGTCACCAGGCTGGAGTGTAGTGGCGCAATCTCGGCTCACTGCAACCTCTGCCTCCCGGGTTCAAGCGATTCTCCTGCCTCAACCTCCCGAGTAGCTGGGATTACAGGCACCTGCCACTGCACCCGGCTAATTTTTATATTTTTAGTAGAGACGGAGTTTCACCATGTTGGCCAGGATGGTCTTGATTTATTGACCTCGTGATCTGCTCACCTCAGCCTCCCAAAGTGCTGGGATTACAGGCGTGAGTCAACATGCCTGACCTATAGTATCTTTTTTTTTTTTTTTGAGACGGAGTCTCACTCTGTCGCCCTGGCTGGAGTGCAGTGGCGCGATATCGGCTCACTGCAAGCTCCGCCTCCCGGGTTCACGCCATTCTCCTGCCTCAGCCTCCCCAGTAGCTGGGACTACAGGTGCCCACCACCACGTCTGGCTTAATTTTTTGTATTTTTAGTAAAGACGGGGTTTCACCGTGTAGCCAGGATGGTCTCGATCTCCTGACCTTGTGCTCTGCCCACCTCGGCCTCCTCCCAAAGTGCTGGGATTACAGGCGTGAGCCACTGTGCCTGGCCAGTATCTTTTTTTACTTTTAATTTTTTTAAAAAAATTTAGCAAAGGGGTCTCACTCTGTCACCCAGGCTAGAGTGCACTGGCACTATCATAGCTCACTGCAGCCTTGAACTCCTGGGTTCAAGCAGCCCTCTCACCTCAGCCTCCTTGGAAGCTGGGACAACAGCTGTATGCCACCAAGGCCGCCTTTTTTTTTTTTTTTTTTTTTGACGCGGTCTGTGTTGCCAAGTTTTTCTCAAACTCCTGGCCCCAAGCAATTCTCCTGCCTCAGCCTCCCAGAGCACTGTGATTACAGGTATAAGGTACCATGCCTGACCAAAAAACAGTTTCTAATATCATCAAGCTAGTGATGGAGTTAAATACGTAAAATGTAAAATTTTAAATCAGATATTCCCCTCACCCCACCATGGATATCACCTTTGAGCAAAGAAAATTTACAAAAAAAAAAAAGTCTTGGCTGGGCCCGGTGGCTCACACCTGTAATGCCAGCACTTTGGGAGGCCAAGGTGGGCAGATCACCAGTTCAGGATTTCGAGACCAGCCTAGCCAACATGGTGAAACCCCATCTCTACTAAAAAATACAAAAATTAGCCGGGCGTGGTGGTGTGCACCTGTAGTCCCAGCTACTCAGGAGGCTGAGGCAGGAGAATCGCTTGAACCTGGGATGCAGAGGTTGCAGTGAGCCCAGATCGCGCCACTGCACTCCAGCCTGGGCAACAGAGCGATACTGTCTCAAAAAAAAAAAAAAAAAAAAAAAAATCAGGGTATTTTTACTTGTGCTTTAAATAGCTGTCAGGCAAATATTGCATTAGAAAATATAGTAGTAATTTCATTTTTATATTTTTCCAAATAGAACTCCTGTAAGTATGTCTTCAATTAGAAATAGCTAGACATCCTCCAAATTTAGGATGGGATGAAGCAATGCCTGAGTGGCTCACTCTATATTGCGTGACCAGACTGAAGTTAAGGTCGTGAGTAATAGATCCCTGTGTTCTTCCTTAGGAGACAAAGTGCAGCTTGGGAAAAGCCTCTGATCTCCGCAGGTTAATCGCCTCCATCACTCTGTTCCTGAGAGACTCATGGCTGCAACTCTCTGGGTTCTTGCTTGAAAAATGCTGGGTTTCCCTTCTGTCCACCCATGACTCAAATCACTTTATCTCCCCTCCCTGACACCTCCTTCAATGATTAATTTTAGAAAATCTCATTAGCTTATTTTAAACAAAATGCTATTTTTCTTGAAGATTTTGAACTTTTTGAACTTAACTTGATAAATTGAACTTAATTTTACAAAACATATAAATAGGACAGAAATGAATATTCAACAAATACGCAATGAGGTGATCCATTGTTTTGTTTTTTGTTTTTAGTTTTTTTGAGAGGGCGTCTCCCTCTGTCGCCCAGGCTGGAGTGCAGTGGCGCGATCTCGGCTCACTGCAAGCTCCGCCTCCCAGGTTCACGCCGTTCTCCTGCCTCAGCCTCCTGAGCAGCTGGGACTACAGGCGCTGCCACCACGCCCGGCTAATTTTTTGTATTTTTTAGTAGAGACGGGGTTTCACAGTGTTAGCCAGGATGGTCTTGATCTCCTGACCTTGTGATCCGCCTGCCTCGGCCTCCCAAAGTGCTGGGATTACAGGCGTGAGCCACCGCGCTCCGCCGGTAATCCATTCTTTTAAAAAACAGCTTCCAGCATGAGAAGAGTAAAGCCAGGATATTTTTTAACCTGTTTCTTTCCTTAATTCATTTGTTACTCTCAACAAACGGTGACGGGGTTTTTTGTTTGTTTGTTTTTCTTTTTTTTTCAATTACACTTAACCTTGTGTTTATTACTAAAGAATTCAAAATAAATATGCCACATACTTTGTTTGGATGGCTCCTAAACAATCACTGGCTTGCAGCTAACCCAAAAAAATGTGCCATCGATTTTGGTGATTTGTTTGTACTTGATAAGTCATTTTTCTTCTCTTTCTGCAGATCCCAAGCCCATGACCTTTCTTTCTCCTTACCGCACTCCCTCATCATGACAGACAGGGCAAATAGAACCCTGTGCTGGGAACAGAAAGAACACTGAGTG
This sequence comes from Homo sapiens, assembly GCF_000001405.40. Lineage (NCBI taxonomy): Eukaryota > Metazoa > Chordata > Mammalia > Primates > Hominidae > Homo > Homo sapiens. The sequence goes on from NC_000010.11 coordinate 36,641,932, forward strand.
GTTTTAAAAGGTTATCTCCATCTCCCTCTGCATTTTAAACAACTTAACATGAAATACTGGATTTAAACACACACACACACACACACACACACACACACACACACATACACACACACACACACATACACACACACACAGTTATCCTGATTAAAACAGGTAAAGAGCGTAGTGTGCATTGTGATTATTTCCTCCAGTATTTCTCATAAGTACACGAATATGTCAATAGACTCTCATTGTTCTTGTATATACCAATTGTAAGATGACGTGTTACAAGGATTCCAAAAGATATAACTGTAACGGATTAGAATAAAATACCCTGGTGACCCAGTTCCCTCAAACTTCCAAAGCAGTAGAAAATCTAGGAAAAACTAGCTTTACCAAAAACAAATTAACTAAATCCTCATAGCAATGTCAGAATCAATCCAGTGGCACCCAAAAGCTGAAGATGACTAATTATGTTTTTTTTAATCCAGATTACTCTATTTAGATGACAGAGTTGTATTTTACAAAGTCATTGTATATAATTATGTATTATAGTATATATTATATATTTATACATGTATATTTCCAAAATTTTAGCTAAGTAGAGATTTTCTTTCATAATCTGTAAATAAAATAAAATCACATACTGTTACTAAAGAATGGAAAGCACTAGATTAAAGCATCAATATAAAGAACAGCCATTTTATATGACAAATATAATAAAATATTTTCTCCTTTAAGGTATCTTCAGCTAACCTAAAGGAAGGGTAAAATGTTGTTGTTAGATAATAGCAAAATGAGTAACAAATACAATAAGCCTTCACAATTTGGTTTTGGGTTATTTTTTCATAATCATTATTTGCATCCCTTTTTATCTAGCCTAGGGGATAGTCACACTGGCTTTCAGCTGGTAAGAATTTGCTCTTCTTTGTGTAGGAAAGTTTACTCTGCCAGAAATAATCTTTTTTCTGCCTTTTCCACGTGAAAATCTTTTATGTTCTTCAACATCAGAATTAGTCCTATCTAATACCAAAATGTTTGAATTTATAGAGAGGAGGAAACCCTTCCGTATGAAGTGCCTAGCACTCTGCACTTTGCTTTTGGTTCAATTCTCATTCTACCTCTTGGCATGTGTGATCTGTTATAGCTTCAAGAGTACTTTTTTATTTTTTTCCTGAGTGATTGCTACTGATGGACCATCACTAATTACAATGATTACAAAATTGTGATGTTTTTCTTCCATGCAAAATCTGTTTGGTTTTATCGAATCTGCTCACTCTCATGGGAGTATATTGGGCATGTGCGTGGCATCTTTCCTGTTCATCGTGGGAGAAAATGATTAGAAGCAAGCCCTAGACACTATTCTCCCAGGCCCGGATGGACTGTCACTGCTGGCAGCTTGATGTGTCCCCAGGTTGAATTTTTAGGATCTCCTTCTTGCTCATTGGGGTGGCCATAATGCATTTCTAGCTCTCAGCCCCATTTGTGAAAACATGTTTATTCCCCTCTAGTGGATTTTTTCAAGCATCAAGAGCTCTGTGGTTTAATTACTGGTCATATATTACTAAGACAGTGCTGTGGTCTGAATATATTAATATGTACTCCCCACAAAATGCTTATGTTGAAATCTAATCACAAATGTCATGATATTAGGAGATGAGGCCTTTATGAGGTCATTTGGTCATGAGGGCAGATCCTTCATGAATGCAGTTGGCACTGCTGTAAACAAGGCCCCAGGAGCTGCCGCATCTCTTTACACCATTGGAGTATGCAGCTATGAACCAGAACGTGGCCCCTAACCAGACACCAAATCTGCCGGCACCTTGATCTTAGACTTTCAAGCCTCCAGAACTGTTCAGAAATACATTTCTGTTGTTTAGAAGCCACTCCGTTTACAGTATTTTGTTATGGCACCCTGAATAGTCCAAGATATATAGTAACTATAGATATATTTGCTGATAAATTTGCTTTTCTCTTTTAAAAGTCTATTCATTTTCCTGAAATCCTGATGATGTTTTACATAGCCTCAATATTTTTTTCTTGGCAAAAATATAGTTGCTGAATTCTTAGTAGGTAGTTTCAGCAATAGTCTGGTAAGATACATTTATTTTGAAAAATAAAAGGAAAAACAGAAAAAAAAAGAAAGCAAGAGACAGAGTTTGAGAATTTGGATTTTGTATACACACAGATTAAATTTTCCAAATAATCCTTCTCTTCTCCTTTCACCTTTGTCTATATATTTGTACAACTGAAAGCCTCCCTCCCAAGACTGCCACTCTTTCCCTAACCAAAAATGAAGTATATTCTGGAAAATAAGGGAAAAAATATAATAAAGATAAAAGCATTTATTAAACACAGATAATAGTGTTTGAGGACAATATAGTGATGAAATTGGGTGTTTCAAAATCAACTAACTTTGAGAACTAATATCATAAAATCTTAAATCAATCTTGTTTCAAGATAAAAATCAAAGAAAATATATCAGCACAAAAAGACTTGTTGGCAAGAAGGAGCATTTAAAATCTTAACCTGAGTATACCTAAAGCAACAAAACCGATTTACCACCTATCACCATTTTGAAATCCAAATTGATCTAATAGAGGCAGAAGCAGCTAGAAGAACCATAGAGTTTCATATTAACCTTTAAAATAAGAATAAACAGTGAACTTGTAAATTACTCTCTTACAAATCAGACATGAATAGTTTTTGAAATAATGGAACACATTAACAGGATATTTGTGAACATTCTGAGAACAATAGATGACTCCTGAGCTGCACACAAGGTGAGTGATTAAAAAAAAAAAAACACGCACCTCAACTTGTTAAAGAAAGTGATTATATAAAGAGGAAGGCATTCACTTAATGAGAAAAATAAACATATAAATGAAATATAATCTTGGATGTTTACAAAACAACCTTTCCCCATGAGCTTAAAGCATGTTCTTCTTTAATGTGTTTTATGCCTCCTTAGCTGAGTGAAGATTTTTTTTGTTGCTCCGTCTTCACTTCTGTTTTATCCTAAGGCATTTAGGATTTTACCACGACCAGGACCCTAAAGGTGTCTCACTAGGGCCACTAGTGCCTTTCAATTGATAATCCAGTGAATTTGTTTTCACTTCTTATCTTTCTTAAATTTCTTGTAGCGTTTTTAAAGTAAATGTGTATTAATGTATAACACATATATAGTACATTGCATAAATCACAAATATACAGCTACATCAATTTTTATAATGAAGACTGCACCTTCCTTTTGTTCACTCCCTCTCTCGTCTTTCACTCCCCTCCACCTATCTTTAAATTCTTTCCTCTTTTGTTCTCCACATGTCATTCTTCCCTCTTTTTTAAAAAATTAAATATATTTATTGAATAACAAATGGGATACAGAACACTTCTGTGAATTGGCTAAATAAAGATAAATAAGATGATAAGGATCATCTTAGATAAGATAGCCATAGTGACATAAAATTATTTTTATGTTTATTTACATAATTAAATTCTGATTTCATTGTAGGCAGATATCATTACTTATTTTTTTCATGCTTGTAGCATTAACAGGTTGCCAGACACATTCAGTAAATAAAGATATGTATGATTGGAAATGGAGAAAGGAAGCTAGCTGAAATCATTTCACAGGGGTTAAAGTTGATGAAGACAGCTTTACACCTGAGAGCATTTGAACAAACAAAGTTACACTTGGAGGAAAAGGGGTCTTATATATAGCCTATCGCATAGACACCCATGATACTGTATAAATGAACACAGCTTCTTCATAAATGAGCACAGCTTCTTCTCTTCTGTCTTATTTTTCCCTCTCAGGCTCATATTGCAGTTCTCTTTCACTATTTCCACCAGCTAGGTGTTGACCTATAGCGTTGATCCTTATATCTTTTTCCTCAGAACCTAAGTACTCTTCAGAGGGACCTTATCCATTCTTATCCCTCTGTTAGTTATGCCTTGGTGACATGTATGTCTTGACATATACATCAACTGTTCTCCTAACCCTACAGTTGTATAATACCACCATGTCTCCCCTGGATATGTAGTTCATAGCTCAGAAACAACACAGCCAGGCCAACAGCATCTACCACGGGTTGCAGAGGAAGCCTGCCTGTGCTCAAGGCCTGGCTTTGCACCTGACTGGGTATGTGACCTTGAGCAGGTCACTTAATATTAATATTTTTCTTTTTATAATGTAGACATATCATGTATTATAAGTTTCTTTGGCTGATGTGACCAATCACTAAACATTTATTAGCTTAAAAATCATAAAAATTTATTTATTTTTTACAGATTTGAAGGCCATAAGTTCAAAATCAGTGTGACTGAGCTGAAATCAAGGTGTGAAAACAGCTGCACACCCTTCAGAGGCTCTCGGGGAGAATAAGGCATTGCCTATTCCAGCTCCTGGCAGCTGCCGGCACTGCCCCACTCATGGCCACATCACTCCAACCTCTGCCTCCATGGTCCCATTGCCTCCTCCTCTTCTGTCTGTGTCAAATGTCCTCTGTCTCTCATGGATACACATAATGGCATTTTGGGACCACTGGGCTAACTCACAATAATCTCTCCCTTTCAAGATATTTAACTTAATCACATCTGCCAAGATCCTTTTTTCCAAATAAAGTCAACATTTACATATCCCAGAGAATGGGGTGTAATATCTTTTGGGGGGCCTGGGGGGACATTCTTCTAAGGCTAATGTACTCTTTATTTGCTTATTCATCTGAGTTTAATATGCATCTTGAGAGTGCATCATTCAGCCCCCTACAGATGAAACAGTGACCATCTATGAGTGGTCATGTGGTTAAATAGGTAACTTCAGACCTAATTCTTGGGATAATACCTGAACAGGATCAGCACTCACTAAGCATTAGCTTTTTCATTGTTGTTCCTCATAAGTCTCCCCATGTCAGATTTTCTTTCTCAGGAAAAACCAACCAATATGAAGCCTGAGATCATGTCCTGTCAATTCTGTCCCCTTAACATCTCATTCTCATTGACTTGATTTCCACTCTCAGTGTCTCCAGGCTGAGATATTACAGCCTCCCATCTTCATCCTATGCTCCTCCAGCACATCCTTCCCACCTCTGCCAGAATGCTGTGTCTAAAGTAAACACTGGTCCTGGCGGTCCTGCATATTGACATTTATTCCTTCCACAAACAATATTTAACCTAGTCTACGCTTGGCATTGAGAACACAAAGAAAATAAGGCATAGCCTGATTGGGGACGTTGTCAGACCACAAATGTGTAGTAGGTGGAAAAATGGTCCCTCAAAGACATCACTTCCTAATCCCTGGAATCTGTGACTATTACATGATATTACAAAACATGTGATTAAGTGAAGGATCTGGAGAAGAGACATTTCCTGAATATCTAGATGGGCCCTAAATGCAATCCTGTGTATTCCTATAAGGAGAAAGATAGAGAAAGACTAGACAGAGACACATGAACAGAAGAAAGTGATGTGAAGATGGAGGCAAAAATGGAAGGGATGCAGCCACAAGCCCAGGAATGCCGGCTGCCATCAGAAACAGGAAGAGGTAAGGTGTAGATTCTACCTAGAGCTTCTGGACTGAGCATGGCCCTGCCAACACCTTAGTTTTGAACTTCTGCCTTCTAGAACTGTGAAAGAGTCCATTTCTGTTGTTGTAAACCACCAAGGTTGTGGTGATGTGGTACGGCCATCCTACACTAATGCAGCCGGGCAGAAGCACAGAGGAGGAGGTGCTCACAGAGCCTCGAAGCAGCCTGCGTGGGGACATACCAATGCTCAGGAAAGGCTTCTTGGAGGAAGTGCTGTGTGAGCCGAAACTCTCCATTTGAATAGGAGCTAATCCCATGGGAAAGAAGGAAACACGCGTCCTGCAGGATGCAAAGGGAGGAGAGAAAGAATGAGGGGCTCAGGAAATGATTTGCATTTGGTTCTGCTAGGATTTTATGTCGGAAGTGACCAACAGTGAAGCTCGAGACAAGGTTTGAAATGGATCACATGGAGCAGTGTCTCCTTCCGTAAACAGCTGAGACTTTGTCCTGTAAGTGACAAAGCCAGTGATGCTTCTGAAGCAGGACTCTATTTAAAATGGGAGCTCCAGGGTGGCCACACAGCAGTAGGATAAGGTAGGTGATGGGAAAACTAGTTAGAAAGTTGCAAGGACAGAGAGGAGGGTAGAGATGACAAACTTTTTAGTTGATATCATCAGTAGGATTTTAGGGTTATTTAGCTTGGGTGGAAAAGGGATAGACTGAGAAAGGGAAGGAAGACATTCAAGCTTCTGGCTTTGGTGACCACTTCACTGGGGGTGAGTAGTTATAGCATCTACAGGTAGAAATATTTAACATGCAGTTCCATATATATAAGTCTGAAGTTCAGGGTAGAAGTATAGACTGAAGATTCTGATTTGAAAGTTGTCAGAATTTACGACACATTACTACGTGTATTTTAATGCCTTTCTCAAACTCTACTAAACCACAAAGAAAAGGGTTTATGTCTTCCTGCTCTTCATATTCTCAGCTCTTAGAAAATACAAAGACATCCAATAAAGCTTTAAGAAAGGAATTAATATACTGATTAGAATATTGATGTTTTTATTAGGTACATTTGATCTACTTTGACTAAAATGCCTTTTTAAAAAATGTAGCCTTTTGTAGAAGAAGTTCAAAATAACTCATTTAGCCTCAATAAATCAATAATTATACTGTTACTGGATGTAATGAAAAAATATCTAATCATTATAAATTAAAAAAGAGAATTATATTTCATCAATACATTTTTTCCAGTAAAGTTTCATAAAATGGGTAAGAAATACACCACATCAAGGAAAAATTAACAAGTAAGAATAAGAGGAAAAGCAAACGTTTCTAGTACTGAGCTATTTTCTAACCTATACTATTTTAAGCTAGTCTGTAACACATGGAAATTTTGAATAAAGTTAAAATCTGTTACTAGCCAGGGATGGGAAAAATGAATAGTTGGTTGTTTTAAGCTTTGATTTCTGTGATTCTAAGAATGTCTTTCTTTGTTTTTATTTTTCCTAAAGACAAAGCATTTAATAAAATGCTCTCCCTACATTGAGCAGCACCAAATAAAAACAGCCCTAGTCAGGACAGAAAGATTTCTTTAAGGATTAAGTTCAAATCAAAGATTTGTTTGAAATATATATAGCTTTCAATTATATCCACTCTTTATTGCCACAATCACTTTCTGTTATAACACATTTAACACACACAAGAAGAGACTTTCAAGAACCTGTAGACATTATTAGATTTAATAATTAGCCACCCACGATTGTGTTGATTAGTTAGATTTTCACACTTCCCATGTGTGGAGGTCAAGGCTGAGAATGGAAAGAATGTGCTCTATGGCTGCATACGCAAAGAAAAGAATGAAATATATATACACACACATTCGCTTAATGTAATGCAATTACAATGGAATGGAATTCTCTTAATGGAACATATTATATATATATTCACTTAAATATTATATTTTAGGTTAAAATAGAATAGGCTAGAAAATAGCTCAGTGCTAGAAACATTTGCTTTTCCTCCTATTCTTGTTAATTTTTCCTTGATGTTGTATATTTCTTTCCCATTTTCTGAAACTTTACTGGAAAAAAATATCGATGTGATATAATTCTCCTTTTTAAATTATAATGATTAGATTTTTTTCATTAAATCCAGTAATGGTATAATTGTTGATTATTAAGGCGAAATGGGTTATTTCGAGCTTCTACAAAAGGTTACATTTTTTAAAAAAAGCATTTTAGTCAAAGTAGATCAAATGTACCTAATACAAACATCAATATTCTCATCAGTATATTAATTCATTTCTTAAACTTTTATCGAATATCTTCTACATTTTCTAAGAGCCGAGAATTTGAAGAGTGAGAAGACATAAACCCTTTTCTTTTTAGTTTTAGTAGAGTTTGAGAAAAGCACTAAAATACATGTAGTAATGGGCCAGGCACAGTGGCTCACGCCTGTAATCCCAGCACTTTGGGAGGCCGAAGGGGGAGGATCACCTGAGGTCAGGAGTTTGAGACCAGCCTGGCCAACATGGAGAAGCCCGTCTCTACTAAAAGAACAAAACGTAGCCAGGCATGGTGGCAGGCACCTGTAATCCCAGCTGCTCAGGAGGCTGAAGCAGGAGAATCACTTGAACCTGGGAGGCGGAGGTTGCAGTGAGCCGAGATTGCGCCACTGCACTCCAGCCTGGGCAACAAGAGCAAGACTATCTCAAAAAAAAAAAAAAAAAAGTAGTAATGTGCTATAAATATGTGTGTGTGTGTGTGTGTGTGTGTGTGTGTGTGTGTGTGTATGTTTCTCAAGCAATCAAATCAAAAGGAATTGATTTGTTGTAAACATTTTCTTTCATTGTCAGATTTTTAGTGGTAATTTTTTTGTTAACTTCTCCTTCGCAGACAAGATGAAGTCAAAAAGTGGCCTTTGAGTACTTTCTAAGCAACCCGGGAGTAGAAGAACGCTCTAAACCTGGACTCTTTGAGCTGCCCAAAAGTAAAGGTTGTATGAAGGAACTTTGCTTGGAATAGTGGCCGCGTTGATTAATGTGCCTGGTATAAACAGCAAAGCCTGGGCATGGAATGTGATCAATAGAATATTTGTTAAATGATGCAAATCACTATTAATTATTGCTTCAGAGAGCTAGCTTAGGGATAACTTTGAGAAGTGGTAAAGACAGAGCCAGAAGCTTAAGCATTGGCAATAGCATAGAAGGATTATAACACAGAAGAAACGGAAGTAAAGAAGCAGAGGAAGCCAGCTTTGTTTCAAAATGATGCCATGCATTCTCTAGGAGATGGAATACATATGTAAACAGAAGGAACATAGTAGAGAAAGAGCATGAAACAACATTTGTTTAAAATTGACCTTTCTCTTTGAACAAGAATGGACAGTACAATATCCAATAACAAAATTGATAATTGAATAACTGGTGTTTGCAAATTGGGAAACAAACATAATTTGAGCACCAATTCTTTTAACAATTTTGTCTTATCAGATGTAACAGGGTGAGGGTTTGCCAAGCATCAGTAGCACTGTGAGAGCATTTTCTGCTTTATGTCTCTCTGGTAACTAGAGGGCACCTCTTCTAGCTTTAGCTTATTGCTCCATGAGATTTTCCTTTTTTTTTTTTTTTTTTGGTAATTGTCTTTTTTAAAAAAATTATAGTAACAAATAATCATTCTACATATTTATGGGAACAGTGTGATGTATCAGTGCATGTACACTGTATAATGATCAAATGGGGGTAATTACCATATCTGTCTCCTTAAATATTTATCACTTCTGTGTGTGATAGCATTCAAAGTCTTCTAGCGATCTTGAAATATTCGCTACATTAGTTTTTGCTATAGTAACTCTACTGTGTAATAGACTGCCAGGGCTTATTCTTGCTGTCTAGCTGGACTTGGTACCCATTTTCCACCTTTCCCCTTCTCCTCTTCATCACCCTACCCTCCCCAGCTTCCAGTAATTTTTAATCTATATATTATAAGTTTTTCTCACATTTAAGTTCCCTCAATCAAACCCAAGTACTCCAGACTGGGTTCTCTTTAGGTGGATTCATTTAAAGAGAGTGTATGTTTTGATTAATTTTCTTCTTATGTATTTTCAATGTGTTAGCACTTAATACTATTTTGAGTGCAAAGACTGCATATAATATTTAGCCAAATACATATGTACTTCATTTGAGGGATCTTAAGATAACCCTCTACAAGCTATGAAATGAGGTTTTCTTATAATGTGGAAAAATTCATCTGAATGTTTCTAAAAGAATGAACTCATAAATAACAGAAGGTAACACTGAAAGCAGAATAAACTCAAATAAAGGACACTTGTAAACGTAAAAGAAATTTGACATCAGTATATAATTGTTTAAGGATCCATAATGGGCCGGGCGCCGTGGCTCACGCCTGTGGTCCCAGCACTTTGGGAGGCCGAGGCGGGCGGATCACAAGTTCAGGAGATCGAGACCATCCTGGCTAACACAGTGAAACCCCGTCTCTACTAAAAATACAAAAAATTAGCCAGGCGTGGTGGCGGGCGCTTTTAGTCCCAGCTACTCTGGGGGTTGAGGCAGGAGAATGGCGTGAACCTGGGAGGTGGAGCTTGTAGTGAGCCGAGATGGCGCCACTGCACTCCAGCCTGGGCGACAGAGCGAGACTCCGTCTAAAAAAAAAAAAAAAGGATCCATAATGATAATGATACAGAGACTTGGAGAATAAATAAATAAATAAAGTATCTTTTTAATATGTACTCTACTGACTTGCCAGGTCAAAGAAATATTGTATGTAAAGGAACAAATTTATAATTTTAAGAATGTGATTTATCTATATAAATAATAATATAAACTAACATTATACAAATTACACAAAATTATACAAAGTATGACTCCAAAACAATCAAAATTTAAATTAGGACATTAAAAAGCCACCACAGGCCAGGCACGGTGGCTCACGCCTGTAATCCCAGCATTTTGGGAGGCCAAGGTGGGCGTATCAGGAGGTCAGGAGACCGAGACTATCCTGGCCAACGTGGTGAAACCGCGTCTCTACTAATATATATTAAAAAAAAAAATTAGCTGGGCATGGTGGCGCATGCCTGTAGTCCCACTACTTGGGAGGCTGAGGCAGGGGAATCCCTTGAACCCCGGAGGGGGAGGTTGCAGTGAGGCCAGATCGCACCACTGCACTACAGCCTGGTGACTGAGGGAGACTCCGCCAAAAACAAACAAACAAACAAACAAACAAAACCACCACAGACACATCCAACGAAATTGACATTTGAAGAACTTTTTTTGAGAATTAGACCATGATTATGAAGGTTAGGGAGTTAACAAGATTATTTCTAGAATTCTAATTTACAACCTTATTAAAAAGTTACTTCTATATTGTACTTTTTGGATCAAAAATAATGATTTTCAACTTGAATGTTTTCTTAGTTACTATTTGGCTCTGAATGACATGATATTCTCAAATTCAAAATTCACCTCCAAAGTGGTCAGATATATACTAAATTGAAGTTATTTCAAATAGTTTTTGACATGACTCCTGAAAGCATTTGTCAAAGAATTATTTCTAGAAACTTCTGGGCAGAAGAAATATCACTTTGATTAAAAATATGTCCTTCCAATGTCACTCCACTGGGGAACATAATGCTTATTCAACAGTGTATGTTCTTTCATGTGTATTTTCCTAAAATCAATAGAGATTTCATTTTGCATAGACCAGGATGATATGTACCCATATTTTAATAAACAATAAATTAGAAAGAGGATTGGGTGTGTGTGTGTATATATATATATATATATATATATATATATATATATATATTTTTTTTTTTTTTTTTTTTTTTTTTTTTTTTTTGAGATGGAGTCTTGCTTTGTCGCCCACCTGGAGTGCAGTGGCACAATCTTGGCTCACTGTGACCTCCACTTCCCGAGTTCAAGCGATTCTCTTGCCTCAGCCTCCTGAGTAGCTGGGATTACAGATGCCTGCCACCACACCCAGTTAATTTTTGTATTTTTAGGAGAGAGGGGGTTTCACCATATTGGCTAGGCTGGTCTCAAACTCCTGACCTTGTGATCCACCAGCCTCGGTCTCCCAAAGTGCTGGGATTACAGACGTGAGCCACCGTGCCTGGCCGGGTGTAAATTTTTACTGTGGTAAAATACACATAACAAAATTTACTATCTTAAGTGTTTTTAAGTGTACAGTTGAGTTGTATGAAGTACATTCATAATGTTGTGCAACCATCACCATCTGTCTCCAGAACTCTTCCTCTTGAAAACTGTAACAATCTACCCATTGAACAGTAAGTCACCATTTCCTTGCTCCCCAGCTCCTGGCAACCACCATTTTACTTTCAGCCTCTATGATTTAAACTACCCTAAATACCTCACGTAAGCAGAATCATACCGTCATTGCCTTTTCGCAACTGGCTTATTTCACTAGCATAATGTCCTCAAGCCTTATCCATGTTGCAGAATACATCAGAATTTTCTTCCTGTATATATACGTATATTCCTGTATGTATTCCTTCCTGCATATATACGTATACATGTATATATCTATACGTATATATATGTATGTGTGTGTGTATGTCAAAAATAGTGAAATAAAAAATAGAGAAGTTTCTTTTTTTTTTTTTGAGATGGAGTCTCGCTCTGTCGCCCAGTCTGGAGTGCCATGACGCAATCTTGCTTCACTGCAACCTCCACCTCCCAGGTTCAAGCAATTCTCCTGCCTCAGCCTCCCAAGTAGCTGGGACTACAGGCATGTGCCACCATGCCCAGCTAATATTTTTGGATTTTTAGTAGAGACGGGGTTTCACCATGTTGGTCAGGCTGGCCTCGAACTCCTGACCTTGTGATCTGCCCACTGTGGCCTCCCAAAGTGCTGGGATTACAGGTGTGAGCCACCGCACCTGGCCTGAGAAGTTTCATACATCTTTACAAACTAAAGAATCAAAATTTAAATTATTAAACAATTGCACACAAAAATGCACATTTTACAATCACATATAAGTAAGGTTCAAAATTTGAGCACATTCATTAATGCATTTCACAAATATTCACTGAGGCCTTATATGCCAGGCACTGATCTAAATTCAAAGGAGAAAAAGCAATCAAAATAGGCAAGAATCCTTGGCATCTCCTTTTCTCTTTCTACTCTATCATGCATAATTTCTTCAGATTTGCGTAGTTGTTCAGGTATTTTTGAGTTACGAATGCTCTTTTTAATGGCATCTAACATGCAGAGCAGTTTGAATCATCCACTGCACTTAAAATTTCAATTATGACTTTTTCTTCAATTCCAGAGGCATTTCTTGGAACTCTATTTGTTAAAGTCCTTTGAAGACAGTGTTGTAGCTCACAGCCTCAGAAATTTCTTTTCACATATATATATATATATATATATATATATATATATATATATATATATATATATATATATATATATTTTACTTTTGCCTCAGGCCTATGGACATAAACTCTTATCTTTAGTAGTAGTTATTGGTTATTAGATAATCTAAACCAAGTAAGGCAAGTGAAAAAGACTAATAACTACTACTGCTATTCATGTGTTCATGCCGGGTAGGTACAAATATAATTTTACAGTGATCCCATAAGAGATGGAACAAAAATTAAGGGATTAAAATGTAGTCAAAACTGGCAACTTGAAGCGTGAAAAAGCTAATGAAAAGTTTCTTAGCCCTTTTCAAAGTCAGTCTAGAAAAAGGATTTAGTCAATCTAACTAGATTATAAACCAAACTCAATGAGTGTAATAAAAATTACGCTGATGGTTTACATGAATTTAAAAAATCCTATGGACTAAAGTTTCACAACATTGGGTTTGGCAATGATTTCTTGGTCAAATGATACCAAAGACACAGACAAGAAAAGATAAAAATAGAGAAATTGTACTTCATAAAAAAAATTTTAAATTTGCACATCAAAACACACTGTCCACAGGATAAAAAAGCAACCTAGCCCATGGAATGGAGGAAAGTATTTGCAAGTTATATATGCAGATAACTTAAAACTCAACAACAACAACAAACTCTGATTCAAAATAAGCAAGAGGCTTGAATAGCCATTTCTCCAAAGAAGACACAGAAGAAACCGACAGGCACATAGAAAGATTCTCAACACCACTAATCATTATAGAAATGCAAATCAAAACCGCAATGAAATACCACTTCACACCATTAGGATGACTACTATTAACCACAAAACCAGAAAATAAAAAGTGTTGGTGAGGATGTGGAGAAATTGAAAGTCTTACACATTGTTGGTGGCAATGTAAAATGCTACAGCCACTATGGAAAACAGTATGATGATTCTGCAAAAAATTAAACACAGACTTACCATATAATCCAGTAATTCCACTTCTGAGTATATACCCAAAGAAATGGAAACAGGGCCTTGAAGAGATGTTTCTACAGCCATGTTCATAGCCGCACTATTCACAACAGCTGAAATGTGGATGCAACCCACGTATTCATCATTAAGCAAAATGTGGAATATACAATTATATCTCAACAAAGCAGTTTCTAAAAAAAAAAAAAGACCTTGTGAGTATTAGCCAAAAAATAGACAAATAAATCAATAGAACAGAATAGAGAGCCCAGAAATAGGCTCACAAAAATAAAGGCAATAGATCTTTGACATTGAAGCAAAAGCAATTCAATGAAGAAAGGTTAATCTTTTTAAACAAATAGCGCTGAAAAAACTGGACATCTACATGCTAAAAAACAAAAACAAAACAAAAAAGAATCTAAACACTAACCTTACACCTTTCATAGAACTGAAAGGAGAAAGAAACAAATCCTCCACAATTATACCTGGACACTTCCACACCCCCTTCTCAACAACTGAAAAAAACAACTAGACAGGAAAACATCAAAGAGGTAGAAGAACTCCACAATACCATCAACTAACAGGATCTAATAGACATTAACAGAACACCCCAAGGAGCAATAGCAGAATACACATTCTTTTCAAGTGCCAACCAACATATGCCAAAATGGACCATATCCTAGACCATAAAACCAACCTTAACAAATTTAAAATGGCTGAATTTATACAGAGTATGTTCTTTGACTAGATGCCAAACTAGAAATCAGTAACAGAAGGTTAACAAGAAAATACCCAACACTTGGAAATGAAACAACACACTTATAAATGTTCCATTAATAAAAGAAGGCTCAATGGAAATTTTAAAAATCTATCAACTGAATGAAAATGAAAATATGATATATCAAAACCTGCAGGACACAGCTAAAGCAGTGGAGAGAGTAAAATTTATAGCAATAGGAAGCCAAGGCAGGTGAACTTCTTGAGTCCAGGAATTTAAGACCAGCCTGGGCAATACAGGGAGACCTTGTCTCTACAAAAAAAATACAAAAGAATTACCCAGGCATAGTGGTGTCCACCTATACTCAGCCAGTTGGGAAGCTGAGGTGGGAGGATCACTTGAGACTAGGAGGTCAAGACTGCAGTGAGCTATAATTACACTACTGCACTCCAGCCTGGGTGACAGAGTGAGAGCCTGTCTCAAAAAACAAGAGACACATTGGAAGAAAAAATGCTCAATTCAACAATCTAAGCTTTTGTTTCAAGGACCTAGAAAGAGAGGAGCCAAAAAAGCTCAAAGCAATGAAAGATGGAAATAATGAAGATAGGAAAAATTTGCCAATGTCAGGAATATTACAGGCACCTCATTATAGACGTTGCAGACATCAAAAGGAACAGAAAAGAATACTACAAGCAAAACATTATTTGACAAGATAGATTAAATGGATCAATTCTTTTTCTTTTTTTTCTTTTTTTTTTTTTTTGAGACAGAGTCTCGATCTGTTGCCGAGGCTGGAGTGCAATGGCGCAATCTCGGCTCACTGCAAGCTCCGCCTCCCAGGTTCAGGCCATTCTCCTGCCTCAGCCTCCCGAGTAGCTGGGACTACAGGTGCCCAACACGCCTGGCTAATTTTTTGTATTTTTTAGTAGAGATGGGGTTTCACCGTGTTAGCCAGGATGGTCTCGATCTCCTGACCTCGTGATCTGCCTGCCTCGGCCTCCCAAAGTGCTGGGATTACAGGCATGATGAGCCACTGCGCCTGGCCTAAATGGGTCAATTCTTTAAAGAACACACAAACTACCACAACTCACCCTATATAAAATAGATAATTTTGATAGCCCTATAACTATTGACATTGATGTCACAATTTTATAACTCCCAGAAAGTTAATTTGTAGGCCAGATGCTTTCACTGGAGAATTCTATCAAAATATTAAATAAGAATGAATACCAATTTTACATAATCTATGTTACTGGAAATAAAAGAGAAGGAAACACTTCCTGACACATTTTCTGAATGTGATGTTACCCTGATACCTACATCAGGCAAAGCACAAAAAGAAAAACTACTGAACAACACCACTCATGAATACAAATGCAAAGACACCAAACAAAATATTGTCAAATAAAATGTGGTACTATATATATATAAAAAAATTATACTCCACGATCACAGGGAGTTTGTTCCAGGAATGCAAGACTGGTCCAATATTTGAAAAAAAATCACATGATCACATCAATCATTGCAGAACATAATTCAATACCCATTCAGGATAAAAACTGAGAAAAATAGGAACAGAGGAAAATGTCCTCCACTTGATAAGAAAAATCCACAACCAAAACTGTAGCTAACATAACACAATGTTGAAAGGTTAAATGTTTTTTTAACTGAGATTAGGAACAAGACAAAACCGTTCACTCTTACCACTCTTTATTCAAATTGATGGAAATTCTAGTCAGTGCAATAAGGCAAGAAAAATATGCAAATGACATGTAGATCAAAAAGGAAGGAATATCACTGTCTCTCTCTATGAACACTGTCTCTCTCTATGAACACTGTCTTTATTTACAGAAGACATAATTGTCTCCTTAGAAAACCCCACGTATTCTACAGAAAAACTCTTAGAAGTGAATGTAGCAGTATCACAGAATAAAAGATAAACATGCAGAAATAAATCACATTTTTTTTTTTTGGCTGGACGCGGTGGCTCACGCCTGTAATCCCAGCACTTTGCAAGGCTGAGGCAGGCGGATCACCTGAGGTCGAGAGTTCAAGACCAGCCTGGCCAACATGTAGAAACCCCATCTCTAGTAAAAATACAAAATTAGCTGGGTGTGGTGCCGCATGCCTGTAATCCCAGCTACTCGGGAGGCTGAGGCAGGAGAATCACTTGAACCTGGGAGGCAGAGGTTGCGGGGAGCTGAGATCACGCCACTGCACTCCAGCCTGGGCAACAGAGTGAGACACTGCCTCAATAATAAATAAATAAATAAATAAATAAATAAATAAATAAATAAATATAATATTTTTATATAACAGAGATTGGCACTGAAATTCAAAATAAAATACTACTTACGATTTCTCAAAAATTGGTTTACTAAAGTATAAATCTAATAAAATACATAGAGGACTTCTGTACTGAAAATTGCAAAATGCTGATGAAAGAATTTGAAGATGGCAGGCGCAGTGGCTCACGCCTGCAATCCCAGCACTTTGGGATGCTGAGGCGGGTGGATCACGAGGTCAGGAGATCGAGACCATCCAGGCTAACACGGTGAAACCCCGTCTCTACTAAAAATATAAAAAATTAGCCGGGCATGGTGGCGGGCGCCTGTAGTCCTAGCTACTCGGGAGGCTGAGTCAGGAGAATGGCGTGAACCTGGGAGGCGGAGCTTTCAGTGAGCAGAGATTGCACCACTGCACTCCAGCCTGGGTGACAGAGAGAGACTCTGTCTCAAAACAAAACAAGAAAAAAACAAAAAGAATTTGAAAGCATTCTAACTAAATCAAGAAACATAAACATATCCTATTTATAGATTGTAATAAAATTAGAATAAATTAGAAATGAAGTCTAATATTTGTATTTTATAGATTATAATTAAACTCATTATAATTAGTCTTTCCTCGTGTCTTTCTTTCTTTGTATTTCTTTCTTTCTTCTTCTTCTTTTTTTTTTTTTTGTGACACAGTCTCACTCTGTGGCCCAGGCTGAAATGCAGTGGCATGATCTCGGCTCTCTGCAACATCTGCCTCCCGGATTCAAGCAATTCTCCTGCCTCAGCCTCCCTGGTAGCTAGAATTGTGGGCACCTGCCACCACACCAGGCTAATTTTTGTATTTTTAGTAGAGACGGCGTTTCACCATGTTGGCCAGACTGATCTCAAACTCCTGACCTCAGGTGATTTGCCTGCGTTGGCCTCCCAAAGTGCTGGGATTACAGGCGTGAGCCACCACGTCCAACCAGCTTGACATTTTTTTTTCTTTCCCTCCAGAGACGGAGTCTTGCTCTGCCACCCAGGCTGGGGTGCAGTGGCACCATCTCGACTCACTGCAACCTCTGCCTTCCAGGTTCAAGTGATTCTCCTGCCTCAGCCTCCCACATAGCTGGAATTACAGGCACCTGCCACCACACCCGGCTTTGTATTTTTAGTAGTGACAGGGTTTCACCATGTTAGTCAAGCTGGTCTTGAACTCCTGACCTCGTGATCTGCCTGCCTCGGCCTCCCAAAGTGCTGAAATTAACAGGCGTGAGCCACCACTCGCGGCCGATATGTTTTATTATGCAATGGGAAAGGCCTTCCCTGAGTAAGGAAAGTTCCCACTTTAAATCAGCTAGTAAGAAAGCAGCAAATTAAAGCCAAAACAAGCAGAGGAAAGAAATATGATCAGAAATCAATTACATTGAAAATAGATGAACAAAATTTCAATGCAGTCAAAAGCTGATTCTTTGAAAAAAAATCATTACAATTGATAGAGCTCTAATCAAACCAATTGGAGAAACATGAAATAAGAGAGGACACAAATGATCAATATCAGTAATAAGAGGAGACATCACATACAAGGAAGACATTGAGAGGATGCTACAAATAACTTTAAGTTCATACATTCAGCAACTTAAACGTGCCAATTCCTTGAAACTCACAAACTACTCAAACTCATTTAAGAAGAAATATGTGGCCGGACGCGGTGGCTCACGCCTGCAATCCTAGTACTTTGGGAGGCCAAGGCAGGCGGATCACCTGAGGTCAGGACTTTGAGACCAGCCTGGCCAAAATGGTGAAACCCTGTCCCTACTAAAATAAAAAATTAGTCAGGCATGGTCACGTGCATCTGTAATCCCAGCTACTCGGGAGGCTGAGGCAGGAGAATTGCTTGAACCTGGGAGGCAGAGGTAGCAGTGAGCCAAGTTCGTGCTACTGCACTTCTGCCTGGGCGACAGAGCAAGACTCTGTCTCCATTAAAAAAAAAAAAAGAAAGAAAAAGAAGAAGAAGGAAGAAGAGAAGAAGGAGAAGGAGGAGAAGAAGAAGACATATGTGACCATGCCGGGCGCAGTGGCTCACGTCTGTAATCCCAGCACTTTAGGAGGCTGAGGCGGGCAGATCACCAGGTCAGGAGATAGAGACCATCCTGGCTAACACACGGTGAAACCCTGTCTCTACTAAAAATACCAAAAAATTAGCCAGGCATGGTGGCGGGCGCCTGTAGTCCCAGAGGCTGAGGCGCCTACTCAGGAGGCTGAGGCAGGAGAATGGCGTGAACCCGGGGGGCAGAGCTTGCAGTGAGCCGAGATCTCACCACCGCACCCCAGCCTGGGCAACAGAACAAGACTCCGTCTCAAAATAAATAAATAAATAAATAAAAGTAAAAAGTGATTGTAATGGGCCTATATTGTCCATCTGTAAAGTAACACTGAATTTGCAGGTAAAAACATTTTAATAAAGGTATCCTCGGATCCAAATGATTACATTGGTGAATTCTACCAGACATTGACAAAGGGCATAATAATAGTAATAGTAATAATAATAACAGCAATGATACATGATCTGTTTTAGAAGGCAGAAGAAAGAATACTTCTAACTTATTTTATGAGGTGGGCATAAATTACATTGGTACCAAAAAAATTACAGTTTACAAGACAAACAAAAGAAAACAAACAAAACTACAGAGTGGTATCCTCATGAACGTATTTGCAAAAGTCCTTTACAAAATATTAGCAATTCAAATCCAGCAATGTC
Source organism: Homo sapiens (assembly GCF_000001405.40). Classification (NCBI taxonomy): domain Eukaryota; kingdom Metazoa; phylum Chordata; class Mammalia; order Primates; family Hominidae; genus Homo; species Homo sapiens. Next base: position 36,661,527 of record NC_000010.11, read on the forward strand.
TAAAATGGACAATACATTATTACCAAGGGGAGTTCATCCAAAGAAGGTAAAGTTGGTTCAACATTTGAAAATTAATCAGTCTGATTCACCATATTAACAGGCTAAATTAGAGAAACCATTTGATCATACTAATAGAAGGAGAACAAGCATTTGACAAAATTCTATATCCACTCATGTTAGTATCTCCCAGCAAATTAGAAAAGCAGAGAAGTGTGTAAAACGGGCTGCATCTTCCCTCTAACTAGGTTCAAACCTACTGGTATAAGGTGATAATTAAAGCCATGGGTGGTGTGGATGATCCCAGAATAAAGACAGCTTCTGCATTTCTTCCTGGAGACCACAACCCCAGACTCCAGATTTTGCCTGAGTCCTGGAGGGACACGAGAAGCGCTGAGAAAAACATATCTGTATGAATTTTCCCAATCAATGGGCCTATGACAGCATGTGATATAAAGTTCTGAACCCAAACAAAATGTGAGAAATGTAGAATATTATTGTTCATTGAGATAGAAAATGTATATGGCGAAGAATCTTTGCCTCTCCCAGTCTTATAGAACTATAAAGTGATGCTGAAAGACTTTAAATGTCTCCTGTGAGCATAAAATGAAAGTGGGCTGATAAAGAGCCAGAGTCTGAGGACACTGAAGTGAGAATGAGGGAGTGATGTGGCAGTGCAGGGCCGGACTGAATACTGAGAACCAGATGGGACAGTGCATCTTCTAATGAAGTCAGGACGATGGTGGGTGCTGTGGAGTGGGAGGACCAGTAACAGATTATCAAAGTGCAATGACTGCTTTTGGCACAACCAGGGCTTGCATAGCAATTTCCATGCTAGTCGATGTTGAGAAGCATCTACATTGTTACCTAGACTCTGGGCCATCCTCTCCCCACATTGTATGTAAATCATCATTGTTTCTTTCACATCTGATTTTAGCATTCCTTTGTATTAGTAGGTGAAATGTTGCAGCAAATATATCCAAAATGTATACTGGCTTAAGCACCACCAAAGCACATTTCTCACTAAATTTAATAGTCCAAGGTAGTATCAAGCTGGCAACGCTCTGCTCCGCATAGTTTTCAGGGATCCAGGCTAATGAAGGCTCTGCCATCTTGAATACATGGCATGACAGGTTATTCTTGGGCAAAGATATCCAGCTGTGGAGGGGGAAAAAGCAGGAAGTAACTCATGGGTGGTTTTTATGAGCCAGATACAACAAAATGTTATTTATATTACAGTGGCTGGAACTCAGGAAGTATCACGACTATCCCAAGAGAGCCTGCCCCAAGAGAGGCTGGAAAACTGGTTTGGTAAATACCTAGCTGGCCTGCCAGATCTGTCAGAGCCACAGTAAACTTGGGTTTAAGATATTATGGAATCCTACGTATATACCTAACCAAGGAGGTGAAAGACCTTTACAAGGAAAACTACAAAACCCTGGTAAAGAAATCATAGACGACGCAAACAAATGGAAATACAACCCATGCTCATGGATGGGTAGAATCAATATTGTGAAAATGACCATACTGCCAAAAGCAATCAAAATACCACCATCATTCTTCACAGAACTAGATAAAACAATCCTAAAATTCATATGGAACCAAAAATCAGCCCACATAGCCAAAGCAAAACTAAGCAAAAAGAACAAAATCTGGAGGCATTGTATTACCTGACTTCAAGCTATACTATAAGGCCATAGTGGCCAAACAGCATGTTACTGGTATAAAAATAAGCACATAGAACAATGGAACAGAATTGAGAACCCAGAAATAAACCCAAATACTTACAGCCAACTGATCTTTGACAAAGCAAAGGAAAATGTAAAGTGGGGAAAGGACACCCTATTCAACAAATGGTGCTGGGATAATTGACAAGCCACATGTAAAAGAATGAAACTGGATCCTCATCTCTCACCTTATGCAAAAATCAACTCAAGATGGATCGAGGACTTATATCCAAAACCTAAAACTATAAAAATTATAGAAGATAACATCGGAAAACCCCGTCTAGACATTGTCTTAGGCAAAGATATCATGAACAAGAGATAAATAGGTGGGAATTAATTAAACTAAGGAGTTTCTTCTGCACAGCTAAAGGAACAGACAACCCACAGAGTGGAAGAAAATCTTCACAATTTATACATCCAATAAAGGACTAATATCTAGAATCTACAAGGAATTCAAACAAATTAGCAAGAAAAAAACAAACAATTCCGTCAAAAAGTGGGCTAAGGACATGAATAGACAATTCTCCAAAGAAGATATACAAATGGCCAACAAACATATGAAAAAATGCTCAACATCACTAATGATCAGGGAAATGCAAATCAAAACCACAATGCAATACCACCTTACTCCTGCAAGAATGTGCATAATTTGAAAAATCACAAAATAATAGATGTTGGCGTGGATGTGGTGAAAAGGGAACATTTCTACACTGCTGGTGGAAATGTAAACTAGTACGACCACTGTGAAAAACAGTATGGAAATTCCTTAAAAAACTAAAAGCAGACCTACCATTTGATCCAGCAATCCCACTACTGGGTATCTACCCAGAAGAAAAGAAATCACTGTACAAATAAGATATTTGTGGTCAGTCATGGTAGCTCAGGCCTGTAATCCCAGCCATTTGGGAGGCTGAGATGGGTGGATCATCTGAGGTCAGGAGTTCGAGGCCAGACTGGCCAACATGGTAAACCCAGTCTCTACTGAAAATACAAAAAATTAGCCGGCCGCGATGGCACGTGCCTGTAATCCCAGCTACTCTGGAGGCTGAGGCAGAAGAATTGCTTGAACCTGGGAGGTGGAGGTTGCAGTGAGCCGAGATGGTGTCATTGCACTCCAGCCTGGGCGACAGAGCGAGACTCTGTGTCAAAAAAAAAAAAAAAAAAAAAAAAGATACTTGCATACGCAGGCCAGACACGGTAGCTCACGCCTGTAATCCCAGCACTTTGGGAGGCTGAGGCTGACAGGTCACGAGGTCAGGAGATCGAGACCATCCTGGCTAACATGGTGAAACCCTGTCTCTACTAAAAACACAAAAATTAGCCAGGTGTGGTGGCACGCGCCTGTAGTCCCAGCTACTCAGGAGGCTGAGTCAGGAGAATAGCTTGAACACGGGAGGCAGAGGTTGCAGTGAGCAGAGATCGCGCCACTGCACTCCAACCTGGGTGACAGAGCGAGACTCTGTCTCAAAAAAAAGAAAGATAGTTGCACACGCATGTTTATAGCAGCACAATTCACAATTGCAAAAATATGAAACCAGCCCAAATGCCCATCAATCAACAAGAGAATAAAGAAACTGTGGTAAATATATACAATGTAGTACTACTCAGCCATAAAAAGGAACTGATAATGCCATCCTCAGCAACCTGGATGGAAGTGGAGATCATTATTCTAAGTGAAGTAACTTTGGAATGGAAAATCAAACATCGTATATTCTCACTCATAAGTGGGAGCTAAGCTAAGAGGACGCAAAGGCATAAGAATGATACAGGGGAATTTGGGGACTCGGGGGAAAACTTGGGAGGGGGTGACGGATAAAAGACTACAAATTGGGTTCAGTGTATACTTCTTGGGTGATGGGTGCACCAAAATCTCACAAATCACCACTAAAGAACTTACTCAAGTAACCAAATGCCACCTGTTCTCCAAAAATCTATGGAAATAAGATTTTTTTAAAGAAAAATTCAAACAATAAACAAAAAGATATGATGGAATTTTGTATGTAGCCACTTTAGCAGGAGAAAGTGCTAAGCAAGAAATTCTGAGATAAGAACTAAGTGACAACGGTGACAACAAAGGACTGTGACTAGCATGGGAATCACACCATTGCAGACTACTGTTTGGTTGCCCGTTGGCACTTTAAGCCAGCCTGCCTACATTCCCGCAACCCTGGTCCACAGAGAAGAATCACAGAAAGCTCAGAGCTGCCTGAAGAGACTTTCCAGACCATTTCTTGTTTGCTCCTACCCTGCTCTTCTGCTGGCCCTTCTCCATTATAAACCCTTGGGTCCACAATCCTCAACATGCCTCTCTCCCTTCAGGTTTGTATCAGTCAACTTGGGCTTCCATAAAAAAATACCACAGACTAGTGGCTTAAACAACAGAAATTTATTTTCTCACTGTTCTGGAGGCTGAAAGTATGAGATCAGGGTACCAGTGTGGTCAGTTTCTAGGGAAGGCTCTCTTCTTGGTTTGCACATCACCTTATTTCTGGGTTCTCACAGGGCCTTTCCTTGGTGTGTGCATGCAGACAGGGAGAGAGAGAGAGAGAGAGAGAGACAGAGAGATCGTCTCCTTCTCTTCGTCTTCTTATAAGGCCACCAGTCTTATTGGATTAGGGCCCTACCCCATAATATCATTTAAATTTTGTTACATCCTAAAGACCCCATCTCCAAATATATTCACATCAGGAGTTAGGGCTTCAACATATGAAATTTGATGATGGGGGACAATTCAGTTGATAGCATTCTACCTTTGGCTAATTCATGTCCTTAGACCTGCAAAAAAATACATTTATTTCACCTCAACGGCCCCCATGATAGTGATTCATTCCAGCATCAATGCTAAAGTAAAAGTTCAAAGTCTCATCTAAATATCAACTAAGTTAGGTATGGGTGAGATTCAAGATTTGATTTATCCTGAAGCACAATTCTTCTGCAGCTATCAACCGGTAAAATCAGACAAGATGTGTGCTTCCAAAATACAATAGTAGGACATAAATAAAATAGAATTTTCTGTTTCAAAAGGGAGTAGTAATCAGAAAAACAAAGGAAGATGAGTCCTGTTCCAAAATGGAGAAATTGGAAAAATAAAGGAGTAGTGGGTCCCAAGCTCCAAAACCTAGCAAGGCTAATTTTATTAGATCTTAAGGCTGGATGGACACCTAAATATAGAAAGCAAATATAAAAAAATCTGAAGAAAGAAATAGACTGCAATACTAAAATAATAGGGGAGTTCAATATTCCCACTTTCAGAAATGGAAAGATCATCCAGACAGACAATCAATAAGGAAACATGAGATTAAACTACACTTTAGACCTAACAGACCTGACAGATATACACTGAACATTCTATCCAACAGCAGCAGGACACACATTCTTCTCAAGCACATGGGGCACATTCTCCAGCATAGATCAGATGTTAGACTACTAAACAAGTCTTAACAAATCCAAGAAGACTGTAATCACATCAAGTATCATATTTGGCTATAACAGTATAAAACTAGAAATGAATAACAGTAGAAATTTTGGAAAATTTACTAATACATAGAAATTAAAGAACATGTTCTGAAGAAATCAATGGGTCTGTAAAGAAATTAAAAGGAAAATTTATAAAATTTCTTGAGACAAACAAAAATGGAAACACAATATACTGAAACTCAGAAATGCAACAAAAGCATTTCTATGAGGAAGTTTTGTAGCAGTAAATACCAATAGCAAAAAAGAAGAAAGATCTCAAATAGACAACGTCACACCTCAAGAAACTAGAAAAACAAGAACAAAATATACCCAAAGTTAGTAGAAGGAAGGATGTAATAAAGATTAGAGAAGAAATAAATGAAACAGTGATTATAAAAATAATAGAAAAAGTTAACACAAGTAATAGTTGATGTGGGGATATGATAAAATCGAGAAAACTTTAGCTAGACTAAAAAAAAAAAGACAGAAATATGTCCACATTAACAGAATGAATGACAAAAAGCATATGATTATCTCAACAGATGCGGAAAAAGCATTTGTCAAAATTCAACATTCTTTCATAATAAAAACTCAAGAAATTAGGTATAGAAGAAGAGCACCTCAACATGATAAAGGCCACATATGACAAGCCCACAGCTAACATCATACTCATACTCAATGGTGAAAGCTGAGAGCTTTCCTCTGAGATTGGGACTAGGCAACGACGCCACTCTCACCTCTTCTATCCGTATGGGGCTACAAGTCCTGGCCAGAGCATGAGGCAGGTTACTATGATCAGGCATGTGGCCCACTCCTAGTCTGTGTCCATTAGTCAAGTGAGGCTCCTAATCCAATCCTAGACTTTATGTTCATTGTCTCAGAAACTGAATAGGCCCGAGGCCTTTTTTTTTTTTTTTTTTTTCTGAGGTGGTGTCTCGTTCTGTCGCCCAAGCTGGAGTGCAATGGCGCGATCTCGGCTCACTGCAACCTCTGCCTCCCGAGTTCAAGCAATTCTCCTGCCTTAGCCTCCTCAGTAGCTGGGATTACAGGTATGCAACACCATGCCCAGCTAATTTTTTGTATTTTTAGTAGAGACGCAGTTTCACTATGTTGGGCAGACTGGTCTTGAACTCCTGACCTCGTGATCTACCCACCTCATCTCCCAAAGTGCTGAGATTACAGTCATGAGCCACCGCGCTTAGCCAAGGCCAGTTTTTAATATTTCTACATGGATGGACTGAGGCCACAAGCCCTGGCATGACTCAGTTTGTAGCTCTGACTGCCAGGGTTCCTGAAGTCCCAGTTACAACTGTATCCAAGCCAGAAGGTGGCATTTCTCCCCATCTGCCACCCAGCTATCCATTAGTGTGGAGGCTTTCCTCTGTTCAAAGACTTAGAAAGCTCCCTATGCAGTAAGCCAGGATATGTTCAAGAGACACTTTTCTCTGCTGTATCAAACATATTTCTCAATAACCTAAGACCTCTGATGCAGGCAAGCAATCTGTTTTGACTAATCCCTGCCTTCCTGGGTCAAAACCTTCCTCAGAGATTGGAGATGCCTTCTTTCTTGGGTCAGGAGTGTGCCTGCACTCTTGTTTACTGGTGCATTCATTAACTCAGGGAATGTTTACTGAGAACCTATGATCCATTGAGGATACAGCAATGAAGAAAACAGACGAAAACCCCTCTGCTGATGGACACCTTAGTCCGCTAGTGAAGGACCACTGACCAACACATGCAGGACCAGGGCAAAACCACGAACTTATTACTTAGATCGTGATAAGAGCTGAGGAGGAATAATAAAAGATGGAATAGGGATAGAAGACAGAAGAAAGGCATGTGAGATTTCGATAAGATAGTCAGAAAAGGGGCATCGAGAAGGGGTCATCTTAGTGAAAACCTGAAGGAACAGGGAGGAAGCAGTGATTCTGAGGCTGGAGACTGCCTCATGCTCACAGGACAGCAAGCAGCCTGGTGTCACCTGAAGTGGGAATTTGGCAACATGAATCGGGGAGGGAATGCAGAATCAGGTGCCCTGGAGGATCCCATAGGCTGTTCTAAGAATTGGCACTTTCACTCAAGATGTGAGAGGACACCATTGGTACATTTTACTGATTGATTTTATTTTATTAATTTTTTTAGATGGAGTCTCACTCTATCCCCTGGCTGGAGTGCAGTGGCCTGATCTTGGCCCACTGAAACCTCCGCCTCCCAGGTTCAAGCAATTCTTCTGCCTCAGCCTCCCAAATAGCTGGGATTACAGGTGTGCACCACTGTGCCCTGCTAATTTTTGTATTTTTAGTAGAGACGGGGTTTCACCATGTTGGCCAGGATGGTCTCGATCTGCTGACCTCGTGATCTGCCTGCCTCAGCCTCCCAAAGTGCTCAGATTACAGTTGTGAGCCACTGTGCCCGGCCTGGCCTGATACATTTTAAATGGAGGGATGGCATGACCTGTCTCAACTTTGAACAGAGTCATTTGTATTGCTGTGTTGAAAGCAGAAGACAGGGAGGTGGAGGCAAATGCTGGGATGCAAGTTACATGACCCACACAGGATGGTGGTGGATTGGACCCGAGTGGCAGCAGTGGAGGTGGTAAGGATGGCCATATTCTTGATTATTTTTTGAGTGTCAAGACAACATGATTTGATGACAGATGAGAACTGAGATGTCAGTGAGAGCATTCGAATGCATTTTAGCTCCCAAGCAATGCTTACTGTTTTCTCCAACATAGTATAGGGATTTTCTGCAACTATAACTTGTATTTTGTTTAACTTTTAGTAATTAAAATATATATTATAGTATACAAGGCAGACTTGTTCTTTAGGTTCTATTCATGGGCATTGAAAAAAATGGATCTATATCCATCTGACATTTTAATATTTACTAGATGAATTGTCTTGGTTCTTACCCATGAGGGGGAAAGAATGGAGAGAAATTAGAGATAGAGATTATATATATATATATATACATTCTCTTTGTATATATACAGACAGAGACAGACAGAGACAGAGGCTATAGGCTTAAGTGTTTTGGTTTAAGTGGCATAGTCCACTGATTGGATTTTCCACTGACTGACCCAGCCTGACCCTGTCCTTTGTCACATCACTATTATGGGCTGGAAAGGTCACTGCACTAGGATGTTTGAGTCTAACTTGGCCTCATATAAGGTGAGCACACTTAGAGAAATCAGTTAACTTCCTTGTCTCTTAGTTTTCCCAAGTTATTAATACAATAAATGAAACTAGATCTACTCAAGTTTTAATGGCTCTCCTCATATTTTTGAAAGTGAATTAGAATACACCCGGCCAGCTATGGGAGAAGTGGCATTTTTTGAAGGGAGGAACTGATAAAATATAGGCTGTCACTATTGGAGGGAGCCCTGGGGCTCATCTCATCCAACTCCCTTCTGGCAGGCTTGAGTGGTTTCTCCTGGCTAGCCAGCTCTCAGCAGACCTGGGCACTCTCTCTCTGGCTGTGACAACTTTCCAGTACCAAGAAGTAAAAGCACATGCCAAGGGGTATTCTGAGAAGCCAGAAATGAAAAGAGTAACTCAGATCATTTTTTCCATCTTAAAAAACAAAAGTTCTACCACATTCTGGCTTCTGTAACAATAGTCTCTTGCCACGAACCTGGGCAGTCTTATATAATGCATTACTATCACAAAACACAAGGTCTTTAAAACTCAATGAGCTGCAGTTTCTGTAATAATCCTTGTCTATCGATAATCAGCCTCATTAAAAACTTGACAAAATGAAATAATGAGTGCCAACTTCTTTCCGCTTTCTGGACACACCAAAGTGTAAAATTCAAATAGATTTTTGTCTGTAAGACGGTTACCACAAGATAATTTTATTGAATTCTACCTAAAAATAAAAATAGGGTGAGTCCTAACCACTCTTTTAAACTATATTTAACTGGAATTCCCTACAAGATTTTTAAAACTGTATTTTTAAACTATATAATCCAAAAGGTTTTGTGGGGGAAGTTAGTAAAAACACAAATTGATGTCCATTTCCTCCCATTTTCCATGTGCTTCCTTTGGTTAAATAAATATTCTAAAAGCATAAAATGCCTCATGTGTTGTGAAAACCTCTGAAAGGCCTCCATATGGTTTCTACTCAATTTCTCACTGGCAGATTTATAGTGGTGGCTGATGGGTGGATAAATCCTGCCTCAACCCAAAACTACTTGCCAGACTTGAATTTGATTGAAAAATGAAACATAACAAAAGCAAATGTATAACAAATATTTTCAGTCAGCAAACATGAGTTTCAACCCGGTTAACACCAGTGACCAATGCATTGGACCAGTTTGTCTCAAACATGCCCACAAGAAATGACCTGGGCGGAATGGCCATTTTGCATGCCAGGTTTTTCTCAAGTACCGTATTGCACCATAGGAACATTTGACCCCCTACTATTGCCATGAATAAACACCAGAAACTTAAGTGGAAAAAAATGCAGTGACCTGTCAAAAAAACTCAGCTTAATTTTTGGCAATTCACTGCATATCCTGGTTTGAATGAGTCCAGTTGGCACATTATATTGACAGTACTGCTGCCCCGAGAGGGTTTTATGGTCAGGGAGTGATTCACAGGACCACACAGCACCTCTGAAGATGGGATTGTTGTGATCTTAGGTGTCATCAAATATAGATCTGAACTTTAATAACAGAAATCTGTACCAAAATACATCAATGGAAATATCACATACGACATCCCTTAAAAGCAAACTCTATTGGCCGTGTGCGGTAGCTCACTCTTGCAATCCCAGCACTGTGGGAGGCCAAGGCAGGAAAATCACCTGAGGTCAGGAGTTCAAGACCAGCCTGGCCAACATGGCAAAACCCCGTCTCTACGAAAAAGTACAAAAAAATTAGCCGGGCATGGTGCTGTGTGCTTGTAATCGCAGCTACTCATGAGGCTGAGGCAGGAGAATCGCTTGAACCCAGGAGGTAGAGGTTGCAGTGAGCCGAAATTTCGCCACTACACTCCAGCCTGGGAGACAGAGCAGCAGGGCTCCGTCTCCAAAAAACAACCAAAAAAGCAAAGCTCTATTTAGCAAAGTCGGCTTGGTATGCTTTAGGTTTATAGGTTTACAAGAAATTGAAGGTGATGTTTATTTAGGCATGTAGCTGAGAAAATCTCGAAATACTGGAATTCATGAAATGTAGACATTTAGTCATACCATAGGCATCTTCTTAGTCCTTTGGAAATGTTTTGTCTTTATCACATATAAAAATGAACCTAGAGAACTGAAAATCATTTTTTTTTCCTCGATGGACAGAATAGGGGCTTCATCCTGGTTCATGTATTAATTCTTTCATTTCAGAAGCATTTATTGAAAACTTCCTTAAAACCAAAAGTTGTGACAGGTCTGGGAACACAAATATTTACTGTGCAGAAGTTAATTACAGCCTTCTAGTAAGAGAGGGAGAGACAGAGAGAGAGGGAGGCAGGGCATGGGATGGGGGAATTGAGTGATGGATTGAGAGGGGAATACCTTGCCGTTACACACAGAGGGGAAAATCTACACCCTGGGACATATCACTGTTGCTGCTACTTTATTTTAACAAGTGGTGGTAAATAATAGAGAAAAATATAAGTAATCTAAATTCAAATTCATTCATTTAATGGAGACATTGAGTTTTTTTTTTTTTTTTAGACGGAGTCTTGCTCTGTCACCCAGGTTGGAGTGCAGTGGCATGATCTCGGCTCACTGCAAGCTCCACCTCCTGGGTTCACGCCATTCTCCTGCCTCAGCCTCCCAAGCAGCTAGGACTACAGGCGCCCGCCACTACGACTGGCTAATTTTTTGTATTTTTTTAAATAGAGAGGGGGTTTCACTGTATTAGCCAGGATGGTCTTGATCTTCTGACCTCGTGATCCGCCCACCTGAGCCTCCCAAAGTGCTGGGATTACAGACGTGAGCCACCGTGCCCAGCCGACATGAGATTTTTTTTAAAAAAACACAAGAATCCATTTAACAAAATTTTTAAAGTAAAAAGATTAAATACTTTTATAGTTATTTCTTCATGCTTCATATATTTTAATTCAACTTTAAATTTACTAAAAATACATAATTTTATACTAAATTTTTTTTTGTTCTTAGAGAAAGCTAATTAAGAAATGAAGTGGATGTGGTGGCTCACACCTACAATCCCAGACACACAGAAGGCTGAAACTGAAGGATTTCTTGAGCCCAGGGGTTCAAGACCAGCCTGGGCAACATAGTGAGACCTCCTCTCAAATACAGAATGTTCTATACTAATGCTGATGATGGTGATAAGGTGCTGGCCAGCAGGCTAAATGTTTCTCTACATCTTCTCAGTTTGTTCTCACAGTGACTCTATGTGTCGATATTATGTTATCCAAGTTCTATGGATCAGATGTATGAGGCTTAGAGGGACTATCAACTTAATTGGAGCTAAGAAAAATACGCAAGTCTGCTTGACTCCAAAGCCATGCTGATAAATCGCTATGCTGTAAGGTGTTTCCATAGCTGCATAACACTCCATCTATGAAAATATTGACTCCACAGAGAGCACTTAAGGCTCATGGTGGCCTAGAATTCCAGATTTCAGAGCCAACAGAGACCTCAGAGTTCATGTAACCTGTCCCATTCCTGGAGCAGCACACACTCACTCACTTCCTCAAGCTGGACATTTAGGGGCCTTTCTCTCATTTTGTTCATGTGGCACCAACTCTGCTAATTTGGCCTTCACAATATTTCCAATCTGTTTTTTTTTTTTCCTTCATCTTCGTGGTCATTGTCTTATTCAAAGATGCCATGATTATCTCTGACCTGACCTGTAATCCCAGCACTTTGGGAGGCTAACGAAGGCGGATTGTAATCCCAGCTACTCAGGAGACTGAGGAAGGAGAATCGTTTGAACAGGGAGGCAGAGGTTGCATTGAGCTGAGATCATGTCACTGTGCTCCAGTCTGGGCGGCAAGAAGGAAACTCCAACTCACAAAATAAAAAACAAAAAAAAGAAATGAAGACTTACAGGCCGCACTCCAGATGTTCTGACCCGGAATCTACATTTCCACATCTTCAGGTGATGCCTTTGCACATTGTAGTAGAGTGGTTTTTAAAGTCTTTAAAAAATATTTTGGGAGTGAAGGTGGGGTGGAAGGTGGAGGGCCTTGAGAGCCTGGATTGATTTATATGGGTTGTAAGTAAACCAGTGTCAGTCACAGCAGGTCTGCAGCACCACCAGAAGCATTTGAGCTGGCAGACAAAATTCATTATTTCTATTCAAAATAGCAATTCTTCCCATCATGGTCCCATCTTTTATTTGAGGCACACATTTCCCAAGGGGCAGCTAGAGAGACCATACGTAGGTCTGATCTTAATTATTATTTACTTCATAAGCTTTGGTGGTTTTTTTTTGTTTTTTCTTCCTTTTTACTATATCATCACTATCAAAGTGTGGGGGCTCATTGTCAAGGTGACTGGTCTTTACTGGATTAAATTCCAGCATCCTCATTTCACTGACTTCCCTTGATTCTTACTATTGAAAGAACATAAGGCACTCTACAATTCTGACTGCTTCCCTCTGATTCGTTTGTCTCTTCATAAGTTTTCATCACTTTGTTGTCTATATATTACTGCAAACTTGATTTCTATCTCATAGGTTGGTGCAAAATTAATTGTAGTGTTTGCCATTACTTTTAAAAGGCAAAAACTGCAATTTATTTTGCACCAACATAATACTAATTGGCCCTGTTCCTTGTCTCTCCCAGTGCAGTGGATTGTGTCCCTGAATTCCTCCTCTGACTTTGCATGGAGAGAGATATTTAAAAATGTATTAGGAGCCATGTGAACCCGGGAGGTGGAGCTTGCAGTGAGCCGAGGTCGCACCACTGCACTCCAGCCTGGGTGACATAGTGAGATTCTGTCTCAAAAAAAAAAAAAAATGTATTGGGATCATCATACTTCTCTGCTTCAAACTCTTTTCCCGCTGTGCTTGTATTTCAGACATTTTCATCTGGACCATAGGCCTTGCAGGATTTCATCCTCGTCTTTGCTCTAGAATCTTTCCTATTGCTCTTCTCTCTCACTTACCAGATGCCATGATTATCTCTGACCTGACCTGTAATCCCAGCACTTTGGGAGGCTAACGCAGGCAGATCACCTGAGGTAAGGAGTTCAAGACCAACCTGGCCAACATGATGAAACCCCGTTTCTACTAAAAATACAAAGATTAGCTGGTCATGGTGGTGAGTGCCTGTAATCCCAGCTACTCAAGAGACTGAGGAAGGAGAATCGTTTGAACAGGGAGGCGGAGGTTGCATTGAGCTGAGATCATGCCACTGCGCTCCAAACAAAGGCCTCTTTGGTTTTTCAAGCTCACCAATATCTACCCTCTTCTGCCAGCCCCCACCTTCTACACATGCCTGATTTTTGTCCTCTTCATATTGGTCCTCAACCATCACCTCCTCAGAGAGAGCTGTTTTCTCACTCTGATTATTTCTCATAGAACCCCAAAGGTAATACAATCAATAATCCTCTCTAATCATACCTGTGTTTGTTTCATTTGTTTAGACTTTGGACTTTATAGAAACACAGTCTATTTGTCTTTTGTTCACCATTGTCTTCTGTCATATATACATTGTTTTGTTTTCTAATGCATGGATTCAGTCTATTTGCTTCATTCAACAGAAGAGAAAATTGAGGTCTGGAAGGGTTAAGTTGACTTGTTGAAGACCATGATTCTGTGAGCAGCAGAGCCAGATTTTCTGGCTCTCAACACAGTATGCTTTTCATTACATTGTCACTGCACAGAGTTAGCAATTTAAGACACAGTCCTGCTAACTGAAGATGACTTAACATAAACTTTGATCATATAACTCAAATCACCACTCTGCAGTTATCATGGACATTGAACTCCACTGGCCATCGAAGCCAGCAGTGTGAAAACAGCTGTTTTTCATTCACTGAGGTCAGTAGGTCTAAGATAAATAAAGAAGGGATTCTGCATTGACTGACGACTCCATGCCGGCAAAGTTGGTGGAAGTAAGAGCAATGCCGGTAAGCCAAAATCTGACTCACTGGCCACCAAGTCTGACTCCTCCCAGTGGGAAATATCTGCTCTGGGAGTCACTGGACCCATTTTTCTGCAAGTCAAGAGATCCAGTGTCACACCCTGCCAGCCTCTATTGACCTTCTGGGGCGATAGGTATGGATGTGGTGCAGTTAGCAATGTGCCACGCCCTCCACATGCAAGAGAGACAAATTCAACACAGGAGAAAAGTGGAGCTGAAGGGAAAATTTTCTCCTAAGAAATAAAATGGTTTTTAAGTGCCAAACTGTAGGATACACTTAATCTTACTGAGGATCAAATTAAGAAATGTTATTTGTTCTAACAGCATGGATTAGGTCGGTTCAACAGAAGCCTGTTTCTCAAAAACAAAACAAAACAACAACAACAAAAATCAAAGAGAATAAGGAAGGCACTGGGTTTAGCTATTATAATACCAACACCTTACAAAGCATAATGTTCCAAACAAGAAAAATGTTCCCCCTAAAATGGTCCAGTTTATGACTTCGAAGGATCCTGACAATATTTGAAGGAGGCAAAAGGTCTGTGTAAAACCGGCTCCATTGCTCACCTTTCTTATCCAGGACATCATATGTTCTTCCTGCCTAGGGTGATGATGATTTGGGGTGGGAGGAGGGTCTGGCCTGGCATTCTATGGGCACAGTGGTTATGTGGCCACGGCTGTGAGAGTCAGTACTCTGCAGTGGCAAGCAGCCAAGCTGGAAATTACATAGGTTGCAAATGGTGTACCCCTGCTGTTCATGTGCTGTTGCTAAAGACACCCTGCTCAATCCAATCAGTCAGTCACTCTCTAAATCAGAAGCACATGTAGTAGGCATGTACTCTTCAGCCACAATAGTGTCTCCTTGTGTAATGGGTTTGGCCATTCAGAAACTGAACATATTCTGGGGGTGCACCTGTACTGAGCAGGCCATGTAATGAGGGTTAATTGTGGGGTTAATAGAATGATAAACTTTGCTATCCTCAGCAGCTGCAGGTAATATTGCAGCAAAATCATTCACATGTGCAACTAATTGAATGGCTTCTTCAAACTAGGCATCTTTAAGAGCTAGGAACAGAGAGCTGATAATTGCATGTGGGGTATAAATAGCCTTTCAATTACAGCTCACAAAAACACTTCCTCCTGCTGCCTGATGCAGAGTATTCATGGTAGGCCAATGTGTGGTTTCTGAGGAATGAAAACCAGATTAGGAAGACCTATTGCAGCCAAACATGCTCTTTTTATGATAAAGCCTAATGAGGGTTAATTTCATCTCCTTGTTCACCAGGTGCTACCGAGTGTTGAGTGCTCTGTGCACGTGTGTGTGTGAGCATACACGCAAGTGTGTGTGTGTGTCTGTGCGTGTGTGTGTGTGAGAGAGAAAAACAGCAAGAGACCTACAGATGATAGAAGTTTAGGATGGCTCTAGAAAAATCCCAGCCAAAATATCTATTACTCAGCTTCAGCTTGAAAGATGATACCATTGGTAGAGTCAACAACTCTGAGCGTCTGTGCTGACCCAGGCAAGAAGAGTTTTCAGTACCTCCATGAACATAAAACAGGCAGTAAAGATTTGATTTAGATGTATTTAATGAACAATAAAAGCTAGGAATTAAATCGTAGGGAGGAGAAGCAGCTTTTTGGCACTCTCTTGGCTAATAGCATCAGGATGGTAAAGACATAGGATGGGAAGAGCGGCCAAGCAAGTGGTTCTCCTAATGATTATGTATTATGTCAATTTATTTTTCCAAAGGACACAGGTGGAAGGAACCAGATGAAGTAGGTGGTTGAGCTTCTGGAGCTGCTGTGGAACATTTTGTACAAACAGGGAGTGGTAACATCTGTTCCATAAAGAGAAAACACTCTGCTGTCAAAAGAGCAGTAGGCTCAGCAGGAGATTCGAGTCCAGTCCAAGCTGTGTCCCTGCTTCCTATGTCAATGTGGCAAATCACTTGAACCCTCTGAATTTCCATTTAGCCATCTATCTTGTAATATATAATAACAATTATCATCTATATAACTCTTTAGACTTATTATCTGATGCAAATGCTCTACTAGATCTTCAACAAGAAAATGAGTTAGTCATTTGCTTCATTGCAGATTGTAAAGGCTAGAGATAAAGGAAATAAATTTTTTATTAAAATTCCTACAAAGTAAGATAATTTTCCCTTTTTATGACTTTGGTTAAATGCGTTCGAACCAAATCAACCATTCTATAATATGCCACATTGGGACACATAAATTAAAGCAATTACCCCGAATTAACATGTGCAGAGTCTGGACGTGGTGGCTCACGCCTGTAATCCCAGCACTTTGGGAGGCCGAGGTGGGTTAATCAGCTGAGATCAGGAGTTCAAGACCAGCCTGGCCAACATGGTGAAACCCTGTCTCTACAAAAATTAGTGGGGCATGATGGCGTGTGCCTGTAATCCCAGCTACTCGGGAGGCTGAGGCAGAAGAATCACTGGAACCCGTGAAGCAGAGGACGCACTGAGCCTAGGTCGCGCCATTACACTCCAGCCTGGGCGACAGAGCAAGACTCTGTCTCAAAAAAAACAAAAAACAAAAAACAAAAAAAACAAAAACCAAACAAACAAAAATGTGCAGGTCTACAAAAGCTAAAGCCTATCTTTTTCAACCAGTATTCAACAAACACTTCACACAACACCCTTTCTAACTTAATCCACTATCTCAATTGTGCCTTCATTCTTTGAGTGATGAGTTTTGTTTAAAATATTATGATAGCTTCTGAATATCTTAAATATTTTTGGAACTTCTATACTCAGATACACTTACAATATTTTTCCCACGCACATACAATTTATTTATTGGCTTATCCATTAATTCATCGACAGATATTTGTTTGTTTTTTGCTCACCAAATGCTAGGCACTGTTCTAGAAGCTGGGTAACCCAGAATACAGCACAATAAAGTTTCTGTCTTGCTAAGCTTATATTCTGGTGAAAGTTAGGTTATATTCTGGTGGGAGAGAGATTATATATATATAACCATATGTGTAATTATTATGTAAACATATGTATATATGATATTTTATATGTGTGTACATATGTGTGTGCATGTATATATAAACAGATGGTCACTGACTCACCATGGTTTGACTCATGATATGATTTTTCATTTTTATGATAGATTTATCAGGGTATTAAATACATTTTACAACTATGATATTTTCAACTTATAGTAACTTTTCGGAACATAACCCCACTGTAAGTTAAAAAGACACTCTTTTGCCGGGTACAGTGGCTCACGCCTGTAATCCTAGGACTTTGGGAGGCCGAGGCGGGCGGATCACGAGGTCAGGAGTTCGAGACCAGCCTGGTCAGCAGGGTGAAACCCCATCTCTACTAAAAATACAAAAATTAGCCAGGCATGGTGGCGTGCGCCTGGAATCCCAGCTACTCGGGAGGCTGAAGTAGGAGAATCACTTGAACCCGGGAGGTGAAAGTTGCAATGAGCTGAGATCGCGCCACTGCACTCCAGCCTAGGCGACAGAGTGAGAATCCATTTCCAAAAAAAAAAAACACCATTGTTTTTAAGAATTTAAAGGTGGGTCACAGGCCTGGCCCACCTCCTCCCCAGGCACCCATGTGTCAGGCACAAGGCACTGCCACACATGGTGGCCTGGGGAGAAGGATCTTTGGAGAAGTATTATTTAATACAGGGTACTCGGGATAAGACTCTTTGATAAGGGGACATTTAAACAGAGACCTAAATGGGATGAGAAAGCTGGCTCTGCAGACATTTGGGGGTGCACATTCCAGGCCCAGGAGGGGCAAGTGCCAAGGGCCTGACGTGGGCGGGGACCTCGTGTGCTCCTGGCAGAGCCAGGGAGCCAGCGAGCCAGCGAGTCTGAGTGAGACTGAGTGAGCTGGAGCAGAGAATTCAATTCCCAAAGAGACACTGAAAGGCCTTTAGATTTTATTTGATGTGATATGGAAAGCCACTGCAGGTTGGGGCAGAGGAGTGATGTCATTGTATTTATTTGTAGAAGGTCCCTCTGAGCTACTGCAGGGAGAATGGACTGCAGGAACTACGGGTGGGGACAGGCAGGTCTGAGAGGAAGCTGCTGAGCGGGCCCGAGCCAGAGGATGATGTTTGGATTAAGATAATATTGGAGAGATCAGTGATACTCACTCCTATTCTGAACATATTCTGAAGAAAGAGCGAATGAGTTTTTATACAAGACAAAGAGGAGAGTCAGAAGTGACTTCAGGGTTTTGGTTTTGAATGAACACAGAGTTGCCATTTACTGAATGAGGAAGATTGGGATGAGAGGTTTTGTTGGGTGAAACCAAGAGTTTAGTTTTGAACATGGCAAGTGTGAGATACCTCTGACACCCAAACAGGCAAAGATATCTCCAGTCTAGAGCTCAGGGGAGGGGTTGGAGCGGTAATCATGGCAAACGGCCTCTTTTTAATTACCACAGAAGTACATTGGGTTTTCCAGTGGTTCTAGGTGACCCTCTTCTGCGACGTTTTGTTATGCGGAGTTTATTCATGCTTATTCAGTAGCATTTAAAGAAACCGCGGAAGTATAGTTAATAACAGTGTGCTGAATTCTTGAAAATTGTAAAGACAGTACACGTTTAAGTGTTCTCATCACACACACACACAAATGATAAGCCCGTGTGGGAAAGCATATGCTAATGAGCTCAGTTGAGGCATTACACAATGCATGCCTACACCAAAACATTCTGTGGTACGTGATAAACATATATGAAGACAATTTCTGTCAATTACAAAAATAGAAAAAAGAAACCACTGAAGTGGTGGATTCCTTCTGCTGAGAGGATTTGGAGGCCTTAGAAAGTTACTTTATTAAACATGACTGCTCTGTCAAGAATAGAAGTCAACATGTGAGATACAATGAACCAGCATGTGCCCAAGTAAGGGGATTTCCAGAACATTCAAAGAGAGTATTCTACTCTTTCCAGAGTATTTTAATCTCTGAAAGATTACTATAAGGTACAAGTGTGACCACATCCAGCTGTCCCTTCTCTCCATCTGGCTGGGCACATCCAATCTCTGATGCCACCTAAATTCCACCTCTTGCATTGATCCTTTGACAATCCCTTTAATCATAAGGGCTGTTTCCCCTCTGATTTCCCATACCCTCTAGCGAGTAACCTTGTATTTACTCCTTTCTGATTTTCCTGTGGCCTCTGTTTGAATCCTGGATATGCCCCTTATTATGCTCCTGCCTTGCAGAGGCCTCTCTTAGCCTCAGTTTCCTCATCTATAAGGAAATAGAAGACCTAATACAGGCTCTGTAGTCCTATAACATTCAGCCTTGCAGAGATGTTATTTATAGCGTAAATGAAATGCTATACATTATTACCAGTTGCTCAATAAATAGTAGAAATAATTTTGTGAATATGTGCATTATTATTTTTACTCCTTTTGTATTTTTATGAATCTTGTTTTATTTTACCATCTTTACTATAACATATTATGTAGCTGAACCCACGGACACATCCTCAATAAACATTTGTCAGATGAATTAAACATGAATTAAATAAAAGAGAGAATATTTTGAGGGAGTAAAATATATTCTTTTGAAATGACAACTTATTGGGAAAATTTTGGAAGATTCAGCCAATTTAGAAACATTTCTGCTATGTCCAAAACAAACAAACAAACTAACAACAAAAAAAAATGACTACAGGTAAAAGAATTCCCCAACAATCTCTTTAGGCTTCTTTTGTAAACAGTAGATAAAGTAACATTTTAAAAATTAGTTAGTCTGAATATATAACAGTAAAAAAAAAAAAACTATGGGTAGTCAAAATCTGTATCTTGTCAAATTAAAAAGAAAATCAAAGTTGGAAGCTAAAAATTATTTTCACAAAATGACTTGGCATAAATTATATTGGTAAAATGAATTTTCCTTCCTAAAATAAAAAAGACAAGGCAATGCTGATAACTTTTCTTTTATAGTATTTCAAGGCCTTACACTGAACTTCAAAGAAAGCCAGACTTAAAATAACCTGAATGCAGCTGCATTTTCATCAGTTTTGCTGCACTTTTACCTTTACCGCCATTCATCATCTAAGTCAAACAGTTTATAAGGAGAAGACATAAATTCTAACCCCAAGCCAGGAATGCTATCAATGAGTTTGGAAGTTTACATTCTGTTGGCATGAGGTCACTATTTGCTGTCACTGGTGATCAATGAGCCGGCCAGTGTCCTTAGCCCTAGCCTATCTTTCTGAGTTTAGCAAGTTTCCCAGTTTTAATGAGTTTACTTACAGTCCTCAGAAAATAATTTTCTACTGAAATTCACCAAGTCCCATTTAGGTGATTTAAAATAGCAAACAATTTTTAAAAGCAGTAGGAATCTAAATTGCCATCCACACTGTTGGTATTTTAAAAACAGTGATTGATGAGACAGAGGAGAAAGGATTATGTCTATAAATAAGCAAAGACTTAAAACCTTTTAGCAAGAACATTTATATCACCCAGGTTAATCTCTTATGACAATAGTTGTGGTCTCTTGGAAATTTGACAATGTCTTCCAGTGATTAGGAAGATATGGTTTTCTTATTAATACACAAAGAACTGGGGTACCATGGTTAATATTTTACTGAATTGTGGAAAAGTGGTAGATTTTTCTCAGTCCTAGTGGCACTGACATTTTAACTCACTTATCTCTGATTTATTAAGTTCTTGACAGTGCCAAAAAAAAGAAAAAAAAGGGATGCATTTTGCCTGAAGGATCTGTAGCTAAGGCGATTTGACATATGCTTTTCTTCTCTCTTAAGGGGGTCGTCCCAGCTGTGCAATTGCCATTTCATGGTGCAGTAGTCTTTAAGATTATTTCTTACATAGTGGAATTTTGTGTCACCACAATATTTTGAAAATTTGCTAAAATGACATCTTACATTAAATTTTGAATTTTATGAAAAAAACAAATACTTCAAGCTAAAATTATAATCAAAGATTATCCTAAGGATACAATGGAAAAAACGCCCAATAATACATGAGAGGGCAAATACAATAGATGGGATGCCTATTAGATATTAATATCGTGTCAATGCATTGCTTATGTTTATTAGATTTCTCCTTTAAGCTACTGATTATAAGGACGGATATGCTCAGGGAATTTTATCATTTTATAAAAGATAACATGATAAGAAAATTTATAGTTACTTGATATATATGAATACATGAGCTCATGATTTACATGATTAAATTGGATGTCATGTAAAGGATAATACAGCTCTCCTCTCCATCTCTCTTATGTGGTCATCAGATTAATACTCCAGGTGGGTAGACTCCTGTAGATGATCTTATAGAACAAGGGTGTACTTCATTTTCAAATAGGCATCAAAGCTTTTATAAAAATGTAGGGCCAAACTGTCATGATACTGTATAGTTCAATTTGCTGTGCATAGACCCACAGTTACAATACATATTCTTTAAACTCCAGGCAGCAGTCTGGCAAAAGTGTGCTGTGGGTTATAAAGGGACAGGACAGAGCATTTGAAGGCGATGGAATAAACCCATCACCCATACTGGAAAAACAACTTAGAGACCACACCATATTTATAAGAGGGTCAGCGGCAACAATTTTATATATAAAAGGACTGGTCTACAGTAATCGAGCCCCCAAGTTTTCACTGGGAGATGTTTTCAAAGTTCATAAATGATATTTTTTGGTCCTAGGCACAGAACAAATGGAAAATACTAAGAATTCAAATGAAATGGTTTATAGTTTGCATCAGCTTTTAAGTTTGATTTATAACAAAGATAACTGCAAATGTAATGGGTCTTCACTGTATTCATGATCTTCATGACACCAGAAAATACCAACTTATACCACTTGGGTGAACTGTTTTCCTTTTGAACTGTGATACTAAAATAAAGTGACAGCATGTTAAAATATATATTTAAGTAAATATTGTACTTCTGCATAGCTACCCACTGTTGACTAATGTCAATAATACATCTTGATCACAGTGGTAATTATTTCTGTTGCCATCGTATAAGCCACATAATTATGTAAGTACAACACTTAAAAATAGAAAAAAAATTCACGTAGCTTAAAAATATAAGATGCTCCTTAAAATTTAGGGCTGGTTGTTATAAAAATAAAATTATTTCCAAAAGAATACAAAATTTGCAAGTGTGAGACTACCCTCTTGAAAAAGACAGCAAAACCAAAAAAGAATTTGGAGAAATACTTTGAGTAATAGCAACACTACTATACGTTGACCCTTGAACAATATGGGTCAGTACTGCACCAGTTCACTTATAAATAGATTTCCTTCTGCCTCTGACACCCCTGAGACAGCAAGACCAACTCCTTCTCTTCCTCCTCCTCAGCCTACTCAATGTGGAGGTGAGGATGAAGCTCTTTATCATAGTGTACTTCCACTTCATGAATAGTAAACCTATTTTCTTCCTTATGATTTTCTTAATAACATTTTCTTTCCTCTAGCTTACTGATTGTAAGAATATAGAATACATATAACATACAAATGTGGTTAATCGGTGATTCGTGTTATGGGTGAGGCTTTTTGTTAACCACAGGCTATCAGCAGTTAAGTCTGGGGAAAGTCAAAATTATACCTGAGTATTCCACTGCCTAGGAGTCAGCACTTCTAAGCCTCAGGTTGTTCCAGAGTCAACCGTAATTTTTAGAACCTCTCTAGGTAGTTAATTTAAAGGGGAGGCCGGGTGCAGTGGCTCATGCCTGTAATCCCAGCACTTTGGGAGGCCGAGGCGGGTGGATCACGAGGTCAGGATTTGAGACCAGTCTGGCCAAAATGGCGAAACCCCGTCTCTACTAAAAATGCAAATATTAGGCAGGCATGGTGGCAGGCTCCTGTAATCCCAGCTACGCGGGAGCCTATGGCAGGAGACTCGCTTGAACCTGGGAGGTGGAGGTTGCAGTGAGCTGAGATGGAGCCACTGCACTCCAGCCTGGGCGACAGAGCGAGACTCCGTCTCAACAACAACAAAAAAATAAAATAAAATAAACAATAAAGGGGAAAAGTTCATTTGAATGTGTGAGTTTCACTACATTGGTTGAACACTAAGTGAATTTCTCATATTATTCTTCCTTTTCAGCGTGGGCGGTCCCTGATAAAGATGCAAAAACTAAAGCTTTTCAAAAAGAGTGACACTTACGTCATTACTGCACATGAAACAGTATTAGTGAGACAGAGATTTTCACAGAACCATGAAGAGTTCACCTTTACCCACTTCCACCCCTACCGGCCAGGATGGCGGCTCTTCTCTTGCTCCTCCTGCTTGCCTAGAGGAAGTCACTAAAGACCTTGTTTCTTAAAAGGAGCCAATGTTTCTGAGGTGCTGGCCTCTTCAGAAACTAAAATCCAGGCTTTTCTCTTCATTTGCCCTGATGCGTGTAGTTTATACGGCTCTGGTTGTGTTGCAGTAGCATTTGGCGAGGGGTAAGTAGAAAGGAGAAATTTCCATGTAGCTTGTTTAGGAAGGAAGACCATCCTAGGAGCATCACAGACATGTGGGCCAAGAGGAAAGCCAGCTCGCCCCTGCCATCAGGGTGACCTCCACTGCCTCTTCATTCCACTTCCTCATTTCACTTGTTATTTAAAAAAAAAAATGTAAAATGTGGACTTGCTTTTTATTTCCCCACTCTTAGCACCACTTCTAATACATATGCTATATGTTATGTATATATTATATATATATTTATATATTTTGTATGTAAATATGTGTGTCCATCCATTCCCATTATATATATATACATATATATATACATATATACATATATATATATTATAGCTGCCCCTTTCCATACTGTTTCATCATCATACTTTTCAGTTTTTTTGTTTTTTGTTTTTTGTTTTTTGAGATGGAGCCTTGCCTTGTTGACCAGGCTGGAGTGCAACGGCCCCATCTCGGCTCACTGCAACCTCTGCCTCCCAGGTTCTAGTGATTCTCCTGCCTCAGCCTCCTGAGTAGCTGGGATTACAGGCGTCTGCCACTACACTTGGCTAATTTTTTGTATTTTTAGTAGAGATAGGGTTTCACCATGTCGGCCAGGCTGGTCTTGAACTCCTGACCTCAGGTGATCCACCCCACTCGGCCTCCCAAAGTGCTGGGATTACAAGCGTGAGCTACCGCACCGGCCATATATATTTTGTATATAAATATAATATATAAATGTGTGTCCATTGATTCCCATTATATGTATATATTATATATATAATATAAATATATATTATATATATAAATCCATATATATAATATATATAATATATATAATATATTATATAAAATATATTATCTATAATATATAATATAAAATATATTATCTATAATATATAATATAAAATATATTATCTATAATATATATAAAATGGGAATGGATGGACACACATTTATATATTATATTTATATACAAAATATATGTATATAATACATAGCTGCCCTTTTCCATGTGTTTCATCATCATACTTTGCAGTTTTTTAAATGAAATTAAAAGGAAATCAATGTTTTATTGTCAGAGTTCCCTTTTTTCAAAATATAATAGAGAAGTCCATCCAAATAATTTATTTTAATCCCCAATACATAATAATTTTCAAGATGCAAGAGAAGTAATTTCACCATTTACTATTCCATTGAGTGGCCTGTGGGAGGAGAGATGAGAAGAAGACAGAAAAGAAAGGGTGTCCTAATTCTATTTATATACCATACCTTTGACTTCTTGGTTAAAATATAGAAGTAATTAAAATCATTACAAATCAAGTTATACACTAAATTCTATAAAGTATTGATTTTTATTTTCATCATAATAGACATGTACATTTATTTAGTTCCTCTTAAATCAGATTTTGTCACATTTAACTTTTAGAAAACAAAAAACTTAGTACCTTTTGATAATTTGTAGTTATGAAAGACCAATCAGAAATTTTCAGTTCTTCTGCTATTAAAGTAATTTTAAAATCTCTGATATCAGTAAATTGTAATTAATAAAATATGGAAAACATTTTCACATATTTTCTAATATTTTGATATTTCGGAATAAAAAGAGCTATCTCCTTTAAAATATTTTAAACTTGGAAGAAGTCTTAAATGTTTTTGTTTTATTTTCAGAATTTTGCACATCAAAGAAGAAGAATAAGAGAAGAGGGAAGAGGAGGAGGAAGGAGAATAAAAGAAAATTAATAAAGAAAAAGTGAACCATTTTAGTTCAGGAATTTGAGAGACCTCAGTAGGTAAAATAATCACTATTTTCCTGTGGATAGCTGGCCTTGAATTCTATCTTAGTTACCAGGGTAAGAGAGTGTGATGATCTCTTCTAGATACTATTTTAGTACATCACATACTCACTTCATAATTTAACAGAATTGCTGGTGGCTATACCCAAGCTTGTTAGAATAAACATTACCAAGTTTCAGAATCAAAGTTCATTTAAAAAGTCCACTGATTGCAACACCTGATTAATACATTTAGGGGAAAGGGAAGAACAAAGCTTCGTGGTAATTAATAGGATGTCAAACCTGGATGGAACCCTAGACACTTGCACGGATGCCCCTTTGAGCTGAGGAGAGACCCAGGACAAGAGCTGCAATGTGTATCTTGATTCTATTGCAAATGATTCACTGGAAACTATGCACTTAAATGTATTGGTTAATTATTCCATACATGCTGCACAATGTTCTTGGCATTGATAATTCATAGGTTTAAAAAAATCATAATCTCTAGGGGAATCAAAAGGAAAGGGAATAGAAAAAAGAAAGTAAGAAGCCACAAATTTCAAGAGAGAAAAACTGACAAAAAGAAGGGGGTAGTCAACTTCATGAATAATGCGGATGTACTGAGTGGGATGAGAACCCAGAGTGTGTGTGGGATTTGGAATTACACACATGACCTTGGCACAGTGTCAGTAAAGTGCTCAGGAGGGAACTCAGATTGTAGCCAGGATGAAGAAGGTGTGGGGAATTCCTAAAGCCATAAGCATGAAAGAAACCCATTTTTAAAAATGGGCAACAGGTATAAACAGGCAAGTTCACAAAAGACAAAATCCAAAATCCCTATTTTAAAAAACGATTCAATCTCTGTGATCAAGGATATGCAAATGAGAATGAGGAAATACCACAATACTTCCATTACATGAGGTGGGGAGTGTCTGACAACACCTGTTTTGGGAAGACATGGAGATACAGAAATTCTCATAACTCTGCTTGTGGAGTATAGATTGTTAAAACTTGGAAACCAATTTGACAACAGCCAGAAAAGTTCAAAAGGTACATTGTCCCGTAACTCAGCAATTCCTTTGTTAGCTGTATTCTCTAGAGAAATGCTTACACATAGGCACCTAGATAAATGTAGAATGTAGTTCAATGAAGCATTAATACATACTAAGCAACAATCTTTGGGAAAACAGACTTTAAAAGTTGTACTCCTTAAAACCTAGATGACGGGTTGATAGATGCAGCAAACCACCATGGCACATGTATACCTATGTAACAAACCTGCACGTTCAGCACGTGTATCCCAGAACTTAAAAAAAAAAGAAAAAAAAGTTGTGCTGCTGCTACCTGATTCAGGACCCAGACCTCAGGAAGACATAAATGTTAGCCCTTTCTCCAATTTTTTGTGCTTTGGATACATTTCTTTTCTGTGAAGATATTTGCCTTATATTTGACTGTGTCTGTGTTTTGGTTTTCTATTTCCATGTTACATTCATCACTGCCATTTTAAAATCTCTACCAAGAAGCACCAAAATATATTTTATACATCTACACTCAAAAATTGATTGTAAAACAGAAAAAGGTGAACAAAATGAGTATCAACCACTTTTCTAGGACCCATTAGAGGACTGAAGCTGCAGCACAAACTACCACTCTGAAATTTAGAGACAAGAGCATCCCAAATGCCACAGGCAGCTGAGATCTGCTTATCTGGAGAGAAGCCAGTGGAGACTTAAATTGGTAGAAACACATAAATGGTCATTTTTAAAAATTGTTGGAGACTGTGTGGACTAGTGTGAGAGCAAAAATCTTCTGGACCTGGAGCTTTAACTGGATCCCCAGGATTTCCCAGGCTTTACCTCCAGGTACTCAATCAGGTTCTCAGGAGAAGGAGCCAGGAAAGATGCTCTCTCAGCTCTGGCATGGAGAAGGAAAAAGGAAATCTTATGAAATGCACCAGGGATTTTTCCATAACAAAGGCTTACCCTCCAGGGGAAAGAGCTTTGTCAGAGTGTTATTCCAGTTGAAGAACTGGAATTCTTTCTACTTCAGCCCCCTCCAGCCTTCCAGTCTCCCCTAAGAGAAAAACAAGAAAACAATAAACTAACAAAATATGACTTCTGATTCTGCAAATTGCAGTAGACCTGCTATTCGCTATTCTTCCCGCTAACAACCCTGAAAATTACATATTCAACAAACACAAGGAGACTCTGGAAGGTGGGGAGAAGAAGGTAACTGAGCTGGGCAACTTGGGACACAAAGAATGACATATGGTGGTGAGTTTCCAGGTTTGCTTTCTGCCTCATATAACCATGACTTGGAGCTAAAGAAGGCAGCAGTTTGGAAATGCCAAGGGCAGAGACAATACAACCCCCAACAAAAGGCTGCTCTCCTAGCCAGAGGACCACAAAAGGGGCGGTGTAGCAGGAAAAGAAACTCTGGGAAAATATTTTATATTCTAGACAAATACAACAGAAAAAACAAACAAACAAACACGTGACCCCAACTCCAACCATACCATCAAAGGCCATGAGAGGAGCCTAGACTGCCACCCTCACCAGTTGTGATGAGGTGCCTTAAATCCCTGCAGGGTTGTCAGAGAAGGCAAGTAGCGAGCCATGATATTTATCCTCACCTGCTGGAAACAAGCGTTCTCAAAGAGTTGGTGGAGACTACATGAGAACTTGGAATTCTACCCCCATCCATCTGTAACAAGACAATCCTCACCCTCCCTGGTGGGTTGGTGACAGAGGCATCTTATTAGAGAGTTAGCACAGTCATCATTGCCCAGTGGTAACAAGGCCACTCACTCCATGATGACAGTGGGGGACACAGAGGAGCAGGACCATCCACCCTTACACAGCCTCTCATCTGGTGTCATGGGGTCTGAGTGGTAAACCTGAACTCTGCCTTATCTGGAAGTAATAAGGTGGTGCCTCCCTCTCCTCCTGCCAGACTGGTATCAGAAAAAGCCAGATAAAACGGCAGATTTAAACAGATACAGAGTCTTATGACATAATACAAAATGTCCAAGCTTCAATATTAAATCACCCATCATACCAAGAATCAGGAGGATATCAAACTGAATTAAAAAGACAATTGGCCCATGCCCATATCAAGATAACAGACATGATACAACTATCTGAGAAAGATTTTAAAGCAGTCCTAATAAAAATACTTCAACTAACCATCACAAACAATCTTTAAAGAAACAAAAAGTAGAAAGCTTCAGCAAAGAAACAGAAGACATAAAGAAGAACCAAATGGGAATTTTAGAATTAAAAGATATACAGTTAATTTAAAGGCACAGTGAATGGGGTTAGTGCCAGAATGAAGAAATAGAGGAAAGAGTAAGTGAACTGGAAGAGGGAAAATATAATTATCAAATGTGAACGACTGAAAGAATATAGAAATTTAAAAAAAGAACAAAGTCTCAGGGATCTGTGGTATATAAGAAAGATCTAACATTCACATTATTGAAATTCCAACTGAGACAGGAGAAAGAGGGCCAGGCTGAAGACAATAATTTATGGAATAATGGCTGAAAACTTCTCATATTTGGCAAGAGGCATAAATGTACAGATTGGAGAAGTTGAGGGGATTCAAAAGAGGATGGCCAGCCGTGGTGGCTCACGCCTGTAATCCCAGCACTTTGGGAGGCCGAGGTGGGTGGATCACCTGAGGTCAGGAGTTCGAGACCGGCCTGGCTAACATGATTAAACTACGTCTCTACTAAAAATACAAAATTCAGCCAGGCATGGTGGCACATGCCTATAATCCCAGCTACTTGGGAGGCTGAGGCAGGAGAATTGCTTGAACCCGGAAGACGGAGGCTGCAGTGAGCCGAGATGGTGCCACAGTACTCCAGCCTAGGCAACAAGAGCGAAACTCTGTCTAAAAAAAAAAAAAAAAAGCGTAAATCTAAAGAAACCATACCCAGACAAATCATAGATAAACTTCTAAACATTAAAGACAAAAATTCTTGAAAACAGCAAGAGATAAACACTACCTTACCTATCAAGCAAAAGCAGTTTGAATGATAGCTGATTCCTCATCAGAAACCATGGAAGATGGAAGAAAGTAGCACAGTATTTTCTAATTGCTGAAAAAAAGGCCTGTCATCTGGATTTCAGTACTTAATAAAAATAATCTTCAAGAATGAAGGGGAAATAAAGATATTCTCAGATGAAGACAATCTCAGATCATTTGTCACGAGAAGACCTATCCTAAAAGAATGGCTAAGGATGTTCTCAAACACACAAAGGAAACAATAAAATAAAGAACCTTGGAGCATCAGAAAGGAAGAATACAGCAGGCAGAAATATGGGTTCACACTGGGATTCTAGCTCCTGGTTAACCTGCATGTGATCTTCCAAGACTGTCCACAGGCAAGTCCGATGCCTTTACCTGGCAGGCTTCACACAGGAGAGCTACCCTCCCCACACCAGGCTTGGTGCACAGCCAGTGCATTGCAGTTATTATTATTATTATTATTTTTTGAGACAGAATCTCGCTCTGTCACCCAGCTGGAGTGCAGCGGTGCAATCTCAGCTGACTACAACCTCTGCCTCCCGGGTTCAAGTGATTCTCCTGCCTCAGCCTCCCGAGTAGCTGGGACTACAGTTGCGTGCCACCACGCCCAGCTAATTTTTTGTATTTTTAGTAGAGACAGGGTTTCACTGTGTTATCCAGGATGGTCTCAATCTCCTGACCTCATGATCTCCTGCCTCAGCCTCCCAAAGTACTGGGATTACAGGTGGGAGCCACTGCGCCCCGCCAGTGCAATGCAGTTCTAATGGGAGTTGATGTCAGGGACTCAGGGGCCTCTGGGCCAGGCATGCTCTTGGGCATATTCCTAGCCCAGACCTGTCCATTCCTGGAACTCTCTATCTGAGGCCTTGAGCAGAAGTCTTCTTCACTGGCCTCTGCTGAGAATTTATCCGAGAGAAAGGGGGAAAGCTTCAAGCCACTTTTTCCTACTCTGACTCAATACTCAGTACTTTCCACCCGTGCCCTTCCCTTTCTCCATCCTCCTGGTGGTCCCCAGTCGCAGGGTCTGTAATATTGCACTAGCCTTTTACTTGAGGCAATCTCCACATCATGCTGATCCACCTGGCCCTCAGCCATTGCACCAATCCATAGGGGAAGGTAGAGTAGGGCAGACCCAGCACTCTGTTTCAGACTCTTGGTGATACCATAAGAGTAAGGGATTAAAACCACTGCTCAGTGGCTTTCATTTCTGGTTTGTCACTGATACGGACAGGAGACAGGGAAAACTGAGTAGAAAGGAGCAGTTCCCAGGCAAAGGCCCCACCCTCAAGCCTGGATACCCTCGGCCCTACATGAGAACAAGCATTCCTGTTTTCACAACCCAAAAGTTGCCTTTTGTCCTGCCACACCCCCTATCCTGCACCCATGCATATATACCCTGAACCCCAGGCTCCAGAAGCCGACCAGTAAGCCACCAGATCAGCGATGGTTGGAGAAGGGATGCGGCAGAGAAAGAGAGAAGAGGAGGAACATCTAACACCCAGAGGAGTTTAGCGGGGGCCGTTGGAGAGGAGTCCAGCAGCTGAGTGGCCCAGCTCCGGCTCCGGAGGAAGATCGCCTTCCCTCTCCATCTCCCCATTGCGGCCCCCGATCCATCCGGCTGAAAGCCACCTCCACCACTCAATAAAACTTCGCATTCATCCTTCAAGCCCGTGTGTGACCCAAGTTTTCCGTGATGCTGGGCAAGACCTCGGAATAGAGAAAGCTGTCACACTGGCCCTCTGCCCTTGCCAAAAGGCAGAGGATTCATTGAGCTGACTAACACTCAAGCCTCTGCAGGCGGCAGAGCTGAAAGAGCTTTATAACGGGGGGGGGGTTGCAGGCACCCTCCTCAGACACTACCTACCGAGGAGCCAGAGCCCAAAGCGCTTGCCCCAGCCTCTGCGCCTGACTGTCTGCATCCTCTCCCTCCTGCCAAGGGGTTTGAGCAGGCGGCACCACTGAACAGGCAAGCCACACCCCTGCCGCACATCCTGCGTCCTGCCAGGGGAATCAGCGAACTCTCCCGCTTCATCACTTTACTTGGCTACTCTGACACCTGACAGCTTAGCTGTCTCCAACTCAGCTGAGCTCCTGACAAATAGACCCTTCCTGAGTTTTCAAAATTAGGTATGATGGTGCAAGTGAAAATTATAACACTGTATGATAGTTCGGTAAATGTTTGTACAGCAAATATTTAAGACAATTATAAATATAGGAGAGGAAAGGAAGAGAAATAGAGATAAGATTTCTACACTTCACTTAAAATGACAACACCAATAAAGTGTTTTATACATAAATTATTATAAATTATATAATTAATGTAATATTAGATTATATGTGGTATATATAATATAAAATCTTACACCTAGCGCACCTACAAAAAAACCTATATAAAAAGATACATGTAAAATCACTAGAGATAAATCACAATGGAATTCTTTAAAATGCTCAAGTGGCCGGGGGCGGTGGCTCACGCCTGTAATCCCAGCCTTTGGAGGCCGAGGCGGGCAGAACACAAGGTCAGGAGATCAAGACCATCCTGGCTAACACGGTGAAACCCCGTCTCTACTAAAAATACAAAAAATTAGCCTGGCGTGGTGGCGGGCACCTGTAGTTCCAGCTACTGGGGAGGCTGAGGCAGGAGAATGGCGTGAACCCGGGAGGTGGAGCTTGCAGTGAGCCGAGATTGCACCACTGCACTCCAGCCTGGGCGACAGAGCGAAACTCCGTCTCAAAAAAAAAAAAAAAAAAAAAAAAAAAGTTCAAGTAACTCACAGAAAGGCAACAAAAAAATCAATAAAATAAGAGAAGCAAGAAGCAGAAAGCACAAATAGAAAACAAAAAAATAAAATGGCAGACTTAAGCACTCATATATCAATAATCACATTAAGTGTAAATGGTCTAAGTACACCAAAGAAAAGACAGAACCTAGCAGAATAAATTAAAATATGACTTCCTCACAGTAAAACAAAAAACAATATGATCTAACTGTATACTGTCTATAAGAAACTCAAATGTGATAATAAAGATAGGTGCAAAGTAAAAATAGAAAAAATACATAGTATGAAAAATTAATCAAAAGAAATAAAATTCACTCTCTCTCTCTCTCTCTCTCTATATATATACATAATGTTTTTTTCAGGCAGGGTCTCACTCTGTCTCTAGGATGGAGTGCAGTGGCGCAATCTCAGCTCACTGGAACCTCCGACTCCCTGGTTCAAGTGATTCTCCTGCCTTAGCCTCCTGAGTAGCTGGGATTACAGGCACACGCCACCATGCCCAGCTAACTTTTGTATTTTTAGTAGAGACGGGGTTTCACCATGTTGGCCAGGATGGTCTCCATCTCCTGACCTCGTCATTCGCCTGCCTCGGCCTCCCAAAGTACTGGGATTACAGGCATGAGTCACCGTGCCCAGCTGAAAATTAGCTATATGAGCATTAGATAAAGTATATTAGAGCTAAAGAACTTAACAGAGACAGAAAAGAACATTACATAACGATGAAAGAGTCAATTCACAAAGAAGGCATAGCAATCTTAAATATGTATGCATTGAACAAAAAGCTATAAAATATAGGAGGTGAAAACTGATAAAATAGAAAGGAACAGAAAGGAGAAATAAACAAGTTGACAGTTATACTTGAAGACTTCAACACTTCTCTCCTAACAATTGCTGAAACAACTAGACAACATCAGTAAGCATGCAAGAATACAGCAAAACTCAACAACATCATCCATAAATAGGATCTAATCAATACGTATTGAACACGCCAACTGACAACAGTAGTATCCATGCAACAAAGACCAAGATAGACCATGATGTGGACCAAAAAATGAGCCCCAACAAAATTATTGTAAATGTACAGAGTGTATTCTGCAACAAGAAGGATATCAAATGTGAAATCAACAGCAGAAAATGTTCTCCAAGCACTTGGAAACTAAAGAGCACATTCATTAATAATTCATTTGTCAAAGATGAAGTCTCACGGTGAATATGAATGAGAATGAAAATAAAATTTTGGAAAAGAAGAATAAGGTGTAAGTCTGATTTCAAGACTTATTATATATCTATCGTAACCAATACTCTGTGGAGTTGGTGGGAAGGAGAGGCGCATAGATCAATGGAATAGTCCAGAAATACACCAACATGCAAAAATGCCCAAGTGACTTTTAATAAAGGCGTAACAGCAATTCAATAAAGGAAAGATCGCCTTTTCAATAAATGGCGCTAGAATAGTGGACACCCAGAAGCAAAAAGCAAAACTTATTCTAAGTCTTAAACCTTATATAAAAATTAATTCAAAGGGATTGCAGATTTAAATGTTAAAATGCTTAGAAAAAAATAAGTATAGAAGATAAGATTCCTAGGATCTTGGACTAGGCAAGGAGTTCCTAGACTTGATACCAAAAATATGTTTTATAAATGAAAAACATGAATAAATGGGACTTCATAAAATTTAAAACTTTGCTCAGTGAAAGACTATGCGAAGAATATAGAATACAAGCTATAGAATGTGAGAAATTATTTGAAAACCAGAAATCCAATGAAGGACTAGTATCTAGAACATATAAAAAGTTCTCACAACTCAACATTAAAAAAAAAGACAAAAAAATAACTAAATAGAATCTGAGTAACAGACATAGAGAAATTTTTCACTAAGCAAGACATACAGTGACAAGCTGGGCATGGTGGCTCACACCTGTAATACCAGCACTTTGGGAGGCCAAGGCAAGCGGATCACCTGAGGCCAGGAGTTCGAGACCAGCCTGGCTGACATGGTGAAATCTGGTTTCTACTAAAAATAGAAAAATTAGCCAGATGTGGTGGTGCACACCTGTATTCCCAGCTACTCCAGAGGCTGAGGCTGGAGAATCATGTAAACCCAGGAGACAGAGGTTGCAGTGAGCTGAGATCACGCCACTGCAGCCCAGCCTGGGAGACAGAGTGAACTTCCATCTCAAAAAAAAAAAAAAAAAAAAGATATACAGTAACAAGCATGAGAGAAAATGTTAAAAAGCATTAAGCATGAGGGAAATACAAATTAGAGGTACAATAAAATACCATTATACACTTAACGGAATAGCTAAAAAAAAAAATGGTGACAGTGCTGTGTGCTGACAAAGATGCAGAGAACCTGGATCACACTTACATTGCTGGTGTAAATGAAAATGGTACAGCCATTCTGGAAAACAATGTGAGTGTTTTTGTTTTGTTTTGTTTTGCTTTATTTTTTTCGAGACAGAGTCTTGCTCTTGCTGCCCAGGCTGGAGTGCAGTGGCACAGTCTCAGCTCATTGCAACCTCCGCCTCCTGGGTTCAAGCAATTCTCCTGCCTCAGCCACCGAGTAGCTGGGATTACAGGCACATGCCGCAATGCCCAGCAAATTTTTGTATTTTTAGTAGAGACAGGATTTCGCCAAGTTGGCCAGGCTGGTCACAAACTTCTGACCTCAGGTGATCTACCCGACTTGGTCTCCCAAAGTGCTGGGATTACAGGTGTGAGCCACCACGCCTGGCCCTGACTGTTTCTTTAAAAACAAACACAACACATCACAACAAACAAACTGACTAATTAAACATGCAACTACCTTAGAAACCAGAAAGTATACATTGCAGTTATTCTAGAGAAGAACGACTTACACTCACATAATATCCTGTACACTAATGTTCTTCATCAGCATTATACATAACAGCCAAAAACTAGAAACAAAACAAATGTACTTCTGTGGGTGATGGTGTAAGCAAACTGTGATACATCCATTATTTGGACTGAAGCACTACTCAGCAGTAAAAAGTTACAGAGTATTTATACATGTTACAACCTGGATTGTAAGTGAAAAACATCCATCCCAAAAGGTTTCATACTGTATGATTCCATTTATGTTTATAACATTCTTAAAACAAAAAATACATAGAAATGAAGACCAGAGAAGTTGTGTCTGGGGATTAAGGATAGGCTAAATTTGGGAAGGAAGTAGATACTGCTATAAAAGAGTAACACAGATGCCTTTAAGGTAATGAAAAGGTACTATATTTTGATTGTGTCAATGTCCATATGCTGGTTAGGATTATGTAAGGTAGCTGTGCAAGTTGTTATTACTGGGGCAAAGTGGATAAAAGGTAAACGAGATCTCTCTATATTATTTCTTATAACTATAGTGAATCTACATTTATCTCAAAATAAAAATAAGTAAGTTTAAGGGCCGGGTGTGGTGGTTCACGCCTGTAATCCCAACACTTTGGGAGGCTGAGGCAGGCAGATCACGAGGTCAAGAGAAGGAGACCATCCTGGCCAACATGGAGAAACCCCATCTCTACTAAAAATACAAAAATTAGCTGAGCATGGTGGCGTGCATCGGTAATCCCAGCTACTCAGGAGGCTGAGGCAGGAGAATCACTTGAACCCGGGAGGCGGAGGTTGCAGTGAACCAAGATTGCGCCACTGCACTCCAGCCTGGGTGACAGAGCGAAACTCCATCTCAATAAATAAATAAATAAAATTTAAATATATACATAGACAACAGAATCAAGGTTTCAAATGAAGAAAATGGGAATCTTACATCCAGGGAAGAGTAATAAGCAGGAAAGGGGGAGAAAGAAGCTACACCTTTGGAGAAACTCTTACGAAGGTCACAGCCCAAAAACACTAGCCCCCAGAAATACTATTATAATTATTATAATTTATTTATTATTATGGCATTATTTCATACTCCCCCTCCTCACACCTTATAGCACTCCAGGATATCCACTTATAGAGTAGATTATAATGGAAAGAAACTGTAATACGCAGACCCTTTCTGAGGAAGTTTTTTTTTTTTGAGATGGAGTCTTGCTCTGTCACCCAAGCTGGAGGACAGTGGCGTGGTCTCGGCTCACTGCAAGCTACGTCTCCTGGGTTGACGCCATTCTCCTGCCTCAGCCTCCTGAGTAGCTGGGACTACAGGTGCCTGCCACCATGCCGGGCTAATTTTTTTGTATTTTTAGTAGAGACGGGGTTTCACCATGTTAGCCAGGATGGTCTCGATCTCCTGACCTCATGATCCACCTGCTTCTGCCTCCCAAAGTGCTGGGATTACAGGCGTTAGCCACTGCGCCGAGCCAGAAGAATATTTTTTTAAGGTAGCCCAAGGTCGAAAGAGGAGACAAAAACAAAGACATAAGAAGAATTTGAAGCTTGCGGTGCCTACAGCTACAGCAAATAGTAAGCACAGTCCAAGTTTTAGCCACACTAACATGACACCTTACACTAAAAATCTATTCATGTCAGTTTTTATTACTCAATCCAAAATATCCAGATTTTAACCAAACATTTACGAAGCATGCCAAAAATCAAGAAAAAAAATACACTCCAAAAAGACAAATCAATCATCAGAACCAGACTTGTGTATGACACAGATGTTGAATTATTCAACAGGAATTTTAAAATATAGTGATAAAATATCTTAAGCACAATAATAGAAAAGTAAACAACATATAAGAACAGATAGGTAGGCCAGGCATGGTGGCCCATGCATGTAATCCCAGCACTTTGGGAGGTCGAGATGGGCGGATCACTTGAGGTCAGGAGTTTGAGACCAGCCTGGCCAATATAGCAAAACCCTACCTCTGCTAAAAATACAAAAATTAGCTGGGCGTGGTGGTGTACACCTGTAGTCCCAGCTACTCAGGAAGCTGAGGCAGGAGAATCGCTTGAACCTGGGAGGCGGAGGTTGCAGTGAGCTGAGATCATGCCACTGCACTCCAGCCTGAGTAACAGAGCAAGACTCCATCTCAGAAAAAAACGAAAGGACAGATACGTAATGAAAGAAAGGAGATGTAAACTCTAAGAAAGAATAAAAAAATGCTATAAATCAAACAAAAAATTTAAAAATGCCTTTGATGGACTCATTAGTGAACTCTACAGAGACAAGGAAATAATCTGTGTTCTTGTAAAGAGATCAATAGAAAATTTCTAAACAAAAATCCAATGAGAAAAAAAATGAGAATAAGAGAATAGAGAATCAAATATTATGGAAATTTTCTAAATGTGTTATGCATGATTAATGGACATACTGGAAGAAGAATAAAGACAGAAGAGAGCACAGTAAATACTTGAAGTAATAATGACTGAGAACTTTCTAAATTATATAATAGATACGGAATCACAGGTGTGGAAGCCCAGAGAACATCAAGAAGAACAATAACCTTATCCCCTACATCATACCTCTATTGTAGACACCCCCCAGAAAAGACACATTTAGGCATAAGATATTCCAAGTGCAAAAAAAAAAAAAAAAAAAAAAAAAAGACAGAAAGAAAATGTTGAAAGAAGCCATAGCAAGAAAAACACCTTACCTACAGAGGAGCACATATAACAATTACAGTGGACTTCTCAGGAAAAGCAAGCAAAAATAGGGTGAAATATTTAAAGTGTTGAAAGAAAATAACCACCAATGTAGGATTACATATATTCAGTAAAATCTTTCTTAAAAAAATTTTTCCTTAAAATGTTCTTATAGAGATAAGTTATTCAGGCACAAGAAAAATGATGAGGCAGGAATTTGTAAGCACATAAAAAAAGAAAAGCATCAAACAAGTAATAAATGAAAGTAAAATAAAATGTTTAATTCTTTTTATTCCTTAATTGATTTAAAAGATAATGGTATTAAACAATAATGGTAACAGTGCATTAGTTGATGATAGCATATAGAAAAATGAAATTGTTAACATCAATGTCACAAAGTACAGAAGGAGGAATTGAGACTTTTTGGTTATAAGGTACCATGCCTGTACTGCACATGAAATGGCAGACCATTATTTGAAGATGGACTTCAGTTAGTTCAAAATGAATATTGTATCCTCTAGGGTAGCCAAAAAAGTGTTCTGTTTTGTTTTGATAGTCTTACTCTGTCACCCAGGCTGGAGTGCAGTGGTATAATCTCAGCCCTTGCAAACTCTGCCTCCTGGGTTCAAGCAATTCTCATATCTCAGCCTCCTGAGCAGATGGGATGACAAGCACATGCCACCACACTCAGCCAATTCTGGTATTTTTTATAAAGATAGGTTTTCGCCATGTTGGCCAGGCTGGTCTGAAACTCCAGACCTCAAGTGATCCACCTGCCTCGGGCTCCCAAATAGTATTACAGGCATGAGCCACAGCACCTGGCCCGAAAAATGTTTTTATAAAGAAGTGCAATTGATATACTAAGAAAACAATGCAATTTTATAAAATGTTCTGTTAACATCATCAAAAGCAGAAAGAGAAAAGGAGAGAACAAATGCAACAAATAGAAAAGAGTTATAAACATGGTAGGTGTTAACCTAACTTTATAGACAATCACTCTAAATATTCATGGTCTAAATACACAAATTAAAAGACAGAGACTACTCATTAATGGAGAAAGAAGTAAGACTCAAATATATGTTGTCTACAAGATACTCACTTTAAGTATAAAAACCCTGCCACACTAATCCTCATCAAAAGAAAGCTAGAGTATTCAAATTTATTTTGGAGAAAGCAATCTGGACAATTTTCAGGAATAAAGAGGGGTAATGATAAAGATGTCAATTCCCCAAAAAGATATAACAATCTTAATTTTAATGGACCTAGCAACAGAGGATAAAAATGCATAAAGCAGGCCGGGCACAGTGGCTCACACCTGTAATCCCAGCACTTTGGGAGGCCAAGGCAGGTAGATGACAAAGTCAGGAGTTTGAGACCAGCCTGACCAACATGGTGAAAACTTGTCTCCACTAAAAATACAAAAATTAGCCCAGCATGGTGGTGTGCACCTGTAATCTCAGCTACTCAGGAGGCTGAGGCAGGAGACTTGCTTGAACCCGGGAAGCGGAGGTTGCAGTGAGCCGAGATCACGCCATTGCACCCCAGCCTGGGAGGTAGAGTGAGACTCCATCTCAAAAAAAAAAAAAAGCATAAAGCATACATAAAGCAAAAATTAAAAACACTAGCAGAAGAAATAGAGAATTTCACTTTTATAATTAGAGACCTCAGCATCTTCCTGTCAGTCATTGATAGATCAAGCAGGCAGAGAATCAATAAGAGATATTTGACCCGAATAGCAATATCTATCAAATGAATCAAATTAACATTCATACAGTAGTCCATCAAACAACTACAGCATATTCATTCTCTCAAGGACCCAGGAAATATTCATTAAGATAGACCAAATGCTATGCCATCAATCACACCTGAACAAACTTAAAAAGATAGAAATCATACAAAGTGTGTTCTCAGACCACAATGAAACTAACCCAGAAATCAGTAACAGACTGTTAGCTAGGAAGTTCCTAAATATATGGAAATTAAACAGCATACTTCTAGATAATCCACTAGCCAAAGACTTGCCAAGCTAAAAATTTAAAAGATATTAAACTAACTGAAAATAAAATTACAGGCCAGGCACAGTGGCTCACGTTTGTAATCCCAGCACTTTGGGAGGCTGAGGTGGGCAGATCATTTGAGGTCAGGAGTTTGAGACAAGCCTGGCCAACACGGTGAAACCCCATCTCTAATAAAGATATCCAAATTAGCAGAGTGTAATGGTGTGTGTCTATAGTCTCAGCTACATGTTAGGCTGAGGCATCAGAATCACTTGAACTCAGGAGGCAGAGGTTGTAGTGAGCCAAGATTGCCCCACTGCACTCCAGCCTGGGCAACTGAGTGAGACTCTGTCTCAAAAAAATAAAATAAAAATAAAACGTATCCAAATTTGTGGGATACAGCAAAAACACTGTTTAGAGGATGATGTATAACATTAAAAGCATTTATTAGAAAAAAGAAAAATCTAAAATCAATAAGCTTCTATTTTAGGAGACTAGAAGATAAAGAGCAATGTAAGGCCGGGCATGGTGGTTCATGCCTGTAATCCCAGCACTTTGGGAGGCTGAGGTGGGTGGATCATGAGGTCAGGAGTTTGAGACCAGCTTGGCCAATATAGTGAAACCCCGTTTCTACTAAAAATACAAAAATTAGCTGGGTGTGGTGGTGCACGCCTGTAATCCCAGCTACTCAGGAGGCTGAGGTAGGAGAATCACTTGAACTTGGGAGGCGGAGGTTGCAGTGAGCTGAGGTCATGCTACTGCACTCCAGCCTGGGCAACAAGAGTGAAACTTTGTCTCAAAAAAAAAAAAAAAAAAAAAAGTGAGAGAGAAAAAATTAAGTAAATGGACACATAAGTTTGACCTGATCATTTTCAGCTTCATCTGTTTTCACTTCATTCTATTAATACCTTTTCATCAAGGTCTGTCTTAACTCAGGGTTCTCATGACCATGAAATGTTATCTATCAAAAGTCCCTAAATGCAAACCTTCACAAAACTAATGTACCGGGTTATCATGCATTTCCTCCCAGCTCGTGTTCTTTTTTTTTTTTGAGATGGAGTTTCACTCTTGTTGCCCAGGCTGCAGTGCAATGGCACCATCTCGGTTCACTGCAACCTCCACCTCCTGGGTTAAAGCGATTCTCCTGCCTCAGCCTCCCAAGTAGCTGGGATTACAGGCATGTGCCACCACACCCAGCTAATTTTGTATTTTTAGTAGAGATGGGGTTTTTCCACGTTGATCAGGCTGGTCTCAAACTCACAGCCTCAGGTGATCCTCCCGCATCGACCTCCTAAAGTGCTGGGATTACAGGCGTGAGGCACTGCACCCAGCCTTCATGTTCTGTAAATACAGCCATTTTCAGTTGATCCTGCCTTTTTATGAGCTTACCAAATGACAAAAGCTTCATATAATTTTTGTCATATTTGTCAAGAAGTTTAAGAATTAAATTGAATGTTGGACTTTCATGATAGGACCCTTAGTTTCAGGTTATGCTAAAAAGGAAATAGAATGAAA
This sequence comes from Homo sapiens, assembly GCF_000001405.40. NCBI lineage: Eukaryota > Metazoa > Chordata > Mammalia > Primates > Hominidae > Homo > Homo sapiens. Next base: position 36,702,826 of record NC_000010.11, read on the forward strand.
AATTCACATTCATTTCCTTGTGAATAATATAAAATTTTAAGCCTTATATCCAAAGGTAAGTGAAAAATATTTTTGTCTACCGAGTTTCTTCATTTATTGAGTGAAAAAAGAAAAAAATAAAGATTGATTCTTCTTCTCTTCAAGGAAATGAAGCAATGGGAATAGATACAATTATAGGAATGGATAGAAATAGAAATAGAGGAAAAAAATTAAAACGACGTATTTGCATCAACCAACAATTTGAAATCTAAGGCAGGTAAGAAAGAGAGTATATAAAATCAGATTATAACTGCTGCACAATTGTTAGCTTTTGATAAAATACAATTTATTGTCTGATTTACATCAAAATGAATTTATTCAGGAGAAAAAATTATCCTCTTGCTTTCTAGAGCACAATATGTAAGAGGAACATTTTAATTTTAACTTCCCCTCAGTGACAGTGACCCCTTCCGCCCTCTCCATTTTATAAATTATTGACAAAGCGTCAGGAAGATTCCAATTGTGCAACAGCTAATTGGCCCCTCTGGCCATTTTTCAACAGCCCTGAAAAGTTCATTGGTTTTAGATAAAGGCTTTCCTGGAGTTGCAGGCTCAAACGTTCTGAGAGTTTGAACAAGTCTATGTTGTTTGGTTTTTAAATACAACATTGCTTGGCCAAGGCTTGGCAAAAAATCATGAGGTTGGGACACTTGCTTGCTAAGGAAAAAATGAGAATTAGAATTGGCATTTGTATGAAATTAAATTTGAAATGTGTATTTTAGAGCAAAAATAGACTTTTGCTAATTTTAGAATTTGGAAAGAATGAATGTTGATATAGACAAGATTCAGTTATTATGAGGAAAGACTTAAAGATAGGTATACGTAAGTAAAATTTTGTCATACTCAAGCAATATCTTATAAATGTATTTTGTAAGCCTTAAACTGATTTCAGGATTTTGGCTTTCAAGATGTATTATTTCCGTCTGCGCAATAAAAAATGTCTTTTTGCTGTGAAGTGGCTGGGTATAAAATGAAAGCACCTACAGCTTATATTTAAATTACCAGTGGAACATTTTCCAGTCTCTTTTTGGAATTTTATTTTGGTTGAGAACTGTGATGTCAAAACCAACTCTTTTGACTGACTTCTAGCTTCTATGACACTAAGACCTCTGACGTGTTTATGCTGCAAAGGCACATTTGCAGTCGTGACATTAGCTCTTTCTACAGGATGAACTTTAATCCAAGTAGGTGGATGTTTTGTTCCACACATTGGAGTTATATTCAAATGCTCACAAGAGAAACATCTGAAGGACTATTGGAAAGACTCTATCTTTTATCTCTGATAAAACAGAAATGCAATTACTTGCCAGGATCTCGTTTCCATTTTCCATCTACATTATTTTCCTTT